>NC_000002.12:46250958-46553988 GCF_000001405.40 Homo sapiens | reverse complement strand
CAATTGAACTCATGGACATAGGGAGTAGAAGGATGGGTACCAGAGGCTGGGATGTGTAGTTGGGGGTTTGGCGGGAGGTAGGGATGGTTAATGGGTACAAAAAAATAGTTAGGGCCAGGCACGGTGGCTCACGCCTGTAATCCCAGCACTTTGGGAGGCTGAAGTGGGCGGATCACAAGGTCAGAAGTTCGGGACCAGCCTGGCCAATATGGTGAAACCCTGTCTCTACTAAAATACCAAAATTAGCTGGGCATGGTGGCGGGCACCTGTAGTCCCAGCTACTTGGGAGGCTGAGACAGGAGAATTGCTTGAACCCAGGAGGTGGAGGTTGAGTGAGCCAAGACCGTGCCACTGCACTCCAGCCTGGGCGATAGAGCGAGACTCTGTCTCAAAAAAAAAAAAAAGTTCGAAAAAGACATGACACTATTTGATGGCACAACAGGGTGACTATAGTCAATAATAATGCAACTGTACATTTAAAAATAACTCAAAGACTGTAATTGGATTGTTTGTAGCACAAAGAGTAACTGCTTGAGGGGATGGATACCCTATTCTCCATGATGTGCTTATTTCACATTGCATGCCTGTATCTAAACATTTCATGTGCCCCACAAATGTTTACGCCTACTATACACCCACAACATTTTTTTAAAAATTGAAAAAATAAAAAAAAGAATAAAATAAGTCATGTTCTCTGCACTCCAGGGACAGTGTGTATGTAAGACAGCGGTGGATGTGGTAGGGAGGGAGGGGGCAGGGGGTGGAGATGGGTTGCAAAGAGCAGGTACAGAAGTGCACAGTCATTAATTCAGTGACTCTGAAAGTTTAGCCTGCGTCACAATCACCTGAAGGGCTTTTATAAAAGAGATTTCTTAGTTTTTCATTCAGAGGATTTGGGATAGAGCCTAAGAATTTGGATGTCTAACAAGTTCCCAGGAAATCCATGTTGGTTTGAGGATCACACTTTGAGAACCAGTGCCACCATTCAAGGCCTCGCTGAGCATCTAGTACGTGTAAGAATCCAAACTGATCACTTTCTCCAGCTAAAAAACAACTTTCGTGGAAACAACCTTACTCAACTTAACTCTTACTAGCATTTCACCTCCTTGGAAGGATAAGCCTTCCTCCTCTGTGCCCCCAATAAATAGGCCCCACTGCCCTCCCACCACTCATGGTTGACCTACCCTTCAAAACACTGTGCCTCTGGGGGCCAGGCCTGTGCCTGACAGATCTTCTAACACCTGCCCCTGGCCCAGATCTGGTGCTCAGGAAATGTATGTTGACTGACTGGATGAATGTTCTCTTCTAGGCTTGCCAGCCACCACAGGAAGCAGCCAGGCAGGATTTGGGAGCCCATGCAGAGGTGGTGGCAATGGGGATGGCCCAAGAGGGCAAACAATATGAGCAGCAGGTGGCAGAGGAAGTTTTGCGCCATATTTAGAGAATATTCAGATGAAGGAGGGACAAACAGTTTTGCAGAGGTAGGCTTCCCCTGAATAAGAAAATCCTTGAAGGGAGAAAGGAAAGGCCTGAGGTAGCCCCCATGGGACACAAACGACACCCGTCATTTGCAGGCTAAAGCTGGCCCGCCTGGCAGCCCCCCAAACAGCATTTCCCTGTCCCTCTCTTCTGGGAAGGGGCCACAGCTTTAGGCAAATGGCATGAGCTTCTTCCACACGTACTTGAGCAATGGGGCCATCAGCGCCACCTCGGGCCTGCTCCTTTTTGAGGAAGCATGGTGGTTTAGGGACAAAGTGACAAAACACCCGTAACGTCACGTGGGGCAGAAGTCTTTGTAGGAGCCGTTTTAGCAGCCGTCCCTACGTGTTCCACCTATACACAATGTTCCACCATCTCTTCTAGCTAGAAAAGCGATACGCTTGGAATGTACCTTTTACATGAAACGCTGAACAACAGTGCATGTGATAAAAGAGGCATTTAACATGGGCCAGATGATTAGGGAGAGTGACTTAACATCAAGAACCCAGGGCTTAAAGTCCGACAGCCTGCCTGGTGATCTCGGCTTTGCCTTTTACCAACCGTGTGGCCTGGAGCGAGTCATTTAACCTCCCCAGATCTGCAAAATGAGACAGCCACCACTGGCTTCCTTTACTCACAGAGCAGGTGAGGGAACTCAAGGCGGTACCAGGTGCGACATGCTTTATGTGCTGTAAAAATGTCATTTGATGATGAGCCTGCCACTTTTAAGCCCCTCAGTCTACCCTGAGCCTGAGTAGAGCAGGAAAATCTAGGGATCTGGAGAGGCGGCTGCTTCAGTGCTCTCACCATTCACTCAAAAAGGAACAGAGACAGCAATAAAGACCCCTTTCCCCACATTCTTTTCTTTCTATTAAAATCAACCAGCAACACAGCACCAGATTAATATCTCTTTAATTACCAAGTTGTCAGTCACCAGGTGAAAAACTCCATAATTTAGTTATCAACCCTGCTCCACATGTTGACACTGATAGCAGGGATCTGGGGTCCATAAAAAGACGCTTTGGGGTCACCCCCTCTGCCGTTCCTCCCTACACTATTCTTCCCACTCAGAATATGAGCTCTCCACACCCCTCTGCCTGCTGGAACTCATTTAGGTCAATGCTTCCCAAATCTTCACCTCATGGCACACAGAGAAAATGAGATGATGTGTTCAGCACACATCGGGTGGAGTAGAGGAGCCACTGCTGCATGCCTGAGGTGAGACTGCTCAAGCTAGGACAACCTGAGCCATGGCTTGTCCCAGGCCCTACCCAGCTGCCCTGAGGGCTGAGGAAATCCCTTATCTGGGAGCTGGGAAGCTCCAACATATCTAACAACCCCACAAGGAGGTACTATCATAATCTCCATCTGACAGATAAGGAAACAGGTTTCCGAAGGTTAAGCCCCTTGCTGGGAAGTGGCAGAGCTGAAGTTGGGCCCTGGGAGTCCAGTGTGGGGGTCCACACTGGCAACCAGTACTCTACTGGCCCCCATCTCTTCCTGCAAGCCTAGATCTTCCAAAAAGCTCCTCCCTGTCACCTCTTCCTGTGTGGGACCCTGCAGCACTCAATTTCACACGATGAACTTGCCCAGTTGTGTAGTGGACCTTTCTGTGGCCCGATCCCCCACCTTCTCCTGTGGAAGGTGGGAACACACACCAGGCATTGAATCAACACCAACCGAACTGAGCCAGTGTGAAGCCCCCAGAGCTAGCCTGGGCCCGCACTCTCAGCACCAAGCCCTACAGGGTAACGACATACATCATTTCTAATCCTTACAGCTATGCTGCAGGGTATAAATTATCTCCACACTTCACACAGAAGGAAGAGAGGCTCACAGAAGTGAGCCGGCTGGCCGATGTCTCACAGCTACAAAGAGGTAGAACTAGGATTCGAAGTTCATCTGGAGGCTCCAAAACCCACACTCTTTCCACTGCCAACCTGTCTCCTCCTCAGGGGATCTGGGAGCAAGAGGTCTCAGGAAACATGCAAAGGCCGGAGTCTGAGACAGAGTGTTGGGGGACAGACAGACCCACTGGTGATCACTAAGGCCCCTGGGCCTGTGTAAAGACAAAACTGATGGCCTGCCCCATACCTATGTGCCTGTTTCTCCTTTGAACCTTAAAGACTTCTACTGTATTAGTGAAGCTTTCCTGGAAAAGGGGTTGTGCTGATGCTATTATTTAGCAGCTATGACTTTAGTCCTTGGTTAACCTTTTAGCAGAAACAAGCTGACAGTCAAATGAGAATCAATTCTTTTTTTTTTTTTTTAAATAAACACGGTCTCGCTCTAATGCCTAGGCTGGAGTGCAATGAAGCCTTGTATTATAGCTCACTGCAGCTTTGAATTCCTGCACTCAAGTGATCCTCCCACCTCAGCCTCCTGAGTAGCTGGGACTACAGAGGCATGCATTACCACATCTGGCTAATTAAAAAAAAAAATTTAGTAGAATTGGGGGTCTTGTTGTGTTGTCCAGGCTCGTCTTGAACTCCTGACCTCAAATGATCCTCCAGCCTTGGCCTCCCAAAGTACTGAGATTACAGACAAGAACATGCCACCCTGCCTGGCCATGAATCCCCTTAAGATGTATTTGTTGCATGCCTACAAGGTAGCAGGCACTGGGCTGAGCACTGCAACATGGTAGAGAAAGACACTGTTCTTGAAGAGAGCAAGAACGCATCCAGGAGGTCCTGGCCGGCACTGGGCAGGAGAGCGTTCTACCCAGGGAGCCGGGGGACCCCTGAGAGCTCAGACAGCCCAGCCTCCGTACATGCAAAGCAGCTGTGCTCAGAAACCAAAAGAGGAATGACAAATTGCTGAGGGCAAGGAAAGCTGCTCTCTGACCCAAGTGTGCCAAATTAGGGCAAAGCCAAGCCTGTCAGAGAGAAAGGAAATACAGCTGAGAATCAGGAATTTTAATTTTTAAGAGCCACACATGGTCTTCCATCTTGTTTCTTTGTAACTGCGTCCCTCTCCTGCTGAAGCATTGCTGTTGTGTCTGAGGCCTCTGTAGCACCCACAGCTGCCAACACATGTGCTCTTTCTGGAAACGGACACCCCCGTGGAGAGCTACTTTGTTGGCTTTGTTTTCATACCATTAGATCTAATCTCTTGAAACCCCAAACTGCACAACAAAACCGCAAAAGCCCAATTCTCCATGGGGCCTCTGACCCCGAGGGGCTTAAAGCAATGCTTCCCACCTTTTTCACATCACAGCACCCACAGCAACTGACAATACATGCTCAACCCCCTTAGGCTGTCACTCCCCCGGCCCCTCAGAGATGAGAGCTTGGCATCTCAGCACACCTGTAACACTCATGCTTGAGATACCTGCGGGGAAGCTGTCGTTCAAAGCGTGGGAATGTCACCAAACCTCAGGAGAATCATGATGGAAGTGGAGAAGCCAAACAGATCAAAGGTCCAGGATGGGGATGGGGCACAGATTATGTGCCCGATTATGAGGCATAATTGTAGACCAACGAGAGCTGGTGGGGACTGCCCCCACCCTAAAGTCCCTGCCTGCCAGCCCACAGTCTAAGCTGGCATAACCCAAACCCACATCAGAGTCCCAAGGAGGGGAACACAGGGCATTCAGACTTTGGAGCGAACACAGCAAAGGCTTTGGAGTCAACAAAGGCTATCCACCTTCCCAACGCAGAGGAGGAAACCAGCATTCCCGTGTGATGCGGTGTGGGCTAGAGATATAAATAGCTTCTAAAAAGGTTAGCAAAATGCACACATGACAAATCTACAGTAGGTTACTAAGGGAAACCAGGATGCTCAGTGCCAGCATCTCACCTGTTGCAGCTGATGCCTGGAAGGAACCCTGGGGCTCCTCCCAGGCTCTGCTCACCGGGCTGAGCAAGGATGGAACACGGGGCTACAAGGACCCAGAGTCTGATGTTGTGAGTGGCATTTCCTAAACCCTACTAATGTTCCCTGCAGGCCTTCTCCAAAGTAGAAAACCTTTTTCCTAATCACATCTCTGTCTGGTTCCCATAAGCCCACTTGTTCCCAATTTCCTCATCTGGGAGAAGTCTACCTTGAAGGGTGTTGTGAGGATGACTTGCCTGGAGGTGGGAGGAGCCTGGTGAGTGGTGATCCCATGGCCCTTTCTCCTTCCCTTTTCTCATCATGCCAGGCCCTTCTGCTAAAATGCAGAAGGTGGGGCATGCCAAGCCTGCCTCCGGTGGAGATTCCCTTCTGTAGGGGAAGTGCCTTGTGGGCACCCAGAGGGCATGCAGGGCAGCCACAGCTGCTGGGTTATATCAAGTGTAAAACAAATCTCACTTGTCATTGAAAAAGCAACACCAAGGGACACCAGAGTAAAAGATATTTATAGCTGTCATGGACGCTTCCCTGAACTTGTGTGTTTAAGTTAACAGACATAGAAACAATACATCCCAAAGCACACAAATTGACTTCCACACACTGAGACAGTGGCTAAATCTGGAACTCTAGGGATCCCAAATTCACCCCCAACACACATCCTCCTGAGTGTGGATATTCTGGGACCTGAATAAACTGGGCTTCAGTCCTTCCCTCTCCAGGGTATCAAGTTCTGCCTTCCTGCCAAGGATTAAGAGATCAGCCTAGAGCCCACAGCTAGAGAGCAGCTTGCCAGGCAGCTCCCCACTGGCCTGTCTGGACAGAGAGGGAGAGCTCTTTCCACTTCCCATCGCTCCAAACAGTGCAGTAGCAGGAGGGAAAATCCCATCTCTCCAGTCCCTCCTTGAGCAGACAATGGGGTTGCTGCAGAGCCTACACTGAAGTCCTGAAGGCTGGGCAAGAAAGGAGAAGCTCCACAGAGGCCCAGGCAGGAAGCCAACCCCTCACCCCCAAAACACACGCAAGGCCCCTAGTGAGAAGGAAGATGCCTCGGTCAACTTCCACTCCAAAATGCTTGGCAGTCAAAATGTGACAGCTGCTCCTGGACCACCCATGGGCTTGGCCAACAGAGGGGAAGTGTTCCCTTTGGCAGTGGTGCTCTGAGTGTGCTGGGATGTCCCCAGGCAGTGCACATGATGGGGACTGAAGTCCAATACACTCTCTCTCCCATTCTCTCTCTTTGTCTGCTAATAGCAGCAGAGGTCAAGTGGAAAGCAGCCTGCTCTAGAAGGCCAAAGGTCATCTACAACAATCACCCTTTGACTGGTAGATGCCCTAATATGTCAGTCGGACAAATGATGCCTATGGCTTTGAACTTGACTGGGGTTAAGGCAGGGACCATGAGTGAGCAAGTGGACTAGAGGTTCCAAACTGAGGGAGGCACTGTTGCTGTTATTCAAATACAATGAGTGCCCACATGCATGAGTGAACATTTTGGAGAGAAGGCAACTGACCTGTAGTGCCATGAGCTGCCTCATTCCATCTTAACTCTCTGAAAGTAGAACCAACTGAAGCCTACATACCCTACTTGTCTGTCAAATTCTGCATGGAACTCTAAGCTATTTCTCTTCTATCAATGGGGATACGGGCTCTGCTTAAGACAGAAAACCATCTGATACAACAGGGCATTTACGGCAGGGAGCACTGGGCTTGGAACCATGGATCCCACAATAGGGACTATGGGAATTACAATGCGCAAAGCTGTTGCACACCTTGGTTGAAAAGGTTCTAGGATCTGGCATTCTAGTGGAATTTCTATCAACTCCAGGCACAATATACTGTTCTCTTCCACTCTGTGAACCTTTCTCCCCACAAAACTCCCCATAGTGGAATATAATAATTTCCTGTACTATTTGTCACTCACCCACTATGCACAAAGTATCAGCTGCTTTTAAATATGTTAAAGAGTTTAAGCCAGCCTATGACCTTGTAATGCAGATTCTAATTATTCACGTTTTTACTAGATCACAAAGGTAAATAATTTAGCTAGAATCACATGACTAGCTAAGGTGGAGATCTGAGCCCAGGCCTGTTTTGTTCCAAAGCCCATGGACCTTTCTCTGCTGCCCACTAGGCTTAAGGATTTGTGTATATATATATATGTATATACATATATATATATATATATATATATATATATATATACACATATATATATATATATATATATGTATATGTGTATACGGATACATATATATATATATAAACCCTTAATGTTTTTTATTTACTTTTTATTTACATGTTTATTTATCATTGTTATTATTGTAAGACAAATCTGATATGGATTCCTAGAAGCCTGAGGTCTTAATGACCAAGTGCAATGTAGAGATCTCCTATGTAACACATGAACAGAGACCCGAGACAGACATTTCTCCCTTTGCTGACATCAGCTGTGGTAGATCCCCATTTTAAATTCATTCCTTTGCACTCCCCAGGTGCAAAAGTACCTGGACATAGTACCAGGTACACAGCAGGCACTTGCCATTTGGTCTCATCATTGCTAAGTTGCTTATTAGTAATAAACCCTCAAATGCTGGGAGATGAAATATTACTAGCTTTGATGCAAAAACAAAAGTCTAGACACTGGGAAAAACACCAATGGGGCCTAACACACATCTAGGCCCCACCAATGGTGTCCAGCATTGGGTGAAAACAGTAGTATTTGAGCCTTACTAATATGTTCATCCTGCTTGGTCTATATCTTATGATCCTCCACTAAAAAGAGTAATTACGGCCATATATGGAAAGCCCTGGTTTTGTAAGTGGGGTCAACTTCAAGTGACTCTGGATCTAAGTTCTCTCCTCTGTAGAGGTGCCATCCAACACCCACTCAGAGAATGGCTGTGAAGATTACAGGTACCACAACTATGGATGCACAAACAATCCAATCAACCCCGTGGCATCTCAGCATTCCCATGGTGTCCTGTGTGTATAACTACTTCAAACTGGAGCAGATTCAGACCCCTGTCCCAATCCTAGCAACACCCCTCAGTAGCTGTGTGACCTCAGGCAAGCAACCTAGCTTCTCTGAGCCTGTTTCCTCACCGCAAAGATGAAATACCACCTATCTCATGGGGTTGTTTTATGGACTAAATAAAATAATATTTGCATGTGTCTGCCTCTGGCCCCATATGTAGGAAAAAACTCAGTAAATACTAGCAGGGTTTAAACATACTCAGAACAGCTCTGACTACACACATCCTGTTGAACAGGGAGTGCGGTCAAAAATTATCATGGTCACAAGTAAAGGAGATAAGAGAAAGGAAGGTAGTGAGAAGTTCAAATTAGAGGCGATTTTTTAAAAGCTTCCTCTTTTCAACCAATAAGGTCAACCTCTTGTTTATCAATAATACGACTTAAAAGTCAGTCTTAGTTGATTGAGCAAGCTCTGCCCCTTGCCCTCCACATCCTCCAATGAAGGTAGAAGGAATAACGACTACAGGGCAGGCAACCAATGGGGGCCCAGGAGAGCTGAGAACTGGCTGTACTGACCTGGGCCATTTTGGTGAAAGGGGGTGGTCTCAGGGACCTTGAACTGCCAGCAGTTCTCTATCTTCAGACGTTCCTCTAACAGTTTAGAAACCAGAGGTCACATCAAGGCACTCCCCCTCAATAAGGCATGTTTCAGAATCCAACCTAAACTCTAATCACAGTTCTGAAATCCAAATCTAGACAAGCTTCAAAGTACATCACTCCCTTTATTGAGCACCTAGTGTGTGCCAGGTTCAATGCTAAACATTTGCCATACAATATCTGCACCAGGGGATCATCTTATTTTTTTAAACCCCATTTTGCAGATAAGGAAATTCTACTACTGGACTTCCCCCAAAGACATTCTCTAAGACTTTCAGCTGCTCCTGTGTTCTCAAGGATGTAAGTCTGTATGACATGTGGAAACTTCTGCCAGAGTCTTCAACTCTAATCATAGTGCTGGATTCTACAAAATTCATCACACACAACTTATCCCCAGAGCAAAAGTGGGTTTGGGAAGAGGCTGAAGCTGGGACAGGGAGACAGAGAGAAGACCTTGGCCCTTTAGAAGCACAGCCTGGCCACCTCTGATGTGCAAACCCTGGCCAGAGGCTGCAGGGCAAAGTGTGCATCTTCTTTCTGCACAATTAATCTCTCCCAAAGAAAACCCAGACAAAGTCACCTGGCCCTTCTGAAGTAGGGCCGGGGGGAACCCCTCCTCCTCCAAGATTCACTCTAAACTCCTAACCCTTCCTCCCCACCCCAGGGAGTGGCTACATGGTTGTTGTTTCTTTTCTTTTTTCCCTGTGGTCCTTTGGTAACACCACAAATTACGTTTTCAGGGACTGGAGTCCCAGAGTGCAATGATGTTGTAATAAACATAACCAGGACCAAATGCCTTCCCATCATATTAGATGATGCCATTTCCCACCAATCAGGCTCCTTGGGCAGGCAGACCACTCACCAATGAGGGACCAGACAGAGGCTGTGGGGGGGAGACCTGGTCATCTGCAACTAAAAATAAGGGCGCTTCATGATTGGCTGCTGCCACTTTGCAACAGGAGTTGGGACCCACACACCAGGCGCCACACAGAACGACCCACACAGGCAAAAACTTTCACAGCCCAGGGGTTCACATGGGGGGGGCTTATCCGGCTCTGTTTGTTTTGTTTGTTTTCCTAATTTGCTGACTTGTTACAAGAAATAAAGACCTAATCCAGGGGAAGCCCGTCGCAGACACACCCTCCCACCTAGACACCTCGGTTTCCAAAGGCCCTTCGCAGCCACAAAGAACTGGGGAACAGGAGGGGGGCGTCGGCCAGAGGCCAAGACACTCACCTGTCCGGCCGTGTCATAGAGTCCTAGGAGGTACTGCTTGCCCCCCACGGTGACGCTGACTGCAAGGACAGAAGTGGGGGCGGGGAGAGAAGCTCACAGTGACCTGGGCTCTGGGGCAATTTCGCTCCCCACCCGGACCCTCCTCTCCCAACCCAGCTAGAGGCGTGGGGGCGCTCCCCGCGAGATGTCACCCCCTTTTCCCGTGCGGCCAGCTCACTGTGAACCGGCAAAGGGCCGGGGTGTGATGTGGTCCCCAGCCGTCCACCCCCTTCTCCCAAGTCCCGTAGCCACGTCTCGCTCGGTCCCCTCGAATATTTCCCCCGGGGCCTTGGGGCAGTAGGAAAGGGGATGTGGGAAGGTCAAGGAGGACGGCCCAGGGCGCCGAGGGGTAGGAAGTGCGGGGAGCAGGAGCCGCGTAGGGGGCGGGTGGGAGAGGGGGTGGATCAGCGGGCGAGGGGTTGCCAGGAGCGAAGCTTCGGGGGTGGGGCCGGCCGCCTGGCAGAGGGCGCGGCGGGGGAGGGGAGAGGAGTGCGCTCTGGGGAGGCGGCGAGGGGGCTCCGCCAAAGTTGCTCCAAAGTTCCCGGCCCGGGGAGCGGCCCCTTAGTCAGCAGTTCCGAGGCTTACCTGCGTAGTGGTCGAAGACGGTGGGCACGTACTCCTCCGGGAAGGCGTCGTTGGCATAGCTCATGAGTAGGCACGTCTTGCCCACCGCCCCGTCGCCGACCACCACGCACTTGAGCATCAGCGCGCCGGGCCCGTGAGCCATGCTGCTGCCGGCCGGCCTCCGGGCATGGTCCCCCCGGAGCCCCCGCCCCGGCCCCGGGCTCAGCCCCAGCCCGCCTGGGGGGTCCGCCGCCGTCGCCGCCGCTCCGCGCCGCAGGGCCGCCCCCCCGGCCCCATGCAGCGGCTCCCCTCGCAGGAGGGGAGGGGGCGGCGGGCCCGGGGCGCTGCCGCCGCCGCGGTCGCCGCCCGGATCCCCGCCCCGGCCCCGGTCGCCGCGCCCGCCCGCTGCCCCCGCCACTCGGCGCCCGCGCCCTCTCCCCGGCCCGGCCTCCCCAGGAGGATCCGCCGGATCATAAGACCGGCCGGCCCCGGGGGAGACGGCAACTTTGGGGAGGGCGGCGGAGGGGAGGGGCCAGGCGGCTCTCCCCGCCCCGCGCCAACCCGGGCCCCTCCCGCGGCGCCCCGGAGGAGGGCGGGCCCAGGCGCCTCCCCGAGCGCGGCCCGCGCCACGCGCCCCCGCCTGCTGCCGCCGCGCGGCCCTGCCGGCGCACCCGAGCCCCACTCCCTGCGAGGGCCGCGCGGAGGGGCGCGCAGGAGGAGGAGGAGCCGAGGACCGCGGAGGGGAGGAGGGGAGTCGCCTGGGGAGCCGAGGGCTCCTCGCGCAAGTGCCCGCAGCGCCCGGAAGCGTCCAAAGGCCCCGATGCTGGGAGAAGACGTGGAGGCCTCTCGGGGAACCACGACGACCTCCACGATGACGCAATAGTCATGCCAAATTATACATGCATATTTCACCTCCACCCGGAAGGCCAGAGCCATCCTCTCGGCCTCTAAGTGCACAACGGAACTAGAAATCAAGGAGGAGAGACCAAAAGGGTAAAAAAAAAAAAAAAAAAATTTAAGGCGCGTGGGGTGGTGGCGGTCCTTGAGCTGGAAAGCAGGAACCCTGGCTTATTGCGTGGTCCCCCCCACCACCACCACCCCACGCCTTCCGTAGCACGAGCTTTAATCATTTACTATGAAACCGGTAACTAAGGGAGATACAGCGTGTTGAACCACTGAAGCACGCCCCTCCACACACACACCAGCCAGAAAAAGGATACCCCGTCGGCTCCGGACCCGGCAAATGTACCTGGGCTCCCCCTGGAGGCCACATTCTCCGAGGTCGCCTTTCGGTCCCCAATGTTCCTCAAAGGTATTCCGTTGTAATCCCGGAGAACTGATACACACTAGTGCTCTGAAACTTGGCCTGTGCTCGAGGCGGCAACCCCTGCCCCTCTGCCTGGCGATGCCGGAACACACCCATCTGGCCAGGTCCTGTTCACTGGCCAAGAATGCAGCATTGAACACTGGGCATTGGGGCGGGGGTGCACTCTGCGCTGACACCGCACCCCTCCCCTCAACTTGCTGACTAGAGGTAATCGCTTCCTTTCATCGATTCACAGCGTTAGAAAAATGCAGCATTGAGAGGCAGCGCGGAGGTCAACTGGACCATCACCCTTAGGTTGTAGGGAAGAAAACTGAGACCTAGAAAGGTGAAGCGGTTGTCCCAAAGGCTTCCAGCTGCTCCCAGTACTCAAGGACTTGGAGCACACTTGGGGAAATGCTCACTGTTGTATTCCCGTTCCTCACTATCCAGGAGGCCTGAACTCTCAAACTCCGAATCTGATTTCCACTCTCCCAGGAAGTCTTCGGAAATCACTGTAAGTTCCTTGCAGATTCTCATTGAGCCTCTCCCCAGGACCCACCCTTTGGCCCTGCGTGTCTGCGACTAGGTATGCGCATTGCTAGCTGCTTTAGATGCAATGAATCTGGAAGATATTTTGTATGGACTGAATAACAGGTTGAGGAAGGCAGAAAAGTGCCTTAAGGTCAGTTCCTGGTTCAAGACCGGCCTCTGCTACTTGCTCTTAGAGAGAAAGAGAGCAGGGCCTGCCCCATTCTTGGCTTGCAGGACCATTTGTTCAGGCAGCATTTGCAGGGACTCGTGTCCTGAAAGGAGGGTCTATCCAGGAGCTTGAAAAGGAGAGCACTCAGCCAGGAGAGCTGAGTTTGGTCCTAGCTCTGACCCTGGTTAGCAGTGTTACCTTGAGCATGTCACTTCCCTTCTCTGGGCCTCCGTTTTCTCATCTATAAATGTGAGCTAAGAGTAGGAGAAGCTCTGGGAATGTCATAGCATTCCCAGTGGGGAACTGATGTCCGATGAATCATGCAGTGGTGACTTCATTGGTGACAGTGACCTCATTCTTTTGGCCCACAGAGTTGCCAAAACTGACTGCCAGGAATACTTAGAGCTCTGGAGCTGATCCCACTTGGTGTATATGTGGGATGGGGAGGGGGGCTATCCAGAATGCCCCCCTGTCAGCCCATGAATGCCTTAGCTGGAAGCACCAATCAGACCGCAACAGAAACCTCACTTTCCCATGAGCAAAGAAGATAATGTCCAAGTGGTAAAAAAAAAAAAAAAAAAAAAAAAAAAGTTACAGAAAAAGCTCTCAAATTTCAGGGATTGGAGATAGAAAGCACTTTGTTTCTGAGCGTCCCATAGGCTGTCTGCTTGCTTCTCTCCTTTTATTTGTGCAAATGTTGAAACAGACACAGGTCTGTGTGAGAACAGTGAAATTTCTTTTTCTTTTTCTTTCTTTTTTTTTTTTTTGAGATAGGGTCTTGCTCTGTCTCTCTGTCACTCTGTCGCTCAGGCTGGAGTGCAAAGGCATGATCTTGGCTCACTGCAACCTCTGCCTCCCTGGTTCAAGTGATTCTCCAGCCTCAGCCTCCAAGTAGCTGGGATTACAGGCATGTGCCATCATGCCTAGCTAATTTTTGTATTTTTTTGCAGAGCGGGGTTTCGCCACGTTGCCCAGGCTAGTCTCGAACTCCTGAGTTCAAAGTGATCCGCCTGCCTCAGCCTCCCAAAGTTCTGGGCTTACAGGTCACTGCATCTGGCTGAGAACAGTGAAATTCCTAATCAGCCTTCTCTTACTCTTTTTCCTGTACTCCCTCCTTCCTCTCATACTTAATTCATTCCATATTTCAATTAACAAGCATTTATTGAGGTCTGTTAGATGCCAGATTTTATTCCTGGGCTGGGGACAAAGAGCTGGAAAGCCACAGTCACTTCTAGCTAAACCATTCAAGGAACTTATTAGCAAACAGGAAAGCACTCTATAGTGTGAGCAGTGCTGTGCTAGAGAATAGAGAATAGGCTTCTGGAGGTGCAGAGGAGGCAATTAGTACATAGGTCCAGGTGTGTTGAGGAAGGATTTGCAGAAGTGATGTCATTGACCTGGGGCTTAAGAGTCTAATGGGAGTAAGGTAAGAATGCCTGGGAAAGGCCAAGAGCACTGCATCAAAGCAAGAAGGAACAGCACACAACTTCCTGGGAATGGTGAGGCATGTAAGGTGGACAGAGTGCATGATTAGTGGTGCTGGGGAACTGGTTTGTATTTAATTGGGAACCATATAATGCAGGCAGTCCATGAGCTTCTGAAAGCCATATGAAGAATGCAGGGTCTGGCATGGGTTGGGCAGTCTCCACTGTACAAAGGCCAAAGGCCAGGGCCAATGGGGCCACTGAGGAAGAAATCTGACCCACACGCTTACTACAAAGGCATGGTCCCAGCTCAAGGCTGCGTTCATTGCAAGAAGGGCACTTTTTTCTTACCACAAATGTGACTTCTGTTTGTCAAACCCTGTGCCCATAGGGGTGCATCCACTCAGAGGGGAACCTTGGTCTATGTAGCAAAAGATGAAGGCACTGTCTAGGCAAGCAGTGGTTCTGGGAGCGAGGATGTAATGAAGGGAATAAACACAAATTTCTAGAGCATCTGCTGTATACTGTATCCAGTTATGGTCCCGGGTATTTGGTGCTCATTGATATAGGACATCTTATTTCATCCCCCAAACAACCTTGTAAACTTTGTAGAGAGTATCTATTGGTTTGTCTATCCAGAACAGCACCATTTGCTTCTGCTAAATGTTTTTATAATGTAATCTCTGTAATCTTGGAAGCTGCCGTCTTCTTATACATCCTGCCCCTGGTACCTGTTGATCCCTAGGTGGACACCTGATTCAAGATGGGACAATTAGAACTCTTTCCTGAATTTTTTTTTGTGTGTGTTTTTGAGACAGAGTCTCACTCTGTCACCCAGGCTGGAATGCAGTGGTGCAGTCTCAGCTCACTATAGCCTCAACCTCCCAGGCTCAAGCAATTCTCTCACCTCAGCCTCCCAAGAAGCTGGGATTATAGGCATGAGCCACCAAGCCTTGCCTGAGAATTTTGAATTTGGGATTCACAGCAGGAGTTTCTCCTCTTTTGCTAACTAAACTGAGCGATGTGAGCCTGGAAGCTGTAGGTCATTTATGTTTCAGCCATTCACAAAGTAGCCAGTCCAAGGAAATATAGCTAAAGTGCAGAGAGAAGCAAAGAGAGAGAGAGAACACCACCACCACCACCACCACCACTACTCCCCCATCACAAAGGGCAGAGAGTAAACAGGCCATCTGTGAGTTACTAATTTGCATCACCCCCGAGATCCTGTTGCACAACTGTTCTCTGATTTGTCATTTGAGTTAATAAATCTTCCCCTTTTTTTTTTGCCCAGTGAGTAGGGGTTAGTTTTCTGTAACTGGTAACCAAAGGAATCCTATTATAATATTATATCTATAGTTCACATTAGATGATGAGATTAAGAAGCTTGCCCCAGATCACACAGCTGGTAAGTGGCAGAGCTAGGTTTCAAAATCATCTCTCTTCAAAGCTAATGCATTTGCCATATTCCACATTGACAAGGTATCAAAAGTTTTTGAGTAAAAAAATGACAAGCTTGGACCTGTCATTTGGGAAGGTCACTCTGAGACTCATAGAAAATGGATTTGGAAAGGATAAGGGTGAAGGCAGAAAGAGCCAGGAGGAGACAGATCACAACAGTCTGACCCAAGCATGGCAGTGAACATGAAGAGGAGGCAGTGGGTTTCAGGGAGATTTGGATGATGGAATCCACAGGGCTTGGTAGCAGTGTGGGGATGTGGGGATGACAGAGGAGGCGAGAGAGAACAAGGTTTTTACGATAACTCTGAGGCATCTACATTATGATTTCATCTACTTTTTTTTTTCTTTTTAATGTCCTCTGTTGTTATCTTCCCACTTCTTCTTTGGACTTCTTCCTTGCTTTTTGAGCCTTTCCATCTCCGATTGTTTCCTAACCACGCAACTGACTGTCTAAATCAAGCTGAGATTAGAACTCTAGAGGACAGTATGTTCTAAAACACATTCATTTGCATCATTTTGTGTGTTCCCTCATGTCTGCTTAGGAAATGGAAAAATGGACTCCAAGGGATCATTTGGTGTTGTGGCTAGGATGCTTTAGGTTGCAAGTCATAGAAAATTCAACTCGAACCAGCTTCAGCAATGAGGGAAGTGTATGGACTTCTGTTATGGAAAAATCCAGAAGCAGTCCAAGCTTCAGGCATGAATTGATCAGAACTCTTTTTTTTTTTTTCTGCACATCTCTCAGTTTTTCTTCTTCTCTATGAGTCAACTTTCTACTCAGCATACCTTCTTTCCTGGAAGCAAAATGGTTGCACCAAGTCCAGGCATCACCATCCATATACCATGTTTTCCAGAAGGAAAGAGAGCTTCTCTTGACCCACTCATTGAACAAAGTCTTGAACTTCTTCTGATTAGCTCAACTTAGTTCATCCCTGAACCAGTCATGGTGGGTAGTAAACTGTCAGGTGACTGTTGCCTTAGGCCTGGGCTACTGTCCATCCCTAAAACCATCACTATGGCAAGGAGTTGGGACTATCCTAATTGGGCATATCAGCCCTGCCCCCACAGGGGCTGGGGTTTCACACCTACCCAGGTTCTGTGGTTTCTGCACAGTGGGTGACAAGTCTGGGGGAATGCATGCTGAGGAGGCAACCAGCAATATACATCTACATTATTGCCTAAGGGTCAACGTTCCTAGGCCTTCCCCTGGCTACACTGGAAATAAAGAATTTTAGGAGAGGCCAGGCAAAGTGGCTTATACCTGTAATCCCAGCACTTTGGGAGGCCGAGATGGGAGGATCAGTTGAGGTCAGGAGTTTGAGACCAGCCTGGCCAACATGGTGAAACCCCATCTCCGCTAAAAATACAAAAATTAGCCAGGCGTGGTGGCGGGTGCCTGTAATCCCAGCTACTCGGGAGGCTGAGGCAGGAGAATCACTTGAAACGGGAGGCAGAGGTTGCAATGAGCTGAGATGGTGCCACTGCACTCCAGGCTGGGCGCCAGAGCAAGACACTGTCTCAAAAAAAAAAAAAAGAAGTTTAGGAGAGAGGCAAATGTTAAGAGGAGAGGAAGATGAGATGGCTCCAAATCTAATCTGTGATTTGTTCCAAATTTCAGGTGGATTGTCAATACAGGAGTCCATACTGACTGAATCCCTAATTTTGGCCTGTATTCTTCTCCCTCTGTGAACCATCTTCTTAGAAGTCACTGGTAAGGAGATAAAATGATGGGCATTCTTTAACACTGGTGCTGCCCTGCTGTTATGTTATGCTTCTTCCCACCACAATGCCCAGAATCCTCACACTGCAGCCTCTTCACTCCCCAGGGTGCCTGTTGGCCTTCCCTGCAGCATCCTGCCACATGCCCTACCTACCCCTATCCCTATTTTTCTCCCTGCCACTAAAACCTCCCATTGGCACCCTCTTCTCTTTGCACTCCAGTGTAGGTACACTGCAATGAGTTAAACACCACAGCAATTTCTTAAAGGTCACTGGTTCCTAATGATCACGCTGATAAATAAATCCAGTAGGATTGGTTTGCCTGGTTTTCATTCCCAGTTAGAATGTACATAGATCTCTTTTTCTAGTTGATTACATACCAGAAACTCAGAAGAATGGCCCAGCCTCTGAGAACTTCGGCTCAAGCGCTCTTAATGTTTTGCCATTTTCATTTCTAACTGTTTTCTGCTGCAACCTAAGGTCAGGAGACTAGTCATTGTGACTGATGGCATCACCACCCATTGCTGAACTATAGGAAAGGACATTTCCTTAGAGGTTGCTGGTATGGAATACTCATATGATTTAGGAGTGGTCTCCTCTCATAGGCTCCAAAGGAGGCTAGATCACAGATCCCTCCTCCAAAAATGAAATTAATGATTTTATTTTATGTTTCAGAACCAAGAGTGCCAGAAAACCATCCCAAGACTCACACAGAGTTGTTCTTCCATAGTGGATGTTTTGGCCACTGGACATCAGAACCACATTTTGGGTTTGAAGAATCTTCTACATGGTGAGCCTTGGTGGGAAGAAAAGAATATCCCTTCCTTATAGAAGCTGAAATTACAGACTCTTGCTTTCCTTGTCAGACTTAAAAGCTAGTGTAGCCAGAGTTAAATACAGGGCACATTGTCTCTGGAGGCTGCAGCTTTAGTGGTGGGTACACAGTTCAGTTCCTGACCCAGGAAGTGGCACATCAGGGCAGGCAGTGGTGTTGGTTGTGGTATAATTGAGTTCCTGGTTCAGAAGTGACAACTGTACACATGAGTTGTCTAGGGTTTGGTGAAAGCAATGGTATTGAAAGTGGTTTTCTCATCAAATTAGTTCCTGAGTCATGTGTCGGACACTGTTTCTATCTTGAGCAGCTTCTCTAGCCTTTCTAAATCCTGTGACCTGCCTGTGATCCTTTTAAGATTTCTTTCTGTTTAATCAGCCACAAACAGCTTCTGTTGCTTGCAACCCAGGCTCCTGAGAAGAGACTGGAGAAGCAGATCACTTTATTAATGTGCTTCATGTAGAGGGAGTAGAGATTTCCACCTCTACCATACCCAAATAACTGGTATTGGCTGTACCTTTCTAATGTGAGCAACTTTAAAATTGAACAGAATATATGAAACCTCTCTTTTCAGACATTGAACAGCATGTAGCACAGCACCGTGATTCCTGAAAGTAGGGAACAAATGGGGCAAACCCTATCACTCTAACTTTCTGCTGAAAAATGCTGTCTAAATTGCAGCACAATGAGGGGGAACCCAAGCAGAGCATAGTGGTCTTGCTGAGTTGAGGAGATAGTTGAGCAGACTTTTCAAGGCAGAGTATCAGAAAGGAGAGAATATAACAGCAAAACAGGCTCCTGGAATCCCTGTGAATCTGTTGCTGAATACTAAGCTGCACATGCATAAGGTGAAACTTCACAGTGCGATGCAAAGAACTACTGCGGAGCTGTGAGCTGATTGGTTCCCAGGGCTCACTGGGCAATGTTTGAGTTTCAACTCGCCAATGTGAAGAAACCTTGCTGACTGTCCAGGGAATTCAGTAGAAATCCCAAAAGGGTAAGGCATTAGGAGAAGGGCTAACTAAGCCGAAAAGTGAGGTAACTCTAGACTTCCTCCAACAAGGTTTAGAAAGCAGCCTCAAAAAGAGGAAGTTCATCCGCTACTACCGTAACTGCCAGCCAAAACAAATTTTACCATTTTTAAAACAACAAAATACAGACATTTAACAACATTAAATTCAGAATGTTAAAAATACTAGATATGCAAATAAGTAGGCAAATAGAACCCAAAATCAGGAGAAAAATCATTTAATAGAAACAAACCCCAAAATGACAGAGATAATAACGTTAGCAGACAAGGACTTAAAAAATTAAAATAAAACAAGGATTTAAAGGAAAACATGAACATAGTGAAGAAAAAACTGGAAGATATAGAAAATAACCAAATGGAACTTCTGGAGCTAAAAAATACAACACCTGTAATGAATAATTCAGTGGCTGAACTTAACAGTAGGTTAGACATTGTGGAATGAAATATCTGTGACACTGAAGACATAGCAATAGAAACTGTCCCAATTAAAGCAGAGAGAAAGGAAACAAAAGAAACACAGAAACACAGAGCCTCAGTCACCTTAAGATGATATTAAAAACTGGAGTCCTCGAAAAGGATTAACGGTGATGATTTGAAGGCCAAAAACAAGTCCCAAATTTCATGAAAATTGTAAACGTATAGCGCCAAGAAGCTCAACAAATCCAAAGTAGGAGAAAAACAAAGCAAACCATATCAAGCGAGGCACTTTGTAATTAAATCACTGAAAACCAGTAATAAGTAGAAAAAAATTAAAAGCAGAAAGAGAAAAAAAGACACATTTTATACAGGGAACAAAGACAGATATAATTGCAGACTTCTCTTCAGAAATAATGCAAACTAGAACTTAATGAAATCGCGTCTTTAAAGTGATAAAAGAAAAAGAAAGCACTGTCAATCTAGAATTCTATATCCACCAGAAATATTCTGTAAAATTGAAGGTAAAATAAATGTTTGTCAGACAACAAAAGGCTTAAAGTTTTTTTTAAACCAGAAGATCTTCAATACAAGAAATACAAAATAAAGTTCCCGAGGCAGAAAAAACATGGTACCACATGAAACCACTGACCTACACAAAGAAATGAAGAGCACCAGAAATGGTAAATATATGGGTAAATATGAGACATTTCTTTCTCTGTTACAAAATTCCTTTAAAACATAATTGACCTTGGCCGGGTATGGTGGCTCACACCTGTAATCCCAGAACTTTTGGAGGCTGAGGCAGGTATATTGCTTGAGCTGGAGAGTTTAAGACCAGCCTAGGCAACATGGCAAAACCCCATCTCTACAAAAAATACAAAAATATAGTTGGGTGTGGTGGCACACTCCTATAGTCCCAGCTACTCAGGTGGCTGAGGTGGAAAGATCACTTGAGCCCAGGAGTTCAAGGCTGCATGAGCTGAGATCATGCCACTGCACTCCAGTCTGAGTGATAGAGCCAGACCATGTCTCAAAAAAACAAAACAAAACAAAAAAACCCCAAACCATTCTATCTATCTATCTATCTATCTATCTATCTATCTATCTATCTATCTATCTACACATACATGCACACACTATATATGATATAACATTATATATAATGTTAGATATATAATATGTTAGGTATATAATATAACATTAGATATATAATATAATGTTAGATATATAATGTTAGATATATATATATAATTAAAAAAATAAAAAACACAATTGACCATCTAAGGCAAAACTAATAGCAGTATATTACATGGTTTATAACATGTAGAAATAGAACCTATAACAATAATAACAAAAGGGATAGAAAAACAGAAATAGAACTATATTCTTATAAAATCCTTACATTGCGCATTAAATGATATAGTGTTATCTGAAGGTTGTCTTAGTCTCTTCCTGCTGTCATAGCAATCTACCATAGACTGGGTCATTCATAAATAATAAAAGTTCATTTCTCTTAGTTCTAGAGGCTGGGAAGTCTAAGATCAAGGAATCAGCAGATTTGGCATCTGGTGAGGGCTCACGCTCTGCTTCCAAGATGGCATTTTGTTGCTGCATGCTCCAGAGGGAAAGGAACAAACACTATGACCTCACATGGTAGAAGGGAAAAGGGGGTTAAAACAAACAACAAAAAACTCTTAAGCCCTTTTATAAGGGCACTAATCCCATCCATGAGGGCTCTCCCCTTCCAAATTACCTCCCAAAGTTTCCACCTCTTAATACTATCACCTTGGGGTTTAAGTTCCAACATAAATTTTGGAAGGACACATACATTCAAACTATAACAAAGGTAGACTAAGAAAACTTAAAGATGCATGTTGTAAAACCTAGAGCAATCACTATAAATAAATAAATACATACATAAATACATAAATAAAGCAAAGAGGTCTTTTTAATAAGCCAACAGTAAAGACAAAGTGGAATACCAAAAAAAAAAAAAAAATCAAAAAGGAAGTCAGGAGGGTGCCAAGATCATTCAATGGTCTTAGGAAAACAGTAGTCTCTTCAATAAATGGTGATGAGACAAACTAGATATCCACAAGCAAAAGAATGAGTCTGGATCTTTCCCTCTCAACATATACAGACATTTACTCAAAATGAATTGACAACCAAAAGACATGAGCTAAGACCATAAACTTTTAGGAGAAAACCTAGGGATAGATCAACAGTTTCTTATATATGATGTCAAAAGCATAACAACAAAAGTAAAACCAAAACTGGACTTCATAAAAATTACAAAACTTTTCTGCTTCAAAGGACATTATCAAGAAAGTGAAAAGACAGCATACAGAATGAGAGAAAATACTTACAAATTAAATAGCTCATAAGACTCTAGCATCCAGAATGTATAAAGTTCTCTTATCATTCAACAATAAAATGACAAATAGTTTATTTTTTTAAAGGGGCAAAAGACTTGAACAGACATTTCTCCAAACAAGATATAAATCACCAACAAGCACATGAAAAGGTATTCAACATCATTAGTAGTTAGTCATTAGGTAAATGTAAATAAAAACCTCAATGAGGTACCCCTTTACACCCACTAGGATGGCTATAATTAGGGGTGGGGGAAGGAAAATAAGTGTTGGTGAAGATGTGAAGAAATTGGAACCCTTTAGATTGCTGGTGGGAACGTAAAATGGTTCAACCTCTGGAAAACAGTTCGAAGGTCTTTGAAAAAGTTAATTATAGAATTACAATATGACCCAGCAATTCTAGAGCTAGGTATATATCCAAAAGAATTGAAAACACATCCTCAAATAAATACATGTGCATACCATGTTCACAGTGGCACTATTCCCAGTAGCCAAAAGGTGAAGACAGCTCAAATGTTTATCAACTGGTGAATGGATAAATTGTGGTATATGGATACAGTGGAATATTATTGAGCCATAAAAAGTAATGAAGTACTGACAGCTGCTACAATGTGGATGAATCTCAAAAACGTTATGCTAAGTGAAAGTAGCCAGACACAAAATGCTATATGTTGTATGTTTCCATTTACATGAAATATCCAGAACAGGTAAATTCATAGACAGAATGTAAGTTGGTGGTTGCTATGGGCTGGGGATGGTAGGGTTTGAAGGGAAAATGAGGAGCAACTGCTTAATGAATATGAGGTTTCCTTTTGGAGTGATAAAAGTGTTTTGAAGCTAGATAGAGGCAATGGTTGTACAACCTTGTGAATGTAATAAATGCTACTGAAATATTACTTTAAATTCACCTCAATTTCAAAAAACGTATTCACCAACCAAGAGAAAAAAAGTCAGGTAATATGGTTTGGCTGTGTCCTCACCCAAATCTCATCTTGAATTGTAGCTCCCATAATTCCCACGTGCCACGGGAGGGGCCCGGTGGGAAGTAACTGAATCATGGGCTTGGGTTTTTCCTGTGCTGTTCTTGCGCTAGTGAATAAGTCTCATGAGATCTGATGGTTTTACAAAGGGGAGTTCCCCTGTACAAGCTTTCTCTTGCCTGCTGCCATGTAAGACGTGTCTTGCTTCCCCTTTGCTTTCTGCCATGATTGTAAGGCCTCCCCAGACATGCTGAACTGTGAGTCAATGAAACCTCTTTCCTTTATATATTACCCAGTCCTGGTTATGTCTTTATTCGCAGTGTGAGAACAAACTAATACATCAGGAAAAGAGGAAAAAAGGAAGAAAGAATAGCTGGTTACAATGGAAAACAAATAGCAAGATAAAAGACTTAAATCCAGCCATACTGATAATTATATCATATATAATAACACTTGAGGAGAGTGCAGGGCAGGTGGCCAGGGAAAGCGGGTAATAATGAGAACCTTTGTGTTTGAAGACCTAAATGACAAACTGTTTGACCTCTGAAATGAATATTGGAGAAGGGAGGAGGATGATGGTTCTTGGTTCCTGAGAGGTGGATGCCTGACCTACCCTGAGATAGTGGCAGAATTGGGGGCATGACCACCCCACCCACCACCATCATCCCTTTACTGTGCACAGGCCTGAACCTCTTCTCAGCTTCTGTTCAGCCCAGTGCTTCTCTCCTGGCGCCATCCTGGTGTCTCACATGCTGTAGGGACCAGGGAATCCTGGGGCTGGAAGAGGAGAGGGCTCTGTATGTAGGTGGTAGGAGACTGAGCTGCATTCTGGAGATGTGCAGTTGTGGCCTGAATTGAGTGATCCTGAGACCTTCAGTTAAAGGTGGGAATTTCCAGCAGATGCCTTACAGTCAGGGATATCCTTCAACCCCCTTTGCAACAATGTAACAGGACAGGTTATAAATATACTGAAATAATTTCTTTCTGGTTCGAAAACATTTCCTACCCTGAGCTCCCTGAGTGCCCTGATCAGGCCACTGCATCACCCTGACGTTCATCATCTTTGTACCCCCATCTCCTTCAACTCGAAGAAGGTTGCAAATTCCTAAGATTGTTGAGAGTCTATTGGGGAAACTACTTCCTCACCACCCAAATCATTCATCCATGGGTTCAATAAATTGTTATTATTATTATTATCATCATCATCATCATCATTAAAGACAGATGTCACTCTGTTACCCAGGCTGGAGTGCAGTGGCACAATCACGGCTCACTGCAGCCTCAAATGCCTGGGCTCTAGTGATCCTCCCGCCTCAGCTTCCTGAGTAGCTGAGACCATAGGTGCACACCATCATGCCTAGCTCATTTTTAAAATTTTTTGTAGAGATGGGGTCTTGCTATGTTTCCCAGGCTGGTCTCAAACTCCTGGCCTCAAGCAATCCTCCTGCCTTGGCCTTCCAAAGCACTGGGATTACAGGCGTGAGCCACCACACCCAGCCAAATCATTATTAAGCTACTGCTATGTACTAGACTCTGTGGGCAGGGTTGAGATGAGTGCAGAGTGGGTCAGAAATAGTCCTCTTCCCAAGAAGATCACTGAGGAAGCCCCTAGGCATGGTGAGGGACAGCACTGAATGGGTACAGTCTTTTCCTTGCAAACCAGTACCTTCCCTGCATTATAGGTTGAGCTGTGTCTAACAGCAAATGTGAGGCCAGCCAGGACTTGTCATGGTGAGAATTAAGTCAGTATCATAGCAGTGTTGGGCATCTGAATGTGTAACTCAAGGCTGAGGACTAGTAGACACTGCTTCTGGTGTTCCTGCCCTCCCTCTTGGGGCTGTCCCTACCCACGACTTACAGGTTGGATGGAGGCTTGGGCAGCCAGCTGCCTCTGAAGGGCTATTTCCCAGGGCTCCTTGCTGACTTCATACCTACCCTTGGCCCCTCTGGAGGCTGCCTGGGGCTCTGACCTCCAGCCTGGGCCAACTTCTCCATAGGCAGCTCTAGGAGTATGGTTCTAGGAAGGGCAGAATGAGGGGCTCTGGGAACCCATGGGCAGGGAAAGACAAACCCATGGGCTTTGTGAAAGACAGCATCTGATATTTCTCTCTCACTTTACAAAACTTGTTTGCTTCTTCCACTATTCGGCCTTCTCAGCTCCACTGTGAGGACAACAGAACTCTTCATCAACATCCTGGTTTTACAGAAGTAGTTTTGTGTCTCTAGGTGAATTGAGGCAGATTGTCAGCCTTTATCCAGATTGCCCAACCTACGAGTAGCATCAGGACTGGGGTCTGAACCTCTGATGCCCAGTCCTGGATGCATCTTGTGACACCAAGCGGCTGCCCATGGAGCCTCCAAGGCAGAGGGAGACCTCCTGTTCCAGGGGCAGCCTGGTTTCCACCCTCATGAGGCGGGAGAAGGGAGTCCTGCCCTGGAGGAGTCACCATCCTGTGATGTCCCATGTCTACCCAGCATGTGGGCATGCCCACTAACTATTAACCATATAAACTGCTCATATGCCATGCAGCCAGACTCTCAGATCACTACCACCACCCTGTTCCCACCTTCAAAGAGGGCTATTTTGGGGGGTGAATACTTTGACAAGTGGATTGAGTGGGTACATGAGACCTTCCAAGATCTTCTTAAGTAACAACTGATGGTTGCTTCACTGCTTTCTAAGAAGGGTGAATTTATTTAACTTGTAGTGCAGTGTTTCTCAAATATTTTGTCCTGCAAATTGCAGTTAACAAATACATTTTTCATTGTAAACTGGAATACATACACATACATATATTATGTTTGTGTGTGTGCACATATATCTATACATATAACAAAAGGTTTGATATAACAATACTTAACCTTACCACCTGTAATGAATTCTGGATTTTTGATTCTATTTGGTTTCATTTCTTTTTATTCAGTGATGATCCAGTAAATGATTTCATAGTCCACCAAACGGTCACGGTTCACACTTGGAGACACCCAATGCAGGTCTCTGCTGGCTGAGTGCACTGGCTTGTGGCTGGAGGTGAGTGCTCAGGACCACAGAGGGATAAAGAACCTCTATAACTCAACAACAACAAAAAAACAAACAACCTGATTTTAAAAATGGGCAAAGAACTTGAGTAGACAGTTTCCAAAGAAGATAAGCAAATGGCCAATAAGTGCATGAAAAGATGCTTAATATCACTTATCATTAGGGAAATGCAAATCAAAACCACAATGATACCACAATGGGTAATTTCATATCCATTAGGATGGCTATTATTTAAAAACAAAAAACAACAACAACAACAAACCCAGGACCAGGCGTGGTGGCTCACACCTGTAATCCCAGCACTTTGGGAGGCTGAAGGGGAGGATCACTTGAGGCCAAAAGTTCAAGACCAGCCTGGGCAACAAAGTGAGACTCCTTCCTCTACAAAAAAATTTAAAAATTAGTTGGACTAGCCGGGCGCGGTAGCTCCCGCCTGTAATCCCAGCACTTTGGGAGGCCAAGGTGGGCAGATCACGAGGTCAGGAGATCGAGACCATCCTGGCTAACATGGTGAAACCCTGTCTCTACTAAAAATACAAAAAATTAGCCGGGCATGGTGGCAGGTGCCTGTAGTCCCAGCCACTCGAGAGGCTGAGGCAGGAGAATGGCGTGAACCCGGTAGGCAGAGCTTGCAGTGAGCTGAGATCACGCCACTGCACTCCAGCCTGGGCGACAGAGTGAGACTCTGTCTCAAAAATAAATAAATAAATAAAAATTAGACACGATGGTGTGCACCTGTAGTCCCAGCTACTCAGGAGGCTGAAGTGGGAAGATTGCTTGAGCCAGGAGTTTGAGGCTGCAGTGAGCTATGATCATGCCACTACACTCCAACCTGGGCAACAGAGCCAAGACACAAAAGAAAGAAAAAAAACAAAAACAAAACCAGAAAACAGCAAGTACTGGCAAAGATGTGGAAACACTGGAACCCATGTGCATTGCTGTGAACTGTAAAATAGTGCGGCTGCCGGGGAAAATGGTGCAGATGTTCTTCAAAACACTGAGCTTAGAACTACTATATGATCCAGCAATTCTACTTCTAGGCATATACCCCAAAGAAGTGAAAGCAGGTCTTTGAACAGATATTTATATACCCATGTTCATAGCAGCATTATTCACAACAGCCAAGAAAGGAGAGCACCCCAAGTCTCTATGAATGGATGAATAGACAAAATATGGTATATACACACAATGAAATATCCAGCCATAAAAAGGAAGGAAATTCTGACCTGTGCTACAACATGGGGAATCCTGAAGACATCATACTAAGTGAAATAAGCCAGCCAAGGAAGGACAAATATTATGATTCTATTTATATGAGGTACCTGGAGTACTCAAATTCACAGAGACAGGAAGTAGAATGGTGGTTGCCAACAGTTACTTGGGGAAGAGTATGTGGGATTAGTGTTTAATGGATACAGAGTTTAAATTTGGGAAGACGAAAAAGTTCTGGAGATGGTGGTGATAGTTGCAAAACCATGTGAATATTCTTAATGCTACATAAATGTACACTTAAAAAGGCAGGGTGTGGTGGTTCACACCTGTAATCCCAGCACTTTGGGAGGCTGAGGCAGGTGGATCACTGAAGGTCCAGGAGTTCAAGACCAGTCTGGCTAACATGGTGAAAACCCATCTCTACTACAAATACATAATTAGCCAGGCATGGTGATGCACGCCTGTAGTCCCAGCTACTCGGGAGGCTGAGGCACAAGAATTACTTGAACCCAGGAGGCGGGGGTTGTAGTGAGCCGAGATCACACCACCGCACTCCAGCCTGGGCAACAAGAGTGAAACTCCGTCTCAAAATAATAATAATAATAAATAATGTACACTTAAAAATGGTTAAATGGCAAAATTTGTTATGTACATTTTACTACAATAAAACAAAAAAGGTTTCACTTTTAAAACAGGATTTCCAACTTCTCTAAAAAATCAGATCTTATGACATCCTAGTCCACATTTTCTAAGGCAACAGACCGGGGAAGTATTTGCCCCTTTAGACAGGGATGGAAATGAAGGGCTTTTTTTTTTTTTTGGAGAAACTGCCACTGGAAACTTCTAGATATGCAGCTTTGAAGCAAATGACTCTTGGGGAGAACCTGACTGCTTTGAAGTAAGCTGTCTGCAGATGTTTTAGAAGGAGAAATTCAGTTGTGAATTCTTCATGTAAATTATTTTGGGAGAAAGGTTTCTTCCCCTGCCTGTAGGCATTAGCTTTCTCCAGTCCTGACCAAAGCCTGCTTTGCCAGTGTGAGTGGAGTTCTTGGAATAAAACTCTATGTGGCTCCTTACTCATCAGCAACTGAAGCAGAGATGAAGCTTTTCAGGCCCTTCTGATTTTCTCTCCAGGTGTCTCCTGTTACTTCTAGACCAAATGAACTCTCTCGCCCTTGCCTTCTCTCCCAAGCTTGCTCGCCAGGGAGCAGGGTGCCTGTCCCTGCTTTCTTTTTTTTTTTTCTTTTTTTTTTTTTTTGAGACGGAGTCTCGTTCTGTCGCCCAGGCGGGAGTGCTGTGGCGCGATCTCGGCTCACTGCAAGCTCCGCCTTCCGGGTTCACGCCATTCTCCTGCCTCAGCCTCCCGAGTAGCTGGGACTACAGGCGCCCGCCACTGCGCCCGGCTAATTTTTTGAATTTTTAGTAGAGACGGGGTTTCACCGTGGTCTCGATCTCCTGACCTCGTGATCCGCCCGCCTCGGCCTCCCAAAGTACTGGGATTACAGGCGTGAGCCACCGCGCCCGGCCGCCTGTCCCTGCTTTCTCACAACCTCACCCCAAGCTGAGCTGCTCTGTTCTGTGTAGCCAGAGGCTGAGTCCTCAGACCTGACACCCAACAGCTTGTGGGCCACATCTCTTCCTTCCAATCGCGATGCCTTGTCTTGTGTCCTGGCCCTCGCTGTGTACAGGCTCCCTCTGGCTTTTGGCATATAGTCCAAGACTCCTGCCCCCACCACCCCCAGGCTGATCTTCCTGAGTCCAGGTTTGGCGAAGGTACAGCCCTGCTAAGAAGCCTTTGATGGGCTCTTTTGCATAATGCCCCAACTCTCAGGCAGACATTTCCACCCTTTCCCATTCACACCCCAGTGTCTTTCTAGACATTGTCCTCTGCAAGTCTCTTGACTACTGCCAAACCCACCTGCTCTCCACACGCAGACCTCAGACCCCTTTCCACCAGCAGGCCTTTGCCCGCAGTGTTCTCCCCATCCAGTGTCTTACTTTCTTTCTGCTTATGATGACGGTCCATCTCTCAGCGCCCATCCTTACTACTCCCTCCCTGACTGGCCCCTTGCCCACAGGGCTGCTACCTCGGCTGAAGTGTGCAGTCAGTCTGGCTGTGTCCTTTCCTGCCCCTTATCCCATCCCATTTTGAGTGCCAGATGCTTTTCTCCTATTTTAAACCAGGGCCCTCTCTGAAACCACAAGGCATTGCTTAAAGTTGGGTCTCCATAAAGATGTGATTGATTTTTGTCTATTTGGATAAATTCTGCTTAATAAATACTACCAACTTTCTACATTTTCCAGGTGACTTGCCTCCAAGTTAAGGTACTATGTTGATGTGCCCTGAAACCTCATTTTCTTGTCTGAGTTTTCCGAAATTGCCTTATGTTCTTTCATGTATCTTCATTTCCCTCCCTCCCTATTGGTGTTCTGTTGTTACCCATGGAAGGTCTCAAACCATCCCCTACCTGGTTTAAACATCTTCAGGTCAACAATACATTATAAAGTGTATTCAAATAGGAAGAGAGGAAGTCAAGTTGCTGTTTGCAGACGACATGATTTTATATTTACAAAACCCCATCATCTCAGCCCAAAAACTTGTCGAATTGATAAGCAACTTCAGCAAAATCTCAGGATACAAAATCAATGTGCAAAAACACAAGTATTCCTTTACACTAACAATAGGCAAGCAGAGAGCCAAATCATGAATGAACTCCCATTCACAATCGCTACAAAGAGAATAAAATACCTAGGAACACAGCTAACAAGGGATGTGAAGGACCTCTTCAAGGAAAACTACAAACCACTGCTCAAGGAATAAGAGAGGACACAAACAAATGGAAAAACATTCCATTCTCATGGATAGGAAGAATCAATATCATGAAAATGCCCATACTGCCCAAAGTAATTTATAGATTCAGTGCTATTCCCATTAAACTACCATTGACATTCTTCACAGAATTAAAAAAAAACTATTTTAAATTTTATATGGAATCAAAGAAGACCCCATATAGCCAAGATAATCCTAAGCAAAAAGAACCAAGCTGGAGGCATCACACTACCTGACTTCAAACTATGCTACAAGGCTACAGTAACCAAAACGGCATGGTACTGGTACCAAAACAGACATATAGGCCAATGGAGCAGAGACCTCAGAAATAACATCGCACATCTACAACCATCTGATCTTCGAAAAACCTGACAAAAACAAGCAATGGGGAAAGGATCTCCTATTCAGTAAGTGATGCTGGGAAAACTGACTAGCCATATGCAGAAAACTGAAACTGGACCCCTTCCTTACACCTTATGTAAAAATTAACTTGAGATGGATTAAAGACTTAAATGTAAAACCCCAAACCATAAAAACCCTAGAAGAAAACCTAGGCAATACAATTTAGGACATAGGAATGGGCAAAGACTTCATGACAAAAATGCCAAAAGCAATTGCAACAAGAGCCAAAATTCACAAATGGGATCTAATTAAACTAAAGAGCTTCTGCACAGCAAAAGAAACTATCATCAGAGTGAACAGGCAACCTACAGAATGGGAGAAAATTTTTTCAATCTACTCACCTGACAAAGGTCTAATATCCAGAATTTACGAGGAACTTAAACATATTTACAATTAAAAAAAAACATCAAAAAGTGGGCAAAGGATATGAACAGACATTTCTCAAAAGAAGACATTTACATGGCCAATGAACATATGAAAAAAAGCTGAATATCACTGATCTTCAAAGAAATGCAAATCAAAACCACAATGAGATACCATCTCATGCCAGTCAGAATCGCAATTATTAAAAAGTCAGGAAACAATAGATGCCAGTGAGGCCGTAGAGAAATAGGAACACTTTTACACTGTTGGTGGGAATGTCAATTAGTTCAACCATTGTAAGAAGACAGTGTGGCAATTCCTCAAGGATCTAGAACCAGAAATAGCATTTGACCCAGCAATTCAATTACTGGGTATATACCCAAAAGATTATAAATCATTCTACTATAAAGACACATGCACATGTATGTTTATTGCAGCACTAATTATAAAGCAAAGACTTGGAACCAACCCAAATGCCCATCAGTGATAGATTGGATAAAGAAAATGTAGTACATACACACCATGGAATACTATGCAGCCATAAAAAGGAATGAGATCATATCCTTTACAGGGGCATGGATGAAGCTGGAAGCCATCATCCTCAGCAAAGTAATGCAGGAATAGAAAACCAAACACTGCATGTTCTCACTCATAGTGGAAGTTGAACATTGAGAACACATGGACACAGGGAGGGGAACATCACACACCAGGGCTTTTTGGGGGGTGGGGGTTAGGGGAGGAAACTTACAGGATGGGTCAATAAGTGCAGCAAACCACTATGACACACGTATACCTGTGTAACAAACCTGCACGTTCTGCCATTATCCTTTTTTTTTTTTTGGAGACAGAGTCTCCGTCTGTCGCCCAGGCTGGAGTGCAATGGCACGGTCTTGGTTCACTGCAACCTCGACCTCTCAAGCAATCCTCCCACTTCAGCCTCCCACGTAGCTAGGACCACAGGCGCACACCATCATTCCTGGCTAATTAAAAAAAAAAATTTGTAGAGATGTGGTCCCACTGTGATGCCCACTGTGAACTCCTGGGCTCAAGCAATCCTCTACCTCTGCCTCCCAAAATGTTGGGATTACAGGCATAAGCCACCTCACCCAGCCAAAAAATACTTTTTGAAAGACAGGGCCTGGCGCAGTGGCTCACACCTGTAATCCCAGCACTTTGGGAGGCTGAGGCGGGTGGATCACGAGGTCAGGAGATCGAGACCATCCTGGCTAACACAGTGAAACTCCGCCTCTACTAAAAATACAAAAAATTAGCCGGGTGTGGTGGCATGCACCTGTAGTCCCAACTACTCGGGAGGCTGAGGCAGGAGAATCGCTTGAACCCAGGAGGCAGAGGTTGCAGTGAGCCAAGATCGCACCACTGCACTCCAGTCTGGGCGACAGAGTGAGACTCTGTCTCAAAGAAAAAGAAAAAGAGAAGAAAGAAAGACAGAAGAGGGGATGCCCCACTTCCACATACTCAATATTTAAAATCCCCCAAAGGAGTCATTACTTCTCTACATTTTCTCACCCACTTCCTGGGCCCTGTAAGTTGCCCTGTGCTCCAAGCTCTGGAAAGCCCCTTCTCCTCCTTCCTCAGTCTGCAATCTCTAAGTGTCTGGAGGCCCACGTTTGGTCCTGCTTCCCTTTTGGCTAGGGGTAGGAAGCACACACCCAGACACATCTGACCTCATATTTGCTTACAAATCCCAGCTGGAATGAAGAACAGTTGCTTCAGGGTCTGGGCAGGGCTCCAGGTTGACAGACATATTTTGCCCACCAAGAACTCCCTGCGGCTGCCTCCTCCCTCTCATGGTGCTGTGGATTTGGTACTTCCCCAAGATACTCACAAGCTCATGTGGGCAAGGGCCCAAGAAGAGATTTCCCAGCTCACACTTCCTCTAAAGATCCTTCCCAGGCCAGGCATGGTAGCCCATGGCCATAATCCCAGCACTTTGGGAGGCCAAGGTGGGAGGATTGCTTGAGCCCAAGAATTTGATATCGGCCTCAGCAAAATGGTGAGACCCATTTCTAAAAATGAAATAAAGACCTTTCCCACGCCCACAGATATACAATCACCAGTTTGGAAATGTCTGCTTCCCAAAGGTCATATGGAGAGGCTTCTGGGATGCTGGTAATGTTCTCTTGATCTGGATGGTGGTTACAGGATATTTGCCTCGTAATATTCATTAAGCCAGACATTGCCGTTTCATGTACTTGTCTGACTGCATTTTGTATTTCATAATTTTGAAAAAGGCAAAAAAGAAAAAAAAAAGCCTCCCTTCCATCCCCAAGCCCTTAATCCAATCAATCCACGTTAAATGAACACCTATCTGCACCCAGCCCCTGCTAGGGAAGGAGAGTCTCATTTTCAAAGAAGTTTCCTAGAGGAAGCAAAAATAACTGGAAAAACAAACACCGAATCCAGCTCTGAATTGTATCTGGAAAACAGACCATGCTGTCATTTGGAGGAGGAGTCCAGAGATCAAGGAGTGGTGGGGCTTAAACTGGGCCTGAATATATGGGCAGGATTTATTAAGTGGAGGGAAGCATTATAGCCAAGACAACAGCATGAGCCAAAGCTGTTAAGTGGGAATGAGGCTGTTTTAGCGGGGAGGCCCCAGTCGTGAAGGGTTCACGAGAGCCGAGTCTGGCTTGGAGGGCCCCTTCTGCTGTCCCCAGCACAGGCGGAGTGGGTGCCACTTAGAGCATCCACCTGCTTCAGCAGGGTAGAAGTGTCTGAGCCCTCGTATAAGGACAGGCATGTGCGTTTCACATTTCTTGGTTTGTTTTGTTGTTTTGCTCAAGTCACAGGCCCATGTGGGCTCATAATCTCCATCCCAGACAGACGAGAAGTTACATCTGCTAGACACATTACATGGGCACACGCTTTCCTGCAGAGGGACTTGCTCAATCCCTGCCTTTTAACCCTGCCCTGCCCTGCAGCTGCCTTCATGTCCCAGCACTAATGAGCTATTTAGAAGTGGGAGTGCAGGGAGGGGACACAAGAACTCAGGATGCAGATTCAGGCACAAGGATGTGTGACAGGCTGTGAGATGACTTCCACCTCATCCCCAGTTCAGAATCCTGGGATTCAGGAGCTTCCACCACCATCACAAAGGATATGACTGGTCACCTGAGACTGTGGGCAAAGGTACCATGAAGTGTTGTGGAGAGGAGGGTCACCAACTCCAGGCAGGGCTGCTAAGTTTATTACAAACAGGCAAGACTAGAATATGTTTCCACTTTAGTGAGTGGAAACCTAATCATTCATAGGTATCCTGTACACACAGAACAACTATGATGAAGAGTGAGGCCTAAATCAGAGGAGACGAGGACAATAATAGTAGTAGTGGTCATGATGATAATAATAACTACCAGACATGAAGATTAACCATGCCTAACATTGTGTTAAACGTCTCACTTCTTTCATTTAATCCTTACAATAATCCAATGATGTAGCTGCTATTATTTTTATTATACAGATGAAGAAACTGAGGGCTTGAGGGGTATACTGCTTTGCCAAAGTCGTACAAATGGTAAGTGCAGAACCAGGATCTGAATTCCGTCAGTCTGACTGCAGAGTCCACGCCGACACCGTGGAAGCTGGTGATGCCCATTAGGCCCTGTCTGGGCATGAAGAGGATGCCCTCCCTCATGAGCTGGAACACAGCATCCCCTGTTGTGGGTGTGGCTCTCTTAAAGACCATCTGGTGAATTTTGCTTGTGCTGGTTTCTTATTAAACAACCTTCAGATTTGGCTTCACGTGCAACTCACATAGAGGGAAAGGAGACCATGATCCGCCAACATGACAGCTGTATTTTTCATTAGTAAATTAGCAAACTGGCTGCCTGGGTCACCATGCATACCTGTTAAGGTGAGCCCGCCCCAGAGCTAAAGGCTACCATGTGCCAACTTAACTGAGATTCTGAGTGTGCAAGGATAACCCCCGTCATGGCCCCGGGTGCCAAGGAAATCCCTTTTAGCCTCCTCTTGGCAGACTTGGCCAGCCTTCCCCAGTGACAGCCTGGCTCTTTGGATTCAAGCTGCCTGGTCAGACTGCAAGGGTCATCTGTACAAAGAAGGAAGCAACAGTGCCAGGTTCCAGCGTGCGTTCCAAGTTCCACATTCTGTGTGCAGACTCCCAACGCCAGAGCAAAGGCAGGCCCCTGGCAGGGGACTGGTAAGGCTTCACCTGATATATTTCTTCCTATATACACGTAACCTGGGGCTTCCTAGACCTTGTACTATGTCTGCTTTCATTGACAGTGGTTCCTAAAGCTGGTCAGCATCACGGTTACCCGGGGAGCCTTAAAACACACACACACACACACACACACACACACACACACACACACACACACACACAAAATTGACTTGTCTTATTTAGGAGCAGAAAATGCTTTTGCTGTAGTTACAAAATGCAGGTTTTTTTTAAAAGTACATCCTAAAGTAATGAGGAGTGGATGGCCCAAATAAATTTTCTTTCTGACTTCTAATGACATTTTGTAAGATTGAACCCAAGGGCTTGGTCTTTGTCACAAACACTGGGTGGTTTTTCCACCAAGCTTGGGAAGTGGTACGGGTTTCTGGGATAGCATTTGTGTGTGTGTGTGTGTGTGTGTGTGTGTGTGTGTTGTGTGTGTGTGTGTAACAAATGTTTAAGAGTATGGTACAGTACTGTTAACTGTATGTACGTTACTGTACAGCAGGTCTCTAGAACTTTTTCATCTTGCATCACGAAAACTACACCCATTGAACAGAACCCCATTTCCCCTACCCCCACCCCTGGAAAGTGTCATTCTGTTAATATTTCCTGGTTCCATGAGTTTGACTACTTTAGATATCCCATAAGTGGAATCATGCAGTATTTAATCTTCTATCATGGGCTTATTTTACTTAGAATTATGTCCTCAAAGTCCATCTATGTTGTAACATGTGACAGGATTTTCTTCCTTTTTAAGGCTTTATAATATTCCATTTTATGTATACACCACACTGTTTTTATCCATCCATCAGTAAGCTTGTAGATTGTTTCTACCTCTTGGCTATTTTGAATAATGCTTCCCTGAACATTGGTGTGCAAACATTTCTTCAAGATTCTATTTTCAGTTCTTTTGAACAGAAGTGGGATTGCTGGATTACATGGTAATTCCATTTTTAACTTGTTGAATAACCACCATACTGTGTTCCATAGCAGCTGCATCATTTTACATTCCCACCAACCCAGTGCACAGGAGTTCCAGTTTCTGCACATCCTTGCCAACACTTGTTATTTTCTTTTTCTTTCTTCTTTTTTTAAAAAATAATGACCATCCTGTCAGGAGTAAAGTGATATCTCATTGTGCTTTTGCTTTGCATTTACTTGATGATTGATGTTGAGCACATGATGTTTTCCTATGCCTGTTGGCCTTTGTATGTCTTCTTTAGAGAAATGTCTACTCAGGTGTTTTGCCCATTTTAAAATCAAGTTTGTTGTTGTTGTTGCTTTTGCTTTGAGTTGTAAAAGTTCCTTATGTATTCTGGATATTAACTTCTTATGAGATATACGGTTTGCAGATATTTTTCCCACTCCATTGGTGACCTTTTCACTCTGTGGATTGTTTGATTTGCTGCATAGATGCTTTTAAATTTTATGCAATCTCATTTGTCTATTTTTGCTTTTGTTGTCTGTGCTTTCTCTGTCATATCCAAGAAATCATTGGCAAGACCAGTGTTATGAAGCTTTTCCCGTTTGTTTCTTTCTAGGAATTTTATCGTTTCAGGCCTTACATTTAAGTCTTCAATCAATTTTTAGTTGATTTTTGTGTATGCTTAAAATAAGGGTCCAATTTCATTCTTTTGCATGTGGATATCTAGTTTTCCCAACACCATTTATTGAAGAGGCTATCTTTCCCCCATTATGTAGTCTTGGCACCCTTATTGATGATCATTTGATTGTAAATGTGGGGTTTATTTCTGGGCTCTTCATTCTTTTCCATTGGTCTATATATCTAGCTTTATGCCAGTACCATACTGTTTTAATTACTTTAACTTCGTAGTATATGTTGAAGTCAGGAAATGTGAGACCTTTAGCTTTGTTGTTCTTTCTCAAGATTGTTTTTGGCTATTTGGGGTCCTTTGTGATTCTATATGAATTTTAGAATTCTCCCACCCTATTTCTGCAAAAAACAGCATCAGGATTTTGATAGGGATTGCACAGAATCTGTGGATCATTTTGGTTAGTATGGACATTTTAACAATATTAGTTCTTCCAACATATGAACATGGGATGTCTTTCCATTTATTTGTTTTTAACTTCTTTCAGCAATGTTTTATACTTTTCAGTAAACAAGTATTCTAGTTCCTTGAGGTGTAAAGTTAGGTAACTTGAGAGTTTTTTTTTTTAATATAGAGTTTACTACTATAAATTTTCCTCTTAGAATTGCTTTTGCTGCATCTCATAAGTTTAGGTATGTTGTAGTTTCATTTTCATTTGGTCTCAAGATATGTTCTAGTTTTCTTTTTGACTTATTCTTTTAAAAATTTTTTTTAGAGATAGGGTCTCATTCTGTTGCCCAGACTGGAGTGCACTGGCACCTCATTAGCTTATTACAGCCTCGCACTACCAGGTTCAAGCGATTCCTGCTTCAGCCTCCCAAAGTGTTGGGATTATAGGCATGAGCCATTGCATCCGGCCTGACTTATTCTTTAACCCTTGGTTGTTCAAAAATGTGTTGCTTGATTTCCACATATGTGTGAATTTTCTAATTTTCCTTCAGCTATTGATTTCCGGTTTCATTCCATATAGTTGAAAAGATACCTGGTGTGATTTCAATCTTCTTAAATTTATTGAGATTCGTTTTATAACCTAACATGTGATCTGTCCTAAAGACTGTTCCATGTGTGCTTGAGAAGAATGTGTATTGTGCTGCTGTTGGGTGGAAGGCTCTGCATATATGTCTGTAAGGTCCATTTGGTCTATGGTGTTGTTCAAGTTCTCTGCTTTTTTACTGATTTTCTGTCTGGATATTCTCTCCATTTTGACAGTAGGGTATTGAAATTTCCTACTATTATTGTATTGCTGTCTATTTCTTCCTTTGGTTCTGTCAATGCTTGCTTCATATATTTGGGTGCTCTGATGTTGGGTACATATATATTTATAAGTGTTCTATCTTCCAGGTGAATTGACTCTTTTATCATTATATAATGTCTTTGTCTCTTGTGACAGTTCTTGACTTAAAGTCTATTTTGTCTGACATCAGTATGGCCACCCCTGCCCTCTCTTGTTACTTTTGCATGGAATATATTTTTCCATCCTTTCACCCTCAGCCTGTGTGTGTCCTTAATTTCTAAAATTAGTCTCTTGTAGACAGCAAATAGTAAGATCTTGTTTATTTTTGTTAATCCATTCAGCCACTTTATATCTTTTCATTGGAACATTTAATCCATTTATATTTAAAGTAATTACTGATAGAGAAAGACTGACTGTTGCTATTTGTTAACTGTTGTTTTTTGTTTTTTGTCTCACGGCTTTTTGTCTCTCTTTTCCTCTCTTGCTATCTTCCTTGTGTTTGACTCCCCCATACCTGCCCCCAACCCCTGGTGGCAACATACTTCAATTCTTTTCACATTTTCTTTTGTGTAACTTCCAAAGGTATTTTCTTTGTAGTAACTGTGGGCTAACATGAAACATGTTATAATTTTAACTGTCTACTTTAAGCTGATGAATTAACTTCAATCACAAGCAAAAACTCTTTTTTTACCCCCCAACATTGTTATTTATGTCACAAATTGCATCTTTTTACATTATGTATCCATTAACATATTTTTATAGTTATGGTTACTTTTTATACTTTTGCCTTTTAACTTCTATACCAGAATTAAAAGTGATTTACATATCACCATTACAGTATTACAGTATTCTGTATTTGCCAATATCTTTATCTTTACTAGTGAGCTTTACACTTTCATATGCTGTCTAGTGGCCTTCTGTTTCAAATAGAAAGATTCCATTTAGTATATCTTGTAAGGTAGGTCTAGTGGTGATGAACTTCCTCAGCTTTTGTTTATCTAGCAAAATCTTTAGTTTTCTTTCCTTTTTGTAGGACAGTTTTTCCAAATATAGTATTCTTGATTAGCAGGGTTTTTTTTTCAGCCCTTTGAATATATCATCTTACTCTTTCCTGTACTACAAGATATCTACTGAGAAATCCACTGTTAGTCTTATAGAAGCTCCCTTATATGTGATGGCTCTTTTCTCTTTCTGTCTTTGACTTTTGACAATTTGATTATAATGTGTCTTGATAAGGACTTTTTTGGGTTTATCTTAGTTGGAGTCCGTTAGACTTCTTGAATCTGGATAGACATTTCCCTCCCCAGATTTGAGAAGTTTTGGCCATTATTTCTTTAAAAACTTTCTATCCTTTTTTCCCAGCCTTCTTTTGAGACTCCCATAATGCATATATTGGTCTGCTTGATGATGTCCTGTAAGTCTCTTAGGCTTTCTTTACTCTTTCTCATTCTTCTTTTCTTTTTGCTCCTTTGACTGGATAATTTCAAATGTTATATCTTCAAGCTCACTGATCTTTTCCTGTTGAACTCCTCTAGTGAATTTTTTCAGTTCAGTTATTGTATTCTTCAGCTCCAAAATTTGTTTGGTTCTTTTTCATATTTTCTATATCTCTTTTGATATTCTCATTTTGTTCATACATCATTTTCCTGGGCTTGTTGAGCATCCCAGGGAACCTTTTAAAGATATGGCTTCCCAGACCTTACTGGCAGAGATTCTGATTCAGTAGGTGTAGGGTTGGGGCCTTAAAAGCTGTATTTCCTTTTTTCTTTTTTCTTTTTATTTATTTATTTTTTTGAGACAGAGTCTCACTCTTGTCACCCAAGCTGGACTGCAATAGTCGAGTTCAGCTCACTGGAATCTCCACCTCCTGGGTTCAAGCGATTCTCCTGCCTCAGCCCCCTGAGTAGCTGGGATTACAGGCATCCACCACCACACCCAGCTAATTTTTTTATTTTTAGTAGAGATGGGATTTCACCATGTTGGCCAGGCTGGTCTTGAACTATTGACCTCAGTTGATCCACCCACCTCGGCCTCCCAAAGTGCTGGGATTACAGGCATGAGTCACCACACTAAAAGCTATATTTCTTAAAGATCCTCCAAGTGGTTCAGATATACATCCGGGTTTGGAACCACTTCTAGTAAAAAGACCACCTTCAATCTCTTCCCCTTCCCTTATATAAGCTTTAGGGAAATGGGGAAGTCTAGGCTTATATAAAGAATATAACGTGTTTTGTTGTTGTTGTTGTTTTTGAAATGGAGTCTTGCTGTGTCATCAGGCTCAAGTACAGTGGCGCGATCTCAGCTCACTGCAACCTCTGCCTCCTGGGTTCAAGCGATTCTCCTGCCTCAGCCCCCTGAGTAGCTGGGACTACAGACACGTGCCACCAAGCCTGGCTAATTTTTTTGTATTTTAGTAGAGACGGGGTTTCACCATGTTGGCCAGGATGGTCTTGATCTCCTGACCTCGTGATCCACCCGTCTCAACCTCCCAAAGTGCTGGGATTACAGGCGTGAGCCACTGCGCCCAGCCATAAAGTTTTTAAATAAAAGCTTCGGGGAAGTGAATAGATAATGGATAGAATATGCAGACAGAAAATCAGTAAAGAAACAGAGAACTTGAACAACGCTATAGACCAAATGGAGCTTACAGACATATATGCAGAACATTCCACCCAACAGCAGCAGAATGCACATTCTCCTCAAGTGCACATGGAACATTCTTTAGGATGAATCTCATGTTAGGTTACAAAGCAAGTCTCATCTCTCCAAGGTGCCATTTTCCGCTTAGTAGTACTCCTTTTTCTCTGTATCGTTTGAAGGTTCTTACAACCCTCCTACCTCCAGGAAGGATTCAATCCTGGCTGGATTAAATCCTGGCTGACCATGAGTTTCTTAAGACTTTCCCCAACCCTCCTGACCCCAAATGTGGATATGCTTTCCATTTATGTATTAATTTGGTGTTTCCATTCTGTTGGCTTGCTATCTGAGTCTTAGGCCACTGCTGTGTAGAGAACTTCTGGACTAGGTCTGCCCTAACTACCTCATTATTATTTGATAACAATGAGAGTGAGTGTAGCAGGGATAGAATTCTGGAGATCCTGGTTCAAGTCTCATTCTTCTAGAGTATAACCTTAGATAAATTGTGTTCCTTCTCTGGACCTCAATTTCCTCATCTGTGAAGTGAGGGGTATATATACAGTCTCTGTAATCCTCCTCTATAGCCTCTGACTTTCTCTTTCATCCTCTTGTTCACTGGTATAGCTGAGAAAGTGGAACTCCAGAGACACTCCTGAAATTGTCCTAAGTCAAAGGAGCCAAACGGTGTACGAGCTCCCTCTCTGCCGTCCCCTCTGAGAGCAGCCATGGCCCTGAGTGATGTCGATGTGAAAAAGCAGATTAAGCACATGATGGCTTTCATTGAGCAGGAAGCCAATGAGAAAGCAGAGGAAATCGATGCCAAGGCTGAGGAAGAGTTTAACATTGAGAAAGGACGCCTCGTGCAAACCCAACGACTGAAGATTATGGAGTATTATGAGAAAAAGGAGAAGCAGATAGAGCAGCAGAAGAAAATCCTGATGTCCACCATGAGGAATCAGGCGAGGCTGAAAGTCCTGAGAGCCCGAAATGACCTCATCTCAGATTTGCTCAGTGAGGCGAAGCTGAGACTCAGCAGGATTGTGGAGGACCCAGAGGTCTACCAGGGGCTGCTGGATAAACTGGTGCTCCAGGGTCTGCTCCGACTGCTGGAACCTGTGATGATTGTACGCTGCCGGCCACAAGACCTCCTCCTGGTGGAGGCTGCTGTACAAAAAGCCATCCCCGAGTACATGACAATTTCCCAGAAACATGTGGAGGTCCAGATTGATAAAGAGGCATACCTGGCTGTGAATGCAGCTGGAGGTGTGGAGGTCTACAGTGGCAATCAGAGAATAAAGGTTTCAAATACCTTGGAAAGCCGACTGGATCTCTCAGCCAAGCAAAAGATGCCAGAAATACGAATGGCCTTGTTTGGTGCTAACACCAACAGAAAGTTCTTTATATAAGCCTCTGGGAAGTGAAGCTAGTGTTGAACCACTAAACCATAAAAGTTTAAGTTTTTTGGGGAAAGGAAACTAGTAGTGTTTCCTCCTCTTTGATGCTCTGATACTGTTCTGTTTTTCTTCACGAAATACCCTTTGGATAGCTAAAGTGTTAACTTTGAAATAAAGCCCAAATTAATGCTCAGAATTCAAATTCCAATTCATCCATACATGCCACAGCTTCTGGTCCATTCTGCAGTCTGGGATAAGGGGAGTGATGACATCTGCTCTTCAGCTTGGCCTCAGGTGGTGAATGTGTGAGATGTGAATAGTGTTCTTCGCCTGTGAATCTGGGTGCTCTAGTTTAATATGCATATGAAGTGTGTTTTTCTTTTGTTTCAGCTTCAGTACCCAAATTTATGTTATTTAATGAGGTCTAGAGATCTTCCTCACATGTCCAGAACCAACTTCATGTGCATCCAACCAGCACAGTCACACAGGGGCCAAGCTCAGAAGGGCCCCGCACCTGGGGATTAGTGATCTGTATTTGCTGCCCTGAAATTCCTAATTTCAACTTTGGATGTATGCTTTGTAAGGGATGCTTGATGGAACCCTGGGGCATGTGCCAGGGGTTTGGAGCCTTGGCTCACACATGGTACTGACTCCCAAAGCCTACCCACCTTCTTGGGATGGGTTGTTGGCCAACCAATTCCCAGTCCCCTGGTGCCCTGAGGCCCAGCCTTCCTCCACCTCACCCAGTAAGCATTGCTTCCCTCTGCTCCTGGTGGGGGCCTGGTGTACCTGCAGGGAGGGTCAGAATGGGGTTTCATGCTCTGTGGAGTTTCAGGGCCTGAAATCTCTGCCCAAGGCTGGCAGCTCCATAGCATATTCAGTAGACAACTTGAGGGAAGGGGTGAGTCTCTTACACACCAGATACTGAGCCCGTCCTGGTGTAGAGGTTTAAAGACCCTAGGAGTTACCTATCCGCTATAGGGCAGCCAGCCCACTGGAAGGAGAGATGCCAGCTCATCTTCCCTGATCCTGGCCCAGGCCCACAGTGGTGGCTAGTGGGAAGGGGGACCCAACCACTGCCGAACTTGCTGCACCAGAGTCTTAGGGCAGGACCCTCAGGAGCTTGTAAATGTCTGCACTTGGCCTGCAAAGTATCTCTGTGCCTGGCCGGGTCCTCCCTTGGACAGCTCAGTGCCTGGGGGAACTTGGATGCATCTCTTCTGGCCAGTGTGAGGCACCTTCTGGGAGGAGCCAAGAAATACAGATTGTATAATTTTGGTGACTTGGCATATAGGCATTGCACAATAGAAAAGTAAATGGTAGAATTCATGCTAATAATTTAAACTTCGAATGGTAGAATTCATGCTAATAATTTAAATTTTCTTCACTTAAGACATTAAACAGCAAATAAACACTATGAAAAGTCAAGAAAAAACTACAGAAGAAAGGAAAAAGCTTTATCTTTTAGTGCCATTCATGGCACTTCTTTCCTGCTTTTTGAACAAAGGATCTCACATTTTCTTTACTTTTCTTCTTCTTCTTTTTTTTTTTTTCTTTTTTTTTTTTTTTTTGAGATGGAGTTTCTCTCCTGTTGCCCAGGCTGGAGTGCAGTGGCACGATCATGGCTCACTGCAACCTCCGTCTCCTGGGTTCAAGTGATTCTCCTGCCTCAGCCTCCCGAATAGCTGGGATTACAGGTGCGTGCCACTATACCCAGCTAATTTTGTATTTTTAGTAGAGACGGGGTTTCACTATATTGGCCAGGCAGGTCTCGAACTCCTGACCTCAGGTGATCCACCAGCCTCGGCCTCCCAAAGTGCTGGGATTACAGGCGTAAGCCACCGTGCCTGGCCAGATCTCACATTTTCATTTTGTACTGGGCTCTGCAGATTACATAGCAGGTTCTGCATATGTATGTGTGATTTAAGGTCTAGTGCATGCCTGATGTTGCTTTACTTATTAAAATAGAATTTTTTTGAAGAAAAGAAATCCCAAGATGCTCTGCTGAGGGCAAAGGTTGGCCTGTGTGGTTACGACTCTGTAAGGAACAGAAACTTCATGAAACTCAAACACAAAGTAGGGGACAGGCTACTAGTAAGTTGGGGTGTCTCACAGAACCTAGAATAGGAATCCTTCATGATCTCAGGAGAGGGCTGGAATTGGGACTCAGAAAGCCATCTGAAATCCTCTATATGGCCATTTTTCTTTCTTTAACGAGTGACTTTCTCTGTTGCCCAGTTTAAATGGTGGAATATGCATGCCCCACAATTCCAAAGTTGACATGTTATAGTTCCAGAAACAAACTTGCTTCTCTTGAAGTCCATTCCATTTTCCCAGGAGGGAATCTATTTGGCCGAGCTGGGGTCAGGTGTCTACCTATGGTCCATGTGGTGTCTGGGGTAGTTCCCAGAGAAAGAAGGGTCTTTGTCAACTGAACGGACTCCCCACAGGGTGTCTTCTATGTGGGCCCTTTTGAGTTTCAAATGAACATTGTTTTTTTTGTTTGTTTGTTTGTTTGTTTGTTTTTTGGTTTTTTTTGAGATGGAGTCTAGCTGTGTCGCCCAGGCTGGAGTGCAGTGGCATGATCTCGGCTCACTGCAACCTCCGCCTCATGGGTTCAAGTGATTCTTCTGCCTCAGCCTCCCGAGTAGCTGGGACTACAGGCACGTGCCACAACACCTGGCTAATTTTGGTATTTTTAGTAGAGACAGGGTTTCACCATGTTGGCCAGGCTGGTCTCGAACTCCTGACCTCATGATCTGCCCGCCTTGGCCTCCCAAAGTGCTGGGATTACAGGTGCAAGCCACCGCGCCCAGCCTCAGTGAACATTTTCCAAATGCCAGTGATGAGCCAGGCACTGTGCTGGGTGCTGGGCTGCAAAAAAGAATATGATCTGGCTCTTTTCTTTAAGGAGTCATAGACACATAAACAGATGATGATCATGATAATGATACAATGTAGCAAGTGCCAGCCTAGTGCTGATGTGCAATCCTGTGGGAAGACAGTGGCTGGAAGGGAGGGTAACAGAAGGGTTCCTGGGCTTTGGCAGTTGAGCTGGGGAAAGCGCTCCAGGCAAAGGAAGGAAAGCATGTGCCAAGGCCCTGAGGTGTGAAAACGCAGGGTGCATTACAGGAGCTGTGTGTAGTTCAGCGTGATGGAATGTGAGGGGTGAGGAGGAAGAGACCATGGATGAAGGTGGAAAGATGGGCCTCATTACAGGGTGTTGCTCTGGAGGTTTTCTTGTTTGTTTTTGTTTTTGTGGGGTTTTTTTTGTTTTTTGTTATTTTTTGTTTTTTTTTTTTTTGAGATGAGGTCTTGTTCTGTTGCCCAGACTGAAGTGCAGTGGTGTGATCTTGGCTCACTGCAACCTCAACCTCCTAGGCTCGAGCGATCCTCCCATCTCAGCAGGTTACAGCAGGAAGTGGGAGCCAAATTCCCAGAAGGGGATGGGCTGGGGGCTTGGTCCCCAGTCCTGAGTAGCTGGGACTACAGGCATGCACCACTGCACCTGGCCAGTTTTTTTTATTCTTTGTAGAGATGGGTCTCACTATGTTGGCCAGGCTGGTCTTGACCTCCTGGGCTCAAACAGTCCTCCAGCCTTGGCCTCTCAAAGTGTTAGAATTACAGGCGTGAGTCACCACACCTGGCCTACTCAGGAGTTTTGACTTAATTCTGGTGGGTGAGTGATAAGGAGGTCATTGAGGGACTTTAAGAGTGAATGAAACAATGAGAGCTGGACTTTCAGAAAGATTATTCCAGTGTCGCTCTAGGTGGAGGACACATTAATGTGGGGGAGAGACTGGAGGTAGGGCACCTCTCATGGGGGCTATTTATCAGCCTGAGTGAGAGGTGATAAATAACCTACCCGCTCTTTCGTGAGGCAGGTGAACTTCACGACACAAAGGTGGAAGAGATTAGAATCAGTGACTTCTGTCCTATGCCTCCTCCCTTCCCCCACCCCAATATATTTTTTCATTTGTCCAGGCTTGAGGCTCTATTAGTTTCACATCATCTTACAATTTTTTCTTATGAGAGTCTCCCTATGCTCCAAGATTTCCCCCCTCTCTCCTCACCATCATTCCAGGCCCAGCAAAGCACCCACTTCCCAGCTGATCAAGCCCCCAGCCCTTCCCCTTCCGGGAAGTCAGCCCCCACTTCCTGCTGTAACCCTGGAGTGTCTGAACCCCCTCGGCCTACCCTAGCTCTGGCCCCCTGAGCCACCCTCAATCTGTTAGCTGCCCCCAACATCAATTCACCTCCCCCAAAAATGGACAGTCGTAGGTTTTATGAAGGGTTTTGTGGGAAGTTGAGGAGAGTGTTGCATTGTACCTATGGGACAAACTTTCCCCTAAGTTGCATTTAAGCATCTCTATATTTTCCAACTTTTCTCTCTCCTGGAGCTGCCACACATTAGCTCTTTCTCCCCAGCCTTCTCCCTCTCAACCCCGTGGGTTCCAGCCTTTACCTCACCATGTCCCTTCAGCAACACAAAAGCCTTGGCCTCTCGCAGTCTCTGGACGTAGGGACTGTGTCTCTCGTTGAGGACTTTTCACACACTACTTTTCTATACTGTTAGCAACTTTATCTACTGTGTCTCATCTTTTTAGACACAGCTCCTTATGGACAGAGACTGTGTCTTTTCTCTTTTTTGCATCCCCTGCTGCTGTGTTACTTTAGTGCCTAACACAGTAGGTTCTGAACAAGCGTTGATCATTGTTACATTCTTCTCTCCAGGCCTGGCTCTGGGTTATGGATGGAGGACTCCAGAGCCTCTCTCCTTTCCTAGTCCATAGATTTGGACATAAAAATGGGCAAGGATATGAGATGGTGGTCAGGGGAAAGGTGGTGCATTGTATTCCAAGGATCCTTCTGGACAAGAAAATCCTCTGTTGCTCCCAGGGAAAGACTGTGGATGGGAACAGCCTGAAATTCAGGCAGGATATGCCCCCTGCCTCACTTCAGTCCAGTGGTTGGTTACTCCTGGGCTTGCCTGAGGATTTATTGAATCCCATCCCTCCATGGGAAACAGATGGGAGGGGCTTTGCTTTGGACCTGGGTGCAGAGGCAGGAGGCTCTGGAGGGACTGGGCCTGGTCTGTGTCCTCCATGGGGGCCTCAGCCATGGGAGAGGCACATCTTAGCCTTCATGTCTATGTGGCCATCAAGGCTAGACTTGACCTTTGGGGTGGGCTACCTGTCACCATCCTGTTGAGCTCCGACAGCTACGGCCCTGTAGAGGTCTTTACCTTAGAAAGGTTTGCACTGGGCGCATTCTCTTAGTTGAGTGAATGGTACACACTAATATGCATCTTTTATTGGCATTAACATCCTCCCCTCTAGAAGGCATGCTCCTTGTGTAAGCTCCTTGGTCCCGTGAGCCAAAAGGAGCAAACTGTTACGACGGCAGACAGGCACAACCCTTCCCCACACCTCTCTTCATTAACACTTCCTCCCCAGGCGCAAGGGAAGCTGTCTGCTACGGATGCAGAGGCTTTGCTTATGGTGATGGGACTGCTGTAGACTCACTCCCTGCTGGGGAAGAGCTGGGGGAAGCTGAACACACAGCAGGGAGGTCCTGCCCCACATGCTAGGAGGCCAGCTGCCTCCTGAGGATGGTAGGCAGAGTAACTTGGTGAAGGGAGAGTGTGGATTTGGTTCTGATCTTGAGCTGCCTGGAGAGCCAGAGATGGAGGGGATGCTTTGATTGTGTGGCAGGACCTCAGAGAAGGCAGGGGAACCAACAGGAAATGCTGCAGGGCTTCATCTCTGACCCTGGGCTCATGGGGCCCGTAGAAGTGGGTCAGCAGATCAACTCTGGGCCCAACCACACACACCCCACCTCAGCTCTAGGGAGCAACTGCAGCCCCTTCCTAGGCTCCACAGGGACATTGCTGAAGTCTTTGCCCCCATCCTATGCTCTCCCCAGTCCACCCAGACACCCCTTCCAATTCACAAGTTCATCTCTGAAATCACACCTGGTACTGACAGCACTGGGAAAGGACTCTAGTCTCACCTCCCACCCCCACCTTACTATGGGTGGTCCTAAAGCACGATAAACCCTCACCTTTCCTAGCGCCCCGTGCTTTCCTGCACAATCACACAGCTTACCCAGTGGTCTTGCCTTACAAAACGGCAATATGTCAACCTAAACGGTAGAAGCAGAGACAAAATTAATATAAGTAGAGAGTTTATTTGAGTCAAGTTTGAGGATTGCAACCTGCGAGCATAGATTCAAGTTGCCCTAAATACACACTCTGATTAGCTGAAGTTACAAGTGGATTTTTAAAGGCAAAAGCAGAGGATGGGGTATGGGCTGATATAAAGTTGTTTGTCAGGAATTCTCATTGGTTTACATAAATAACATTGATTTGATTGGCTATACATTGTTAAGCTATAAAGCGTGGGTTACAGTGTCTGGTGAGGCACTATTAGGTTGATCTATAGCTACCTGTGGTGATAGCAAGCAGCTTCAAGAGACGAACACATTGCTCAAAGCAGGGGAGTAGGACATGATTGCTGTCTCGTTTTAGTGTCTCTCTGGGCCTGATAATTAAAAGGACTTGTATTCCTCAGATAAAGGTTCTTTTCTTAACTCCTTTCATTGGGAGGTGAGTTACTCTGCTTCCCATTGCTGATGCAGCAAAAGGGGATCAGTCCAGGCAGGCCCTGGGCCCGGCTCCCCACACCCTCCAGCACATCCTTGGAGTGGGGGCACCGAGCACATGCTTTCATCACTGGCAGATGAGCCTGTAGAGGGTGATGTTTGACTCACCCTAGCTCCTACCAAACCTGAGTGGATTGATGTCCTGGAGATTACAGAAGGTTTAGAGCATGAAGTGACCTTGAGAGCCAAATGTTTGTCCGAATCTGAAGCCCAGAGTAAGCCAGGAAGCAGTCCAGGGTCATCACCAGCTAAGAAGCCTCCTGCAACTGCAAACAGAAAGCCTGAAAAGACTAGGTTGTCATCGTTCATTTTATGAAAAACTTGCTGTACAGAAGCTTAAGAACTTTGGCTTCCAGCAGGACAGAGAGGACAGAAAGTGCGTGGCCACAGCTGGGTCCTTGGAAAATCCTTCATGTCTCCTTCCCAGGGTGTTGTGACCTCAGGGCTTGGTCAAAATGAAGGCCCACAGAGAAGGGGTGCCTGTGGGTGACTGTACAAGGGATGTGACTTGAGGGGCCCAGGGAAAGGCTGGAAGGAAGGAAGAAAGGAAAGGAGAGAGGGAAGGAGGGGGAGGGGAGGGAGTAGAAACAAAATGCGTTGGGGTTCAACCCGTAGAAGGAGAACGATAGGGAGTGTTTGAAGATTTTTGTCTTTGCTTGTTTGGAAATTGAACCTTGGGTTTTCATTCAGTTAAATTCAGTTCAGTAGACCTCTTATTCATTCATTCATTTGACAAATATTTATTGAGTAGTTACCAAGTGTCAGACACTCTGCCAGGCACTGCATCCCTTGCAATGAACAAGACAGTTAAGGCCCAGCCTTCACAAAGGAACATTCTAATGTGGATAAAGCAGGGAGGGGTGGGCACAGTGGGAGGGGTCAGGTTTGTGAAGGAACCCTAAACAAGTGGGCAGGTGATGACTTGGGATTGGTTAAAGTGTTAAGGAGAAGTAAAGGGTTATGGGCAGCATGGCCTTCCATGACCCCAGCTCAAGGAAGGCCTCTTCCTAAATCTCCCTTGCACCTAAAGGAAGGGAAGGAGCCAGACACAAAAACAGAAGAAGGGGAGGAGGGAACTGGGGAAACAGGAAGGGCATTCATTCTAAGCAGAGGGAACGGCAAGCGTGTCACATCTGTCTTGGATTGTTTGGGCTGCTATAAGAAAATACCTTAGGCTGGGCAATTTATAAACAAGAGAAATTCATTGCTCACAGTCTGGAGGCTGGGAAGTCCAAGATCAAGGCACCTAATCTCATTCATGAGGAGCAGAGCCCTCCCAATCTAATCACCTCCCAGAGGCCCCACTTCTTAACACTATCACCTTGGGGATTAAGTGTCAACACATGAATTTTAGGGGGACACTGACATGCAGACCGCAGCAACACTTGAACCATGGGGGCATCAAGGCAAAAACAGCTCTGTTGGTTTAAGGAGCAAGAAGGAGACCAATGGGGCTTTGCTAAGTGTGTGGAGGAGAAAGAGAAAGGATAAGGCTTTTGTGGGTCTTGTGGGCGGCATTTAAGGAATTTGGATTTATCCTAACTAGAGTGGGAAGCCACTGGGAGCTCCAAAGTATGTAAGGGACACGGCCTCATTTTACTGTGTGCCAGTTCTTGCACTTGCCTCTCCCCTTCCTTGCTCAAAATAACTCTCAGCAACTCCGCAGAAGTAGGAAAGCCAATGCCCCATCATCAGCCAGCTCCAACCAATGCACACTTAAAACATTTTTTTTGGAAAGCCCCCTGTAAATAGTTTCTGGGGACAATGATATTCCTTTTCCTTGCAAAGAATACCATTAGCTTCACCTATGTCTTTAGTAGCAGAAGTGGCTAACATGATGACAATCCCACCCCAAGGCAGGAACAAACACATGCACTGTTTACAGAAATCCTTCAGGCCAGCAGAGGAAGCATCACCTTATCCACGCACTCTCACCTCCCTTTCTCCTTACTGGGGACCCTCACCTGCCAGCAGGACTGCTAAACCTAGGCTTAGCTCCCCCTTTTAAATTTTTGTGCCATTACCACACCTCCATACCTTTCAGTTTTCTCTTAGTTCTTTAAAGCATGCTTAAATTTCTTGACTACTTGAGTTGAGAGGCACCTCTTCCTGCCTCCTTCTACCTTCCAGAAACTTTCCCCACTGTGCTGTGGAATCCTCAGACTCGGACATCTCCTGGACTCTCAGCCCATTGGTTTGTTTCATGTGCTTTGGAGTTTCAGTTTGTTGCCCTGGAGAGATGACCACCCCTTTACCTGTGACTTCCCAGATTTTTCCCACTTTGAGCCATGAGGTTCATCAGCCCCACCAAGGGACTAGGGAGTGGGGTGAGGGCTAGGGTATTGGCTCTGGCCCCATAAAAATCAGAAAGATATGGTTAGCAAGAAGGGTGCTGGGTATATCTTGAATGAATGAATAGAGCCTGGCTTTGTGGAATTGTGGCCCTGTCTTTGATGGATTCCTTTGGGCTTTAGATTGGGCTCACTCCCCGTTCTCTCCAGCTGCTGTGTGACCCTGGCAAGTCACATATCTATTAAGTGAGGGACCAGGGGCCCATGACCAACTTTTCTGGGGCTCTCCAGGCCCCCAATCCCCACCCCAGTGCTGGCTTCACCAGCTGTCGCTGACCCTTGACCTCTTCTCATCTCTCTTTCCAGGCTTATTTCACTGATACCGGCCTGGTTTGCAACTGGACTTTGGCACATTCTGGCCTCGGGGATCCTTGCTTCTCTTACTGGGGTTGTGGGCAGGGTTGTACCTTAAACTGCAAGAAGAGGATAAACTACAAATCCACTGGCCTCTGTCTCCATCCAAGGGCAGAACACGTTACCAGGGAGACTGCTTTTGAGGACAAGGGTGGCTGTGTGTGTATGGTTGGGGGGAAGTGGGTGGGTGGATGAGTTTGGAGAGTGCAGGAGAATGCTTTAGGCCTTTGACTTCCCATTCTGAAGACCAAGAGCATTAACAGGCATGTTTCCTGCCTCCAGGCTTACCCACTAGAGAGAACCTACACTTGGATCTTGGGTTTGGGGTCTTAATAATAGCAGTTTGTATTCTCTAGGCAGGGCTTTGCAGCCCTCTATGTGAGAGAATCACTGTGCGTTTATAGGCCAGAGCCTTGAGGCGGGAGCTTGCAAGCCTAGGGTTCTAGTGCAGCGTTGCCATTCACCTGCTAGTTTACATCAAGCAACTTGCTCACTTTTTCTTGGCCATAACTGTCCTGTCATTAACGTGGGAGAGAAAATGCCTATTTGCATTGGGATGTTTGGGCCATAAAATGAGATGAAGCAGAAAGCATACTCTAAAAGGCAAAAGAGGCATCTAGGTGTTCCATGCTAATTTTGATACTAAACCTTAAATCAATGAAACTAGTTTTATTATTAAACAAGAAATAGAAAAATGTTATAGAAGTTCAAAAAATATTTTTAAATCAAATTTAATTTTACTATCCTGTTGCAGTTATCATTTCCTCTTTCCTTACAGATTTTACAATGATATCCTCAAATAATTATGCATAATATGCCTAGCATTTTTTATTTTTTCACATAATGGTTTCACTTGGTCTTTGTAATCTTCATTTTCAATGGCTGCAAACTATTGCAATAGATATATATTTTATAACTCACTTAACAAATCCAATAGTGACCCGAGTATCAACAGTAATTGATATGTGAGCTACTTTCAAGTTTTCATTATAATGAATACTGCTGTAATCAGCACCTGGCTTTTTAGTGAAATCGACCTGTACATAACATTTTATCTAATTGTTAAATTAATACACACACACACACATTATAGAAAATTTAAAAGAAAATCTAAATCACTGGTGATTGTACCACTGAGAGATACCATAGTGAAAATGTGGGAGTCTGTCTTCCCATCCTTTTCCTCTGCATACATTGTGTGTAGTGGCAAATGTATACACATATATACACATCACTGGCCTGATGGTGTATATGCAGTGTTGTATTCTTATTTCTTCCTAGTTACTATTGTGGCAGACAGTTCAGAGTGTGGAGGCTAAGAGGCTGGGCTCTAGACTCAAATTAACCTAAATCAGAGTTCATCCCTTTGGATAAACTGTAACCCTCAATTTTTCACACTTTATTAGCTATTCAACTTTAGGCAATTTTTTTTTGTCTAGGCCAGTTTTTAGAAGAAGAAGAATGCTGGGTGCAGTGGCTCACATCTGTAACCCCAACACTTTGGGGGGCTGAGGTGGGCAGATTGCTTGAATCTAGGAGTTAGAGACCAGTCCAGGCAACATAATGAGACCCTATCTCTACAAAAAATTTTAAAAATAGCAGGGCGTGTTGGCGAGTGCCTGTAGTCCCAGCTACTTGGGAAGCTGGGTTGGAGAATTGCTTGAGCCAGGGAAGTCGAGGCCGTATGAGCCATGATTGCGCCACTGTACTCTAGCCTGTGGGACAGAGTAAGACCCCGCCTCAAAAAAAAAAAAAAAAGAAAGAAAGAAAGAAAGAATTAGATGATCTGTCTCTTAAGGTTGTAAGAGTCAATCCACATAAAGCATTTAGCAGAACATTTGGCACATGACAAATACTTGCTATTGTCATTGGGTGGGTGCATGTTGCATGTCATGAAAAATTCTTAAAAATCAGCATTTTAAATGACTTTCATATTGTTCTTTTATACCTGATTTATTCATTCTCATCATATATAGTTAGTTTAATAATAAGAGAGTGAATTTTGTAAACCTTTGCTCTAGTTTGGACTATTTCCATATGCAAGCATCCTAGAACAGGAATTAATGAGTTAAAGAATATGACGATTTTTAAAAGGCTCTTAATACATATGCCAACTTGCTTTGGCAGAAAGGATTTTAAATAACGGGGCTTAGGCATAGTTTTCAAACGGCAGCAACGAGAAGTGTAGTCTTCGACTTTTTTCCTCCCTCTTTCTCCTCCTTTCTTACGTCGTAGCATTTGGAGCCTAGACTTTTGAGACGGTCCCTTGGTGTGAAAAGGGCCGGCGTACCGGAGAGGGAGGAGGAGGAGAGAGCAGGTTTGAATGTCCGGACAGTCTTAGTAATTGTATCACAGTTGACAGATGCGACAGCGGCCACGTGACCCGTGTATGACCTCATAGCTCCGAGGCTCGTGCGTTCAGAGCCCGACCCAGCGGCGGCGGGAGGAGGGGAGTGCGTTTTCATCACCCCAAGTTGGCAAGTTACTCAAAGGATACGTGAGGGTTTGGGAACTCTCCTTGGTTTCCTGGGCACTGGGAAGCCCAGGCTTCTCTAATCACTGGGAAGCGAGACGATTTAGCCTCACAATTAGCAAACATTTGCTAAATGCAACTAGGTGCCCTGTTCTGGCTGCAGGCCAAGCTCCGTGCCAGGTTTCATCTTACTTCATTCTGATTATCGACATCTCACTGCCGAGGAAACAGACTTGCAGACACCGATGAGAAAACTTAGGAGCCAGCTGGGGAGGGAGGACTGGCCCAAAGTCACAGTCAACAGGAGGAAGCGGCGCGCGCCTAGCTACGCAAAACCGTATTGGACTCGGGGAGCCAGGGGTCGGGGTGGGGTGGGGGCGCGGCCGGCTGGGAGGGCTTCCCTGAAGAAACGTACCGTTTAGGCAGGATGGAAAAACGCAGAGCAGAACGCACCCTGACCTGGCAGAGCATCTGTAGTGGAGAGAATGGGATTTTAGAGGAACGCTGAAAATAAAACAAGAAAACAAAAGACCAGAGGAAAGTATTGCTAGGGTGAAGAGGGAGCGCCTTGGCTCCTTTGCCACCAACCCAGCCCCAGTGAGAGTTTACCCCCTAACTTTGAGGGTGCCCTCCCATCCCCAGAGCCCTTGGTTTTACGTCTAAGTACACTCCCCTTGCAGGGAAGCGCCAGCTCCGTGACCCTGGTTCTCTAAACATTTTCCTTGCAGACTCCTAAAAGAATTTTGAAAATCTGTGTACCCCTTGCACATTTTTAGGTGCAAACATTTAAATTGTTTTCATAAGTTTAAATAGTTACATAGAGTCTACTTTCTGGTGTATTGCAAATATTTGACATTTTAAAATAAAACTGTCACAGTACTCTGAAAAATGTTTCTAAATGTAATGCTATTGTGATTGGATACAACCATCATCCCTTTTAAAACTACATGAACAATTTGAACAAATTTCATTTCTTTTTTTCTCCTTGAACTTATATTTCTCTTCTACTTCCCGTACAGAATTTTAGCAGAATATATTTTTACGGTTCAAAGTCTTTTATGTATCACCCTTCACTCTATCATACTTCTTCCCAACAAAACTATGTGTATAAGACGAATTTACTTTTAAATTTTTCTGTGACCATATACTCAGTGTTAAAGAACATTTTGTCTTCATTTGTACCAGGATGACTAGTACACAATCAAAACAAATGCTTTACAAATTGTAATAGGTAACAAGAAAGCATAAAGAATAATTAATTTGAAATGCATCTTTTAAGGAAATGACGCTTCCTTCTTCATCCCAGTTAGTTCCTATATTCATGGGTGAATAATCGTTATTGCTAGAAAGGGTCAGAGTTCAGCATTAATTCTATTCCTGTTTTTCTTTTTTAAAAATTGATGCTCAGCTCAGAAACCTTTTTCACATAAGGACAAAGGAATGCAAGGACTTTGGTGATAGCAGTGTCATTCAACTGTATAAATTCCTTTCGAGTTATATGCCAAAAATCATATGGGCCGATCATTAAAAATCTATCAGCTGACCGCTAGAATTGATTCTCCTTCACTTTGAGTAAAGGCAGGGAATTGAAAGCTAGTTGATTTGTTCGGTCATTAGAGTTGCTCCTGCTCATTTTCTCAGCATGGATACCAGGATTTAGATTCTCCCTTCACTGCACTGGACATTTTCCCTGGTCAATGCACCATGGTAAGATGTGGGATCGGTAAGAGGTATGCCCTTTTTGGGGGGAAATGGGAGAAAGGGGAGGCAGGAGGGAGAACCACAGCAGCAGCATCCACTGGCATGTACTCAGACAGGTCACCTGTATAAGACAGCCAAGCAGAAGTTGAGGATTTGGTCCCGTGAGTCTCTTCAAATGACCCACACCAAAATACGTATCCTTTGGAAAATCTTCATATCCTTAAGAGTGCCTGCCTCTTAGTTTGTACTGGCCCATTCCTGGATTAGTGAGCAAAGGAAAGAAAGGCGATGGGGTGAGGGGTTCCTGCAAGTTCTGAAGGTTTATTTGCAGGAGGGAAGGTACTCTCCTGAGGGCTGACCTCCCTGAGGGGTGACCTTCTTTCTTCAGGGCCTTTCTTGGGAGGAGGCAAAAGTAAAACCGATCTGAACCCCACGCCCGCCAGCTGTCTCTCCAGACTGAAACTCTTCTCTCAGAGCCTTCCTTCTCTTTTTGGTTCAACTTGATTTGAGCTCTTGAAAGAACCTACTTCTCATTCCTCCATGGGGTGCCTCTCAAGGGCAGAGTGGTGTCTGCAACAGACCCATCAGAGTGGAGGGGAGCATTGTGGGGTCAGCCAAGGCCAGGGAGAGTGAGAGTCCTGTTGGACCCAGACACAGCACTGGCCTCCTTTGCTAGCTTCCCTCTCCTCACCAGCCAGGGCACGCTCATTCATGGTGCCTTTGTGTCCTTAGAAAAAGACCCTCTTTTGGGCAGATGCAGCACCATGAGCCCATGGGGTGGGGAGGACAGGACACCTTTGTACTAAGAAAAAAGCTCCCCTTCTTCTCAACTGATGCAGCCCAGTGCCAAGGGGCATAGCTTGGCCAGGGGAGGGTGGGCTGGATTTCAGCTCCCACATGTCCCCGCAGCTGGACACCTTTTGGCATTGCACAGCTGCCTAACCAGGGGGGTTTGGGGACACTCAGGATAGATGTAGAAGAAGGATGAACGGATACTCTGGCCTGCCCCCAGCCCTGCTCTGAGATGTTTCTCATACGCTTCTGCTGGAATTCCCTGCCAAATGGACTCTATTACATTATACCTTAAAAAAATAAACTAAAGACAGCCAGACTGACATGGAATTCCCTAGCATGCATGGCTCATAGAACTACCCTAGTCTCCAGCCTCAGCACACGCCTCAATCCTTGGGCTCAGCTGAGAAGATGTCATTGAAAGAAATCATTAAACTTCAAGGTTGCAGGCAGCCATGTGTTAGCTATTTTTTTTTTTAAGCCTGGAGCAAGGAGTCTATGAATTACGTTTCCCAAATCCGTAAATGCAACCTGAGAAAACCCCACACCGCGATTTGCTATAAAGAAAAGCTCTGATAGATTTCTCTCTTAAATACAGCACCTCCCAGCAAGTCAGTGCCTAACATTTGTGGGGACCTAGGACAAGAGGACCAAAGGAGATCCACAAACATTGTGTTGACATATGTTTAACTATAATCCGTTAATAGCAAACTGTCAAATGCTGTAGCCCCCTATCTTGACAAATCTTCATAATGACCTGGAAGGTCAAGTTTGAATTAGAATCTCATTGTCCTGAGATAGCCATGCTGAAACATTGTGGTTGTGGGGAGATCTGGCTGCAGGCCTTCCCCATCGCTGACCCCGGAGCCTGCAGCTCATAGCCCATGGCCTGCCCTCCTCCTGTCACACTGAGCTCTGCCTTAATCTTTGGGGAGCCTGATACGGGCATTCCAGACTCCATATCCAAGTTCCAATCACACCTCTTATGGCCTACAGTTTTCTTTTTTTTTTTTTTTTTGGTGACAGAGTCTTGCTCTTGTCACCCAGGCTGGAGTGCAGTGGCACGATCTCGGCTCACTGCAACCTCCACCTCCCGGGTTCAAGCGATTATCTGGCCTCAGCCTCCCAAGTAGCTGGGACTACAGTCGCCCACCACCACTCCCGGAGGGGTTTCACCATGTTGGCCGGACTGGTCTCGAACTCCTGACCTCTGGTGATCTGCCCGCCTCGGTCTCCCAAAGTGGTGGGATTAAAGGTATGAGCCACTGTGCCTGGCCATGGCCTGCAGTTTCTAGAGACAGATCTGAGGCCTTTTGGGCAAGTAATTCCAGGGTCCTGTATACCCAGAGTATGGTCTAGGAAAGAGGAAGGAGGTGTGAGCATGGGTGGAGACAGCCACTGGGTCCTGGAGACTCCTTACCCCACAGAGAAGAGTCAGGCTGGAGGAGAGCCAGAGTAGAGGCCTCTTAAAGTGCATGCCCAGAGCAAGGTCCCTCTTGTCCAGGTCTGAGGGCAGTACTGCCTCCCAGAGTGACAGCAGCTATGTGATATGCCCTTGCCTTCTGGAGGCCAATCCCCGACCCTCACCCCCATCACACACAAACTGGGCAGGTATCTCAAGAACCTTGGTTTTTTTTGGTAACAATTTTATTGAGATAATTCACGTACCATGCAATTCACCCTCTAAAGTACTGATTCTTCAGTGGTTTTTACTGTGTTCATAGAGCTGAACAACCAACCACTAGCACAATCAATTTTGGAACATCTCTTTACCCCAAAAGAAACCCTGTACCTTTTAGTTGTCACTGCCAAATCCCTCTGTTCCTCGAGCCCTAGGCAACCATGAATCTACTTTCTGTCTACAGACTTGCCTATTCTGGACATTCCATGTAAATGAAATCATACATGTGGCTCTTTGTGACTAGCTTCTTAGCATAATATATTCAAGGCTCATCCATGTTATAGCAGGAATCAGTAATTCATCCCTTTTTATTGCCAAATATTGTATGGATATCCCACATTTTATTTACCTACCCACTGGTTGATTGACACCTGGGCTGCTTCCAGACCTTTCATGGACCATCCTGCGAGCGCAGTGCTCTGTATGTTGGCAGCGCACAGCATATGCTGTGTCTGTGGAGTTTCCCGCTGGGCATCCCCTCTCAGCCAGGCCCTGCTGCCACTTCCTTTGGCACCATCATCAAGCCCTTCGTGGTGCTAGAGGAGGGCTGTTTTCTCTCAAGAAGTGGGGAAATGGCTCCCTTCCCTGAAGACGGGCACACGTGCTTACATATGTTCCAATGGCTCTGCTTCTCTACATCTCCCTCAGACTCCCTTGGTTAGGTTCATGAATACATCTTTCTTTATAGAACAGGCTGGGCACAGATGCCATGGTATCTCCTATGTTAGCTGTTGCTGAGCTGAGGTGCCAAGTCATATAACGAGAAAGCCCTTGCAGGATTCAGAATTCTTGGTTGTGAGTGAGAGAAACCCAATTCAAATCAGTTAACAGCAAAAATGGAAGCTGAAAGGTCTAGGGATAGCTCTTATCTCAGGTGGATCCAGGGACCCAAATCATGTCATCAAGAAATCACTTTCTCTCTCCCTCCTTCTCCATCTGTCTTCCCATATCTTGGCTCTGCTTTTCTCCATATCGATTTTATTCTCAGGTAGGCTTTCCCCAAGTGGAACAAGATGACCAACAGCATCTCTGGACACATAGTCTACCAGCTTAGTAGCCAATGGAATAAGAGCTCATCTTTCCAAGAGTTTCGGCAAAACATCCAGGTTTGAAACTCATTGGTCAGGCTTGGGTCATGTGTCCACATATTAACCAGTCATTTTGGCCAGAAGATGGAATACCCTGGTTGGCCAGATCTGGGTCCTGGGCCTACCCCTTGACTAGACGTCAGTTAACCTGAACCTCATGGACTAAGATTGAGGAAGAGGGAGTGGCCCAAAAGAAAATCAAGGGGAAATAAATGCCGGACACACGCAGCAGATGTTACTGGAACCATCCTATGAACTGTCCTGTCTAGGGTCTGCCCCACCAGTTTATCATGCATATCTAGGTAGGCCTGAGCCCTAGTAGTGGACATTCTTAGGCTGAAGCCGGGATCCCGTTAAATACTTATCGTTACATACATGTCGTTACATATGATAAATCAATTCCTTATGAGACCCTAGAAATTGATAGCCCAGATATTCCCCCTCTTAATGAGGGTTTATCATTGAACACGAACAAAGCCTTAGTATAAGCAATGTTGCCCTAATGGTGGAATCATGGGCTTTACGGAAGCACGTTGGAGAAAATATTTTGAATCCAAGAGGCCTTTTGGAGACAGAGGCTCAGTAAGTAGGTACCCATTCATCCATCACATCCATGTTTAGGATCTAAATGTCCTTAATTTCATAGTAATTTATTCATGCCAGGAATGAGCAGAGAATCAGGATGGGGGAAGTATCAGAGGGGCCAAGAAATCATAGACAAGGGTGTCCGGGTAAAGAAGACTTTGTTATAGGCAGCAGCACAACATAGCTCTTCTCTGACATCCCCCTCACTCTTTCTTCCCATCCCTGTTCCTTTGTCACCATGGAAACCAATGATGCTCCCTCCTTCTCCTCCCCTCTCTGCTCACTCGGGTCCCCAGGCCCCACTGCTCTTTGTCTGACTGGCTTCACACCGCGGTTGCCAGCCTCTTTGCAAACACTGAGCCTGGGCATGCAGCTTCACCTTCTTTTCACCCTCCACCCCGCCACCCTCTCCCGCCTCATTTTCCTGCTCCCAGGCTTCTGTTTCATGCCTTCCTTAATCTTGATCCAGGCTTTAGTGAAATTGCCATCTTTCTTCAAGAAGTTGTATGAAAATTAGATTTTTGCCACTCTAACCTGATTTGAAATGCATTAAGAGATCTGTCTTTTGAAACACCTCAAGGTGAGGCAATTTGTGAAGGGAAGAAGCATCCCTTACTGCGGCTTCTGTGCTTAAACATTGTTAGAGAGTGAATCACATTCTATTTTTGTACTAGGAGTGTCTTCTGTTTAACGAAATCCCCCAGCGTGTCTCTGAGTGAAACAGAGACTTTATCATAAAGGAAATAACACTTCGAGTTCAGAGATTGTGAGCTGTTGGCCCCGTGGACTTTTGTTAGGTCTGTATAGTGGCTAAAGAAAATTGAACCAACATTTAAAAATCAGCAGGTATCACATAAAAGTCTGGATTTCTGGCTGCCCTTGAGTTGGACATGGGGCATGTATCTCCACATGGTGAAGATGGGAAGGAGGGAAAAAGGAGTAGAGGCTTCCTGCTTTACGGCTTCTTCCTTTCCAGTCAGCTATGCCTGGCCAGCTTCCCACTTTTATCTGGCCCACCTGGGCCCTCCTGGCATCTGAGCTTCTGACCCTGGCCCTAATTGATCTGTTTTTGTTTGTTTGTTTTTGTTTTTGAGATGGAGTCTTGCTCTGTCACCCAGGCTGGAGTGCAGTGGCACGATCTCGGCTCACTGCAACCTCCACCTACTGGGTTCAAACAATTCTCCTGCCTCAGCCTCCCGAGTAGCTGGGATTACAGGCGCATGCCACCATGCCAGGCCAATTTTTGTACTTTTAGTAGAGATGAGGTTTTGCCATGTTGGTCAGGCTGGTCTTGAACTCCTGATCTCAGGTGATCTGCCCGCCTTGGCCTCCCAAAGTACTGGGATTACAGGCATGAGCCACCATGCTCAGTTTCCTAACTGATCTGTTTTGAGAACAAGGATTCTCCCACAGTGCATAGAGTTTGCTTAAGGGCAGTCATCTGGAGTTCTTTTGAAGTTGGCCTGATACCTGAGAGCAGGTGAGCTTTCTACCAACTACTGTGCTTCCAGAGTCTTCCAATCATTGTTTTCTTGGAACCCACTCAGGCTAGCTCAAATATTATGGGCTTTATGTATGTGAGGCTATGGAGATTGCTCAGAAGTGAAAGTCAGCCTGAGTGAACTGTATAGGGTTTCTCTCTTACCCAACCACCTCCCTCTTCTTTCTTATACCTACTCCTGTCTCAGAGTGGACATACCAACCTGGTCTTCAGAAAAAGAGCCAGGCATAGCAGATTGAAGAGGGAAGACCCCAGGCTGCCAGTTACAGACTGACTCTCCCGTCTTAGGGGACCTAGGAGAGGACATGGGGTGGGATCCAGAGGGAGTTACCGAGGCCTTTGAGTATAGATCTGCTGCCACTCATGAAATGGCAGGTGTGTGGGTCAGGTGGGCCAGTGAGTGAGGCCTTACATCTGTCCCCTCTCAAAGACATTTTCCTCCTTAGCGCTTGGTGAGGGAAGTGTGGGAACACAGGAGGGCAAGGCTGCAGTGAGCCGAGATTGCGCCACTGCACTCCAGCACCGGTGACAGAGCGAGACCCTGTCTCAAAAAAACAGAACAAAACAAACAAAAAAGAAACACGGGAACAGTTAGAATAAAAGGGTAGATTCATAAGCAGAAAAACTCTGGAGCCACTACCCCAGCTACACATATCTAGAGAGATATACAGGGGGCCACACAATGCCATCTGAAATGGAGTAGCAGTTCTCTTCCCATGTTATCAAACCAGCTCGGAACCTTTGTTCACAAACCTAAATGAATGAGACGCAGCACGGTTCTTTGTTTTCTTCCAATCATCTTTCAGCTCCTTGCCACACTTGGTCTCTGGTACCTCCTGGCTGAGCAAGCTTGGGCAATTCCTGAACCTCTCGGAGTCTGATTTCTCATCAGCAAAGTGGGCGTCATGGGCTGAATTATCTCCCCTCAAAATTCAAGTGTTGAAGTCCTAACCCCCGAAACCTCAGAATGTGACCTCATCTGGAGATAGGGGCTTTAGACTACGTACTGGGTACAGTGTACACTGCTCGGGTGATGGGTGCACCAAAATCTCAGAGATCACCACTATAGAACTTATCCATGTAATCAAAAACCACCTGTACCCCAAAAACTATTGAAATCAAAAAAAGAAGTCATGGCGTTAAAATGAGGGCTTAATCCAATCTGACTGGTGTCCTTGGAAGAGGAAATTTGGACATTCAGAGAGACACCAGGGATGCACACAGAGAGGAAGACCACGTGGGGATGCAGTGAGAAGGCAGCAGCCATCTGCAAGCCGAGAGAGGCCTCAGAGGAAACCAAACCTGCCAACACCTTGATCTTGGACTTTCAACTTCCAGAACTGTGGACAAATGAGCATCTGTTGCTGAAGCCACCCAGTTTGTGGTATTTTGTTAGAGCAGCCTGGGCAGATTAATCTAGTGCGTACCAGTGCTCCTTCATGGAGGGCTATGGGATAAAATAGATGACATGAGAGTGTTGGACAGGGTACAATACATCCTAGGTATTCGGCAAGGGTGAGCTTCCTTTTCAAGAAGCCGTCACAGAATGCTTTAGCTCACAGAGCCTTTCTCAGATCGTCTCTTACACTCCTTCTGTTTATTTGATTGATCAATCATTGCTCCTTAATCACTGATTGAGCTCTGTGGTCTGGTTGTTGAACCCTGGCAATGGGTGGTCTGTGCAGCCACACTATTTGCTGCTCTTGCACTTCCAAGACCTGAAGCTAGAGCTGGTGCTCAGAGAAGAGCTGCCCCATGGTAGCAAGTGTCTGTCACTGGCTCTTTCTGGGGCAGAGGGAAGCTCCTGAAACCCTGCCCTCCCCACCTCCTCCACCAAGGGTCCCCCTGCTCAGCACTTTCTGCATGGCTTCCTGGTGGCTGTCTTCCAAGGCCTGCTTTCTGCCCCAGGACCTTACAAAGGCTGCTTTGATGAAAAGTTTGAGGCAAAGTGACTGTGTCATTTGATACAAGAGGCTCAAGGGGGTAAAAAGTGTAGCTTTCTTCTATTTTTGGATTTTCTAGCCCAGCGGAGAATGATCAGCTGAATGGGACTGGGGCGGAAGCCAGGAGCAGAGGGAGGAAATGCACCCAAGCTGGAGAGCCCCTGTGATTAGCAGCTGGAAGCCTAGAGCGTGACCTGCTTGTGAAGAGGCGCCTCTGCAGGCAGACTCTGCGCCCAGAGCTGGAAGGCATGCAGGGGCCACTTGCCCTGGGGCCACCAGACTCCTTCCTCCAATGGCCTGCTCCAACGGTCCCTGCCCCTGCAAAATGCACAGAGCCTGCTCCCTCCCTCCCTCCTGTTGATGGAGTACAGGCCAAGGATAGTCACTCTCTGGGTGAGATTTGAGAGGCACCACAAAAGCCCCTTAACCCTGGGGTCTCCGTCATCCACCGCCAGGGCAGTGGCACAGGGCCCTGCTCTCAGTGGGGGCTCTCCACATGGCTTAATGCTCTGCTGTCACCGTCGTGGAATTCATGATGGGACACTGCATTGTCCTCTTGCACTGGGCCCACAAATTCAGGAGCCGGACCTCCCCACCTCTCCCAGTTCTTGAAATTCAGGTTAGCAGTCACTTCCCTTCCCTGCTCTGGCTGATACCTCTCATCTGTGTAGCTTCTTATTCACCACCAGCCTCCACCTTGTTATCTCACTAATTGTCACTATAACCCTGTGAGGGACTGACATCTCTCTGACTCGTGGCCCTTTGTAGGATTTGCCCCACGAGCTCAGGCCTTTTGATGCCACCCCTTTGCTCTCTTTGAGGAACAAAAATGCCTACCTCCTGAAGCTATCTGTAATCCCCTCCTACTTAAGTGTAAGAAATTTGCAAGTCCGAAACCCATCCTCCACTTCACTCTTAAGAGCCTAAAAAGCCCTCTGAGGGCGCTTAATAAATACTAACTAATGAACCTGCAGCTGCTGCTCCTTTGGCTAATTAAATCTAAGTAAATCACAGACTTTGAATTATGCAACAAGGCTTGGCCAAAACAGCTTAAAAATGTGGGAGCCCTAGCTTTTCTGCTGTGCCCTGTGGAAAAATCCCATCTTTTAATCATGCTTAACCTTCCTGAAGAACAGCAGCAACCTTTAAATAATGAATGAACGTATATTAGCAAGATTTCCCCAAAGCTACACGTGGGAGTCAGATCAAAAAAGGGACAGAAGCAGACACAGGCCTGAGGGCATTCTGGAACTTTCTGCTCAGCCCTGGCCTGCAGGGTGAAATCATTTGGTTCCCCAGAAGCCCAGAGCATGAACTGGTGAAAGGGAGGAGGGGCAGATATGCTGCCACAGGCTCAGCTTCCTGATGTGGCACAGTAAGCTCCTGCCACCCCTAGCCTGCGGCAGAGGTTAATGGAAACCCCATAGCACTTCTGAAGGGCTGTGCACTCGGTTGTTCTCCCTCTCATTCCCCCTAGAAGACCCTCCTGGCCAAGAGCATTGTCTTCATAAAGAGAACAGATTTTGTTTTTTTTTTTTTTTTCTGGTAGGGTCTTGCTCTGTCCCCCAGGCTGGAGTGCAGTGGCACGATCACAGCTCACTGCAGCCTCAACCTCCCAGGCTCAAGTGATCCTCCCTTGTTAGCCTTCCCAGTAGCTGGGACAGCAGGTGCATGCCACCGTACCTGGCTTTTTTTTTTTTGGAGATATGGGATCTCCCTATGTTGCCTTGCCTAGTCTTGAGCTCTTGGGCTCCTGCCTCGGCCTCCCAAATGGCCGAGATTACAGACGTGAGCCACCGCGCTAGCCCAGGACAGACCAGGACAGATTGCATTGAGTCTCATCACCTATAACAGGCTTCCCAGACTTTAAGATGCATATGAATTGCTGGGGGCTGGTGGGTACTGTCAAACCACATCTGCTTCAGTGGGTCTGGGGCAGGGTCTGGGATGCTGCATTTCTAAGACGCCGATGCTGCTGATCCACAGATCACACATTGAAGAGCAAGGATTTAGGTCTTTCAACCCTGATTGCTTATTAGAATCAACTGGGGCACTTGTAAGGCTAACAAATCATCTCTGGATGTCATCTCAGATCAATTAAATCAGAATTTCTCGAACAATCTCTAGACTTTGGTCCTTCTTTTTTCTGAGTTAGAGTCTAGATAATTTAGAGGTCGCCCAAATGAAGCCTAGAAAACTTAACTGACTTGCTTACTTACAAGTCATCTGCTAACTTGGGACTAGAAATAGACATGGCAGGAAAGTGGCCTTTGGAATCAAGGCTTAACCCTCCTGCCCCCGAGTCTCTCCAACTGTAGTCCTGTCCTTGGGCTCAGGAGGGCAGCCTACAATATTCCATTTAGGGAACAGGAGAGATTTTCCCATCTTTCTCTCCCTAAGCCTGCCTGAAACTTTACTATTAGTGCTTCATTATTTGGGCTGAAGCTTAGTGGTCCTTTGCAATGAGTGCAATCTCTTATACATAGACTTTAGCAGCTTGGTGTCCATAGGATGATCACAGTCCCCTGACTGTCTCTGGGCTCTGCTCTGTGGGATCTGGGATCAGGAAGGGAAGGGGCTCTGGAGTCCAACTTGCCTCCCCTTGCAGCTCTGCTGAGGGCACCCAGCACAGAGAGGAGTGCCCTTCCCAGTCTGCTGCCCTGATTGTGTCAGGTCATGGGCTTCAGGCAGAGGTCAGGAGGATGAAGGCAGAGTGGCTCCAGGCGTGTGGCCAGGGAAAACCATGACCTCCCTGCTGTGGTATGCAGTACTCTTCCTTAAAGCAGAGTGCAGCAGTGGCCCGGCCCAGATTGGCTACGGCTGTGCTCCATCTGATGGTTTCAACCCCATCAAGGCTTTCTGGCTCAGCAGCTCAGGAAGGGAGTGGGAGCTGGGCCTAAGGAATTAGGGATGATACACCAGTTATTTGCTTAATTCAGTATCTCCCCCCTCCACTCATACTATCAGAATTCTAATTCTGTTTGAGGCTGCAACAGTGTCCACGCAAAAACCTTACCACCTCAGACACCCTACAGATAGGTGCAGCCACATGACCTTAGTTTGACCAATGGCACGGAAGCAGAAGTCTCTGGGTGGGGCTTCCTGGGATGCTTTTAAAAGGCGGCTCCTTTTCTGACCTGGAGTAACGGACCTGGTACTTGGAGCTGCTTCAGCCAACTTGACACTGAGGCGGGAAGCCATGGGCTGAGGATAAGAGCCCTGTGGTGGTGGAGGAAGGCACCACCTGAGTCCTCTATGACTTCTGAGAGCAGTTTCACCAGCCGTGGATGGACTACCTGGGACTTCTTGGTATGTGAGCAACACAAACCTCTATTTGGTGAAGCCATTGTGGCTGGATTTCTTTTACAGCTGAAAGTAATCCTCAAACGCAGGACCTCAGAAAGTTTTTGGTCTGGAAACGGGAAGGTCCAGGCAAAAAAGCGGCCCCCAGGAATTAAAGGAGGAGGAAGGCTTTTATTTATCTGTTTTGAATTACTATTCCACTCTATAATCTTTAGTGTATTGCCTATTTCCCAAGGGATTAAGTTTATATTCCTCAGACCAATATTCAAGGCTCCCTAACACTTAGCCCCAAACCAATTTTCCAGGCCTGTTACCTTGTACACCATTCCCTGGAGCAAGAGTGACCCTTCCCTCCTGGATACACGTTACACACTCCCACCCTAATCTTCATTTGTGTGAGGTATCCCTCCTGATTTCCACCTGTTCGGGCTTACCTAGCCTTATGAGCTCGTCTTTTAAGAAGACTTCCTCTATCACCCAGGGCTCCAGGGAGCTCTTCTATGATCTCGTTTATAGCTGAGGTCTGTGTACTGATAGCTGCTTTACATTTTCATGTGTGTTAAACTCATCTCCCCAGCAAGGTTGTGAGATCCTCCCAAGGTAGGATCTTGGGAGCAGGGTAACATGGAAAGAACATGTGCTCTGGGATGATCTCAGTTAAGTCTAACGTCTCTGAACCTCGGTATCCCTGGCTGTGAAGTGGAGATGATATACATTTCTACCTGCAGGGTTTTGGTGAAGATAGCCTCCTTAGGGACTTAGGGCGCATGGTATGTTAGCATTGGTGCTGAAGAGGCGCTTGTACATTGGCTTGTTACCTGGCTGGTAACTGCTTAGCTGGGCCTTTTTCCTATCCTTTGCCTCCCTCTCTCTTCTGATTTTCTGCTTTGCATTTGAATCAGAAGATCTGTTCTAAGTTTAGGGAGTGACCATGAGTAGTTCTCATTTTCCTAGAGGGCAGATCTGAGGCTAGTGGCTTCAGTATTCAAACACAATAGGGAAGAGTAGATTTCATGCCTGTGGCTAAACATGTGGGATGAGATGCTCACTTAACCGTTCAGGGGAGTTTACTTTCTCTGAAGATTAAGAAAAATGAATGTATTTAAGTCTAGTTTTACCTGGCAACAGATGGATGGATTAAATGACCTTACGCACTTGGGTGTTTTGGTTTGTGTGTGTGTGTGTGTGTGTTTTATAAATGCCCAGTTCTGTCTGCTCTAAGAAGGTAAACAGGTGGACCTTAAACTTTTTGCTATCCTTATCTCCATCTCTCTCACCTCAACCCCATGGGGCAGAAACCCAGATCAAATAAAATGATCAGAAGAAGTGACCCATACCACAACGGCCCTTCCTTGAAAGTTTAATGAGAAATGATACTTTTATCACTTCCAAATTAAGTACCTGTCACATGCAGCTATCAATGGGATTGGATATATGGAGTTGGGTGGGAAATGAGAAGTCACCATGGACTTACATGGCATGATAATGTGTACTGACATTGAAGTCCCAAGGCAGTCATTTTTTTCACGTGATTTTACTGAGAGTCGCTCGAGAGCCCAATGAGACAGAAACTTATTCTCTTGTCACTCTTAAGGCAGAGCCCTATGCCAGAGGAGAGAAGGGGTCAGTAAAGACTTGATTAATTGCACAGCTGTGTCCAGCCTCATTCAGTTTGCCACATTATCACTAAAGTGTCCTGTGGCACAGCCAGCCATCGTGGCTGGGCTGCTGGGCTCAGAGTAGCCGACAGTCTGCAAGGAGTGTGTGTATTGAAGGGCTGAGGGGCTGGTGACTGGGGGAGTTGAACCCCTTTGTTGCATACTTGCAGGGCAGCTTCACTTTGTGCCTGACCGTGAGCCTTCTGGTGTTCAAAGTCTGTTCCTTTGGGTTGTTGTGTGTTTATTTGAGGGGCTGTAAACCTCTCTACTGTGGACAACTGTATACTTGTTTTGTATCTCTGTGTCAGTGTATTTGTTTCTGGGTTAGCCTTTCTGCATTTTTGTGAGTCTGTGTGCTTGGGTTAGTAGGTGGGTACGGGGTGGGGGTGTGTGTCAACTTTTTTTTTTTCCATGTCCAGCTTTCTAATAGAGTAGAATTAATGACGTCCTCTGGGTCTAATCAGGCACTTAATTCCTCCTTCCTTATGTCCCCTAGGAGTATGCCCTTATTTTGCCACATGCCTCACCCAGGGGATACACAGCTTAGTGATAGGGGTACCCCTTGTCCACCAGGTTCAGCTAGGCCTGTGCCAGGCTCGCTGGAGCTTCACTGCCTCTCCTTTTTGACCATATGCTGTCTGAAGGCCAGCTGTGTACAAGTCTCCTCAGGCCCAGTGCTAAATGAGTCCTGGCCAGTGGCCTGGTGATGGTATCCTGCCATGTTGGCAAGCTGGAGGGAGCTTGGGCATCTTGGCTTCAGGAGCCTAACATGGGGTGGCAGGGCTGGGCTCCCTCCGGAGGCTCTAGCAGAGAATCCTTCTGTTGCCTTTTCTGGTTTCTAGAGGCTTCCCATGTTCCCTGACCCGCAGTCCCACGTCATTCTGGCCCCTGCTTCCATGGTCACATCTCCTTTCTGACTCGCACCCTCCTGCCTCCCTTTTACAAGGGCCCTTGTGACTACCGCGGGCCTACCTGGATAATCTGGGATCATTTCCCCACTGCAAGGTCCTTAAACACAATCACATCTCAGCCTCTTTTGCCATATAAAGTATTCATGATCCTGGGGATTAGGACATGGACATCTTTGCAGAAGATGGGGGCGGGGGCTGCTCCCAAGCAAATCACAGGCTTCCCACCCCTCAGAGGTCTATGAACATGAGTAGATGTGGTGAAACCCAAGCCAGCTTGGTCATGATGTACTTCTATGGTTCTGGAAAGGTGTTCTAAACCCACCTTCCCTGCAGATATCTCCCTGACCTGCTAACATCTGAAATCGTCCTCTTGGGATAAGGCATCATGTCCACAGTGAGAACTCAGTTTCTGTATAAGGGGCATGAACGTGTTTCTTCACTCTCAGGTGTAAATGACTGACAGCAGGGCCCTTCCTAAGAGTGGATTCTGATTGGACAGAGGCACAAAGTGAAAAAAGGAGGTGCCTGGGAGGCTGGGATCATGCACGGATAACACTCTAGCATGGCAGGGGCGAGGGTTCCCAGTGAGGGAGAGAGCAAAGGCACTTGGAAGTATGACCAGAAAGTTTTAATCAAACAGAGCAAAATGGCTGCAATGCAGAATAGGTAGTGCTTGGCGAAGAGAAAGAAGACCATCTCCTTGGTGACATAGATGATGTGAATGAAGATGAAGCAGTACAGGAACATGGCAAACTGGTTCTGGGGCAGCAGGAAGTTCTGGAGGCCTCCTGAAAACTGTGGGGGAGAGAAGACAGTGGAGATGATGATGCCATTGTTGGCGCCAGGCAGATCTAGGTTCAGTCCTGCTCTGACCCTGCCTGTATGTGACCTCAAGTCATCATCTTCACCTAAAGAAAGGGTAATAGTGCCCATTTCCAAAATCATGAGGGCTGGGCAAGGTGGCTCATACCTATAATCCCAGTACTTGGGGAGGCCAAGGTGGGAGGATTGCTTGAAGCCAGGAGTTTGAGACCAGCCTGGGCAATGTAGTGAGACCCCTATCTCTATAAAAAAAAATTTAAAAATTAGCCAAATCTGGTGGCGTGTGCCTATAGTCCCATCTATTGGGAGGCTGAGGTGGAAGGATCACTTGAGCCCAAGAGTTCGGGGTTATGGTGAGCTATGCTCATGCCACTAACTTCAGCCTGGGTGAGACAGCAAGATCCTGTTTCTTAAAAAAATAAAACAAAACAAAAGATCACAAGGAGGAAAAGTGAGATAATGAACATTCCTAGTCAGGTAACTAGCACATAGAAGGAACTCATCATTTTTTACTTTTTGAGCTGCTCTTATCCCTCCTGACTGGGGCGCCAGGCCACCACCTTCCTTTCTCTTTATGGTCTGTACGGCCCATTGGAGCCACACACGTGGGTCTTCTCCCTCTGACTCCAAGAGCCCCACATGTGGATGTTGGGTCTTGGGAGTGTTCTCTCACAGTGCCCTGACATTCAACCTAGTTTCCTGGACAGTGGCCCAATGACATGGTGTCCCTTGCATATAAATGACTGTTTCTCACTCCCTGGGTCCTGACACATATCACGTGGGTCAGCCCATGGTCCTTCAGTCCAGGGTTTGGTGTCTCTTGGAGGCAGGTGCTGAGAGATAGGTGATGGGGTCTCCCTAAACCCTCAGAGTATTTGGGCTGGGGGAAAGCAGCTTGAGTTGTCTGGCTAATTCTGTCTGTGGGTTGCTCTTTTCTTGAATCTATATAACTGGGGCCCAACAGTCTTCATTTTAACTGTAGAAAGTATCAATGTATAAGTAAGGCAAAAGCTGATATTATTTTGATCCATAGTTAAGAGGGCATAACCCATGCATTATTTTTTAAAATATTTGTAAAAATCATGGCATATTTTTGGAAAGCACCAGGTGGCAGGGACCGAGATGCCCTAAACTAGCTAGAAACACACTCAAAGAGGTATTTTCAATTCAATACACTCTCTCTGTCCGTCCATCTATTCACCCTCCCAGAAAAAGAGAAGAGAGGAAGGTACAACATCAAGTCAACTCCCCAATTTTTAGTAAATGCACAAAAAGTAAGCACTTTTGTAAACTATCACCAAAGGCTGGAGGATGGGGACACATCACTGTTGAAACAGCTGCATAAAATGTGAGGGCAACTAGACCAAACTGAGGGGACAGAAAATGACCTGATGATGCTGCCTCTAAAATGAATAGCTAGGAAGGTTGGAGACCAGAGGAAGCAATCCAGTGTTCTAATGGGAGTGGAGGACGGGGCTGACCCGACGGTTCTCTGCAGGCTCAGTATGGCTCTGGACCCCTGGACTTTGCCACCTGTCTGCAGTCTGCACGTGTTTCAGTCTGAAATGCTGATGAGTGATCATTATGACTTTCATTAAAAAAGAAAGTGCTTGTGAAACCCTTTAGACTTTTCAAAATACTTTCAATGTTCTAATTCTTGAGCAGAAGAGAGAAATAGAGAGAGGACTATATACCAAAGATTTCCATCTCATCCAGCAAGGAGAAAGATTTTCAAACTGAAAAGGGGGTAAAATAAATATGGTTAGGAGGAGACACAGGCCAAAGGCATAGTTACAATATCATATCTGCTTTAAATAGTTTCAGGTTCCACTTTGTGACAGATTTTATCCCAGGCTACTGAGAAAAGTCACAAGTTTGCAAATGGAACTTAGAATTCAAAAATATTAGGAAGTGTGCTAAAGTCTAAGCAATAGGCAAATGTTTTCTAGACTTTTCAAAAAGGGTGTGGGGGCAGGGGAAGATTCTGGAAATCCAAGTTCAGTAAGCTTGACTGAGTTCAGTGAAATCATTTCATGTTTATAATGAAGCAGGTATTTTGTGAACAGAAAAAAAGATAATTGTTTAAGAAGCCAGCACGTGCTCATTGAGAACAAATGATGCAAAACCAACCTTACTTTCTTAAAAAAACAGAAACAAAACTGGACCAGTCAATTGGGGAAATGCTATAGGTAATGTAATATCTTAATTTTGGGAAACCATTTGACAGTGCGTCTCCGTTTTTTGGATAAGGTGGAGAAATGTGAGCAGGATAAAATGTAACTCAAGGGTGATGATTAATGGAACATTGCCAACCTATACAGAGACATTTAGTGGTATTTACTTTAGGTCATTTCCTCCTCAACAATTACAGCAATGATTTGGATAAAGGCAGAAGGCATGGTTCTCAGAACTGAGGATGACTCAGAGCTGGGAAGCACAGCTAATACATCATATCCCAATAAAACTGAAAAGTGATAAATGTATGTTGTTGCATTTGGGTCAAGAAGTGAATTGCATGAGTACATAAAAATGGTAGTAGCTAACGTTTATTGAGTGCTTACCTAATGTGCTGGGCTAATTGCAAAGTGCTTTGCGTGTGTTCTCTCATTGATTCCTGACAACAACCCTGTGAGGTAGGTACTACTTCATGGATGAGCAAGCCAAAGCTCAAAGGAAATTAGTAATTTGCCCAATGTCAGGGAGTTTATAACTGGCATTTTAATCCAGGACTTTCTGACTTTAAAGTGCAGGAAACACTGCTTTAAACAACATCTTCCACTATTGAATGCTTATGATAGCCTAGCCACTGTGCTAAGCTCTTCACATCCCATTTAATCTCAAGTAGGCATTCTTATCCCCCATTTAATACAGATTAGGGAACAGTGGTGTACTTCTTGTGAAAAGATGGCTGTTTCAGTTGACTAGAAGGCAGTATGATCCAACAGAATAAACATAGCCCTGATCGGGGAGGTGATGGTTCTATCAAAATCCACTGGCCAGGGTGCAGTGGGGATTCTGGGTCTAGTCTCCAGGCATCAAATTTTAAGAGATGCAGAGAGGACTTGTGAGCGGTGGAAGAGGGAGGAAATGTTGAAGACTTTTCCTTGAAGCTACCAAAAAGGCTGTCGGGTGGGCGATGTGGTTCTGGGGACCCTCCCGGCCTCAGCTCTCCTTAGAGAGTCACATCTCAGCTTCCCGTGGAAGCTCTGTTTAACAGAGCTGGCCAGGTAGGGTAGCGAGCTTTAAGGCAGTGAGCAGACATCTCTGGAAGTGAGCCAAGGCGGAGAGGGCTGGAGACCGCCCGAGTGGATGCTCAGCCCCTTTCAGCCGAGATCCAGGATCTGCAGGGTGGGGTGCCGCGCAAAGCAGGGAAGGTGGGCGCCTGCTCCAGGCCCCATGGGACTTCAGCTCCAGGCCTCCCTCCTCCCAGTGCCCCGTTCCTTGTCACCCACCAGGCGGGGCGCCGCCTCTTGCTGCAGCTGCTCCATCACCACCTCGTGCTGCCGCTCCCGCTGCAGCTGCTCCATCACCACCTCGTGCTGCCGCTGCCGCTGGTTCTTCTCATGCAGGTACTTGAGCCGCGTGAGCTCGAACTCCATGCGCACCTTCTCCAGCTCCATCTCGGGATTGCGCTCAGTCCCAGGGGTCGGGGGCAGCTCTGCGGGTTTGGGTCCGTCGCCAGCCTGGCCTTTGGTAGCACGGCAGGACTTGGGGGACAGCGATTTAAGCGGCCCTTGGCAGCCTCCGTCCTCACAAGCTTCCATCTCTTCCAAGTAGTCATAGGAGGAGTCTGGCTTCTGGGACTCTGCCTCCTGGCGTAGGGGAAGCAGGGAGGGGAGGTACCTTGAAGAGTCAGGATGGGGCTGCCCCTGACCCCATGGAACTCCCGCAGCCCCAGGCCGCAGTGGACTGGGGTGTTTGAATTGTAAAGATCTAGGCTGAATTCTTATTAGAAGTGCTCTTACCGGGAGTTGTCAGGACCTGCGGGTCAAGGAGAGGGCAAACTAGCACAAAGTAATAGTGCCCTAAAGTTGCAAGTGGAGGCACTGGGAGTTGAGTAGATTGATGTCCATTTTTCTAGTGATTTTTCTGATCACCAAAGAGGCAACTTCCGGGCCCATCCTCAACTCTACCTGACTTTGAGGTCAGTTAGATGCCAGGTCTTCAGGAAGTTACAGAGGGAGAAAGAAACCCAGGGTCTGAATTGAGAGAACCTAAATATTTGGGGACCAGGAAGAGGGCTATGGTGGGGAGCCAGGTCCTATCCACCCAGCAAGGAAAGGACCCCAAGTGGGGAGGTAGATAGAGGAGACCAAACCCAGCTTCATATGACTTCACAATCTTATGGAGGGCTACCTGGTCCCTGGTGACAGCTGGTGCCAGTTACAGGGCTGGGGTACATGTCACCTGATGTTCTTGGCAGTTGTCTGGAAGCTCAAAGCATGTGTTCCTACAGTATTCTTGCTCCCCCTGACGGAATAGGCGGGGGTGGTGAGACACAGCAGCCCCCTTACCAGATAAGCCCTTGGCTTCCCTTCAGACTTGGAGTCACCAGGCACCATCTTGGGGAAGGTCGGGCAACTTTCTCCCGCACCCCGGGCTTCCATCATCTCCCTGTCCTCTGCTGCCATCCAGAAAACCAGAACGCTGCCAGGTGGGGTCACAAGACATCATTTGAGGTGCTGACATTTGGCCTCACCAGATTCCACAGCCTGGCCACCATCACAATCCCCTGTCGTCATCATAGCCTACATTCTACAAGTTGCTAGGGCCCCTTTGGTGGAGGGTGTGACACCTTTGAGGTAGTAACATGCTAACATTAAGAACTGCAGGATGGGCCTTTGCTGCCCATAAGGATGGCTTTGAAAACTAGAGTTCCAACTCATGCAACTCAGAATTCCACCATTTGAAATCCATTTCCTTGGGTTCCTTTTTTAAATGAAGATTGTGTTGGAAATGAGTCACAGCTCCACAAACCCTGTTATGGGCTAAACCAGGTCCCCCTCTCTTCCCAAAATTCATATGTTGAAGTATTAACTCCCAGCCCCCAGTACCTCAGAATGTGACCTTATTTGGAGACAGGGTCTTTATAGAGGTGATTAAGTGAAAGTGAGATCATTAGGGTGGGATCCTAATCCAGTATGACTGGTGTCCTTGTAAGAAGATGATGATGTGAAGACAAGGGAGAAAATGGCTATCTACAAACCAAGGAGACCGGCATTGTATTAGGGTTCTCCAAAGAAACATAAAATGACATTTATTACACAGAATTGGCTCATGCAATTATGGAGGCTGAGAAGTTTTATGATCTCCCATCTGCAAGCTGGTGTCCCTGGAAAGCGGGTGGTATAAATTCCAGTCTGAGCGCAAAGGCCTGAGAACCAGGAGCACTGATGGTGGAAGTCCCAGTCCAAGGTCAGGAGAAGACTGACGGATCACCTCATGTAGTCAGGCAATTGAATTGAGAGCACCAGTTCAACTGGCAGTCTGCCTTGTTCCATTTAGGCCCTCAGTGGAGTGGATGAATCCCACCCACATTGAGGAGGGCAGACTGCTTTACTCAGTCCACCAATTCAAATGTTAATCTCTTCCAGAAACACCCAGAAATAACATTTAATCAGAGATCTGGCCATCCAATGGCTCACTGACGTCAACATGTAAAATTAACCATCGTAGACCTGGAATAGATCTTTCTCTCCTAGCACTCAGAAGGAACCAACCCTGCTGGCACCTTGATCTCTGATGCTGACTCTCCAGGATTGCGAGAAAATAAATTTGTGTCATTTACGCCAACCAGTCTGTGGTTCTTGGTTACAGCAAACCTAGGACACTAATACAACCCATCATTCATACTTCCACGTGGGTAGAATGGAGGGCTGGGGAATGTATTTTGTCATCTTCCATTTTGTGAAAAAAGCAGCAAAACATCTTTGGTAGTTGAAAGCAGGATTGCAATATGGAAAGACAAAGGGCTGCATTTGAATTCCAGCTTCGCTACTCTCTCCGGCTGTGTGATCAAGGGAAAGTGTATTCATTTGTAAATGGGATAAAGATTTAGCCACTTCCCTACGTTGCAGCACCGATGTGAAAATTAGATAGGGTAGGAGGGGGAGTTCCAAGATGGCTGAATAGGAATAGCTGCAGTCTACAGCTCCCAGCGTGAGCAACGCAGAAGACAGGTGATTTCTGCATTTCCAGCTGAGGTACCAGGTTCATCTCACTGGGGCTTGTCGGACAGTGGGTGCAGCCCACGGGGCATGAGCCAAAGAAGGGAGGGGCATCGCCTCACCCGGGAAGTGCAAGGGGTGGGGGAATTCCCTTTCCTAGCCAAGGGAAGCCATGATAGACAGTACCTGGAAAATCAGAACACTCCCACCCTAATACTGTGCTTTTCCAACGGTCTTAGCAAATGGCACACCAGGAGATTATAGCCTGTTCCTGGCTTGGAGGGTCCCACACCCACGGAGCCTCGCTCACTGCTAGCACAGCAGTCTGAAATCCAACTGCAAGGCGGCAGCAAGGCTGGGGGAGGGGCGTCTGTCATTGCTGAGGCTTGAGTAGGTAAACAAAGCAGCCAGGAAGCTCGAAATGGGTGGAGCCCACCACAGCTCAAGGAGGCCTGCCTGCCTGCCTCTGTGGACTCCACCTCTGGGGGCAGGGCATAGCTGGACAAAAGGCAGCAGAAACTTCTGCAGACTTAAACGTCCCTGTCTGACAGCTTTGAAGAGAGTAGTGGTTTTCCCAGCACGGAGTTTGAGATCTGAGAACAGACAGACTACGTCCTCAAGTGGGTCCCTGACCCCCAAGTAGCATAACTGGGAGGCACCTCCCAGTAGGGGCTGACTGACACCTCATACCACTGGGTGCCCCTCTGAGATGAAGCTTCTAGAGCAAGGATCAGGCTGGAGTGGACCTCCAGCAAACTCCAACAGACCTGCAGCTGAGGGTCCTGACTGTTAAAAAGAAAACTAACAAACAGAAAGGACATCCACACCAAAACCCTATCTGTACATCACCATCATCAAAGACCAAAGGTAGATAAAACCACAAAGATGGGGAGAAACCAGAGCAGAAAAGCTGAAAATTCTAAAAATCAGAGCACCTCTTCTCCAAAGGAATGCAGCTCCTCGCGAGCAATGGAACAAAGCTGGACGGAGAATGAATTTGATGAGTTGAGAGAAGAAGGCTTCAGACGATCAGTAATAACACACTGCGAGCTAAAGGAGGATGTTTGAACCCATCACAAAGAAGCTAAAAACCTTGAAAAAAGATTAGACAAATGGCTAACTGGAATAAACAGCATACAGAAGACCTTAAATGACCTGAAGGAGCTGAAAACCATGGCACAAGAACTACATGACGCATGCAGAAGCTTCAGTAGCCGATTTGATCAAGTGGAAGAAAGGGTATCAGTGATTGAAGATCAAATGAATGAAATGAAGTAAGAAGAGAATTTTAGAGAAAAAAGAGTAAAAAGAAACGAACAAAGCCTCTAAGAAATATGGGACTATGTGAAAAGACCAAATCTACATCTGATTGGTGTACCTGAAAGTGACAGGGAGAATGGAACCAGGTTGGAAAACACTCTGCAGGATATTATCCAGGAGAACTTCCCCAACCTAGCAAGGCAGGCCAACATTCAAATTCAGGAAATACAGAGAATGCTACAAAGATACTTCTCGAGAAGAGTAACTCCAAGACACATAATTGTCAGATTCACCAAAGTTGAAGGAAAAAATGTTAAGGGCAGCCAGAGAGAAAGGTCAGGTTACCCACAAAGGGAAGCCCATCAGACTAACAGCAGATCTCTTGGCAGAAACTCTACAGGCCAGAAGAGAGTAGGGGCCAATACTCAACATTCTTAAAGGAATTTTCAACCCGGAATTTCATATCCAGCCAAACTAAGCTTCATAAATGAAGGAGAAATAAAATGCTTTACAGACAAGCAAATGCTGAGAAATTCTGTCACCATCAGGCCTGCCTTACAAGAGCTCCTGAAGGAAGCACTAAACATGGAAAGGAACAACTGGTACCAGCCACTGCAAAAACATGCCAAATTGTAAAGACCATCGATGCTAGGAAGAAACTGCATCAACTAACGAGCAAAATAACCAGCTAACATCATAATGACAGCATCAAATTCAGACATAACAATATTAACCTTAAATGTAAATGGGCTAAACGCTCCAATTAAAAGACACAGACTGGCAAATTGGATAAAGAGTCAAGACCCATCAGTGTGCTGTATTCAGGAGACCCATCTCACGTGCAGAGACACACATAGGCTCAAAATAAAGGGATAGAGGAAGATCTACCAAACAAATGGAAAACAAAAAAAAGCAGGGGTTGCAATCCTAGTCTCTGATAAAACAGACTTTAAATCAACGAAGATCAAAAGAGACAAAGAAGGCCATTACATAATGGTAAAGGGATCAATTCAACAAGAAGAGCTAACTATCCTAAATATATATGCACCCAATATAGGAGCACCCAGATTCATAAAGCAAGTCCTTAGAGACCTACAGAGAGACTTAGACTCCCACACAATAATAATGGGAGACTTTAACATCCCACTGTCAACTTTAGACAGATTAATGAGACAGAAAGTTAACAAGGATATCCAGGAATTGAACTCAGCTCTGCACCAAGCAGACTTAATAGACATCTACAGAACTCTCCACCCCAAATCAACAGAATACACTTTGTTCTCAGCACTACATCGTACCTATTCCAAAACTGACCACATAGTTGGAAGTCAAGCACTCCTCAGCAAATGTAAAAGAACAGAAATTATAACAAACTGTCTCTCAGACCACAATGCAATCAAACTAGAACTCAGGATTAAGAAACTCACTCAAAACCGCTCAGCTACATGGAAACTGAACAACTTGCTCCTGAATGACTACTGGGTACATAATGAAATGAAGGCAGAAATAAAGATGTTCTTTGAAACCAATGAGAACAAAGACACAACACACCAGAATCTCTGGCACATATTCAAAGCAGTGTGTAGAGGGAAATTTATAGCACTAAATGCCCACAAGAGAAAGCACGAAAGATCTAAAATTGACACCCTAACATCAGAATTAAAAGAACTAGAGAAGCAAGAGCAAACACATTCAAAAGCTAGCAGAAGGCAAGAAATAAATGAGATCAGAGCAGAACTGAAGGAGAAAGAGACACAAAAAACCCTTCAAAAAGTCAATGAATCCAGGAGCTGGTTTTTTGAAAAGATCAACAAAATTGATAGAGTGCTAGTAAGACTAATAAAGAAGAAAAGAGAGAAGACTCAAATAGACACAATAAAAAATGATAAAGGGGCTACCACCACCGATCCCACAGAAATACAAACTATCATCAGAGAGTACTATAAACACCTCTATGGAAATAAACTAGAAAATCTAGAAGAAATGGATAAATTCCTGAACACATATATCCTCCCAAGACTAAACCAGGAAGAAGTTGAATCCCTGAATAGAACAATTAACAGGCTCTGAAATTGAGGCAATAATTAATAGCCTACCAAGCAAAAAAAGTCCAGGATCAGACAGATTCACAGCCAAATTCTACCAGAGGTACAAAGAGGAGCTGGTACCATTCCTTCTGAAACTATTCCAATGAATAGAAAAAGAGGGAATCCTCCCTAACTCATTTTACAAGGCCAGCATCATCCTGATACCAAAGCCTGGCAGAGACACAACAAAAAAAGAGAATTTTAGATCAATATCCCTGATGAACGTCGATACAAAAATCCTCAATAAAATACTGGCAAACCGAATCCAGCAGCACACCAAAAAGTTTATCCACCACGATCAAGTTGGCTTCATCCCTGGGATGCAAGGCTGGTTCAACATATGCAAATCAATAAACATAATCCATCATATAAACAAAACCAAAGACAAAAACCACATGAGTATCTCAATAGATACAGAAAAGGCCTTCAACAAAATTCAACAGCCCTTCATGCTAAAAACTCCCAATAAATTAGGTGTTGATGGGATATATCTCAAAATAATAAGAGCTATTTATGACAACCCCACAGCCAGTATCATACTGAATGGGCAAAAGCTGGAAGCATTCCCTTTGAAAACTGGCACAAGACAGGGATGCCCTCTCTCACCTCTCCTATTCAACATAGTGTTGGAAATTCTGGCCAGGGCAATCAGGCAGGAGAAAGAAATAAAGGGTATTCAATTAGGAGAAGAGGAAGTCAGATTGTCCCTGTTTGCAGATGACATGATTGTTTATTTAGAAAACCCCTTAGTCTCAGCCCAAAATCTCCTTAAGCTGATAAGCAACTTCAGCAAAGTCTCAGGATACAAAATCAATGTGCAAAAATCACAAGCATTCCTATGCACCAATAACAGACAAACAGAGAGCCAAATGATGAGTGAACTCCAATTCATAATTGCTTCAAAGAGAATAAAATACTTAGGAATCCAACTTACAAGGGATGTGAAGGACCTCTTCAAGGAGAACTACAAACCACTGCTCAAGGAAATAAGAGAGAATACAAACAAATGGAAGAACATTCCATGCTCATGGATAGGAATAATCAATATCGTGAAAATGGCCATACTTCCCAAGGTAATTTATAGATTCAATGCCATCCCCATCAAGCTATCAATGACTTTCTTCAAAAAATTAGAAAAAAAAAACTACTCTAAAGTTCATATAGAACCAAAAAAGAGCCCACATTGCCAAGACAACCCTAAGCCAAAAGAACAAAGCTGGAGGCATTACACTACCTGACTTCAAACTATACTACAAGGCTACAGTAACCAAAACAGCATGATACTGGCACCAAAACAGAAATATAGATCAATGGAACAGAACAGAGCCTTCAGAAATAATACCACACATCTACAACCATGTGATCTTTGACAAACCTGACAAAAACAAGCAATGGGGAAAGATTCCCTATTTAATAAATGGTGCTGGGAAAACTGGCTAGCCATATGTAGAAAGCTGAAACAGGATCCCTTCCTTACACCTTATACAAAAATTAGTTCACTATGGATTAAAGACTTTAATGTTTGACCTGAAACCATAAAAACCCTAGAAGAAAACCTAGGCAATACCATTCAGGACATAGGCATGGGCAAGGACTTCACGACTAAAACACCAAAAGCGATGGCAACAAAAGCCAGAATTGACCAATGGGATCTAATTAAACCAAAGAGCTTCTGCACAGCAAAAGAAACTACCATCAGAGTGAACAGGCAACCTACAGAATGGGAAAAATGTTTACAATCTACCCATCTGACAAAGGGCTAATATCCAGAATCCACAAAGAACTTAAACAAATTTACAAGAAAAAATCAACCCCATCAAAAAGTGGGTGAAGGATATGAACAGACACTTCTCAAAAGAAGACATTTATGCAGCCAATAGACACATGAAAAAATGCTCATCATCACTGGCCATCAGAGAAATGCAAATCAAAACCACAATGAGATACCATCTCACACTAGTTAGAATGGCGATCATTAAAAAGTCAGGAAACAACAGGTGCTGGAGAGGATGTGGAGAAATAGGAACACTTTTACACTGTTGGTGGGACTGTAAACTAGTTCAACCATTGTGGAAGACAGTGTGGCAACTCCTCAAGGATCTAAAACTAGAAATACCATTTGACCCAGCCATCCCATTACTGGGTATATACCCAAAGGATTATAAATCATGCTGCTATAAAGGCACATGCACACGTATGTTTATTGCGGCACTATTCACAATAGCAAAGACTTGGAACCAACCCAAATGTCCATGGATGATAGACTGGATTAAGAAAATGTGGCACATATACACCATGGAATACTATGCAGCCATAAAAAATGATGAGTTCATGTCCTTTGTAGGGACATGGATGAAGCTGGAAACCATTATTCTCATCAAAGTATCGCAAGGACAGAAAACCAAACACCGCATGTTCTCATAGGTGGGAATTGAATAATGAGAACACTTGGACACGGGGTGGGGAACATCACACACTGGGGCCTGTTGAGGGGTGGGGGGAAGGGGGAGGGATAGCATTAAGAGATATACCTAATGTATATGATGAGTTAATGGGTGCAGCACACCAACATGGCACATGTATACATATGTAACAAACCTGTACATTGTGCACATGTACCCTAGAACTTAAGTATAATAATAAATTAGATAGGGTGTTTAGCCCACAAGCTGCCCATACAGGGACTAGGCAAAAGAGAACCATGATCACCATTATTCTGAGCAGTAGATTTTGCCACTGGGGAGAGGAGAATGCTCAAGGTTCACTTTCTGTCTTTGCAAATCGTTAACTGAACCATGGCTTTCCCCTCCCAACATTATGGTGGTGACCATGTAAATGATCTCACAGCTGTTGTGTAAGATATCTATCCTGCCTCAGGCACTACTAGGAGTAGGATTACCAGATAGATACAGGATTCCCAGTTAAATCTGAATTTTACATAAATTTTAGTATAAATATGTTCTAAAAATTGGATGGGACAGATTTCTAAAAAGTTATTTGTCTGTAATTCAAATTTAACTGGGAATCCTGTATTTTTATTTGTTAAACCTGGCAATCTTAACCAGCAGAGATCTGCTTAAAGAAACAATGACATATGTACAAATAATCCACTGCTGTTAAATCACCAAGTATGGAAATGCACAATAAGTACTATGGGTAGTTGTCAGCTATAGATCAAACAACCCTAAATGATCAGTGGCCCACAACAATAAACATTTCCTTAGCTCAGACATCTAAAGGTAGGCTGATTTAGGCTGGATTCAACTGGGGGAGCTTGGCCGAGGCAGCTTTGTTTCATGTGTCTCTTATCTTCCTCTTGGGAATAGTGGGGTAGCTTAGGCATACCCTTTGCTCGGGGATGGAAGAAGTACAAGAGGCCTTGGAGCTGGCACACCATCACTTCCATCTTATGTTATTGGAGAAAGCCAGTTGTATGGGGAAACTCAAAGGATGGTGAAACGTACTCTGCCCAGTTAGTGGGAGGAACCACAAAGAAAGATAAAAGGTCTCGATATAGGGGATGAAGAACTGGGGCCAATCAGGCAATGTACCATAGGAGTCAAGAGGTCAGGGCTCAGGGTCTCATGCCTGTAATCCCAGTACTTTGTGAGGCTGAGTCTAGAAGATCGCTTGAGCCCAGGAGTTCAAGACCAGCCTGGGCAACATAGTGGGAATCCACCTCTATAAAAAAAAAAAAAAATTAGCTGGGCATGGTAGCATGTACTCGGGGTCCTAGCTACTTGAAAGGTGGAGGTGTGAGGATCGCTTGAGCCCACTTAAGTGAGCTGTGATCTTGCCACTGCACTTCAACCTGGGTGACAGAGTCTGACTAACTCAAAAAAAAAAAGGATCAGGGTTGATGTGCCTGGAGTAGCTGAGGAAGGTTTGGTGGAAGAGGGAACATGAAGGGTGGGTGGGATTTGGGTGAGAGGAAAGGATCAGCATGAGTAAAGTGTCAATTGATCCTCATCATCTGTTGCCTTCTGTTTCTCCTCTCTGCCCTTCCCCTAGGAGGCAGACCTCCATGAAAGTGTACTAATTCATTAAGCAGAGCAATGTATTCCAAAGCAACATACAGTCTAGCATTCTCATTTCCCTGTCTCTAGACCCCTGTCCTTTAGGGAACTTCCCAGAAGTGGAGGAAACAGGTCTTACGAGCCTTGGGTCGGTTTGGCACTGGTGACAGTATGAAAAGAGCTTCTGCTTTCTCTGTTGAGTTCAGAGAAAGGAAGTGTATAGTAAAGCCATATGCAAGGGTAAAGGAGACAAGAACACGTGGGAGCCCAGCAACAGGGATGAGGGATGAGCTGGCCTAGCAGGGACTGTGCTGGATTCAGGGCAATTCTGAGACCAGCAGCCAGAGTTGGTGCAGCTTCACATGTGCCTTGTCATTCGTATAACTCAGCTGATTTCGGTGTTTCTGCTTCTCCGTGTCCCCTCACTTCCCATCAACAGCCTTCCTCACCCCCGTCAACCCACAACCTCCAACCTCATACTTCACTGTAGGCAAGGTTCCTGCTTCCTCCTGACTTCAGCTTACTCATAACTTCAGCTTCTAATGGTTCTTCATAGCCTCAACTGTATGGCCTCTCGGTATGCCTTCTGTGTTGTTTGTCCTACTTAAGTCACTCATGATTTCCTGGTAGACCTTTCCAAGGGCAGGAATCAGAATAACCTGGCTTATCTCTACTGGGACAGAGCTTTTCATTCTAGGGAAGCCTGTTATTGGGCTACCATGTGATCCTGTCTCCCTTACCCCTGCAAATGGCTTTACTATAAACCTTTCTCTGAGCTCAGTGGAGGAGGCGGAGGCTCTTTTCACACTGTCACGAGTGCCAAACCAACCCAAGGCTCATGCAACCAGTCTTCTCAACTTCTGGAAAATTCCCTGAAGGACTGGTATCTAGAGACAGGAAAATGAGAATGCTAGACTCTGTGTTGCTTTGTATTGTTTTGGTTAATGAATTAATGCAGTTTCATGGAGGTATGCCTCCTAGGGGAAGGGCAGAGAGGAAACATAGAGGCAACAGATGATGAGGATCATTATCAGATGGGGAAGGTGCCCAGCCCAGTTCAGTCTGGTGAAGTGGAAGGATGGGGAGGGCAGGGTGATACGGCACAGTGCACAGCAGCCTCGGATTGTCTGTCAGCAGGAGCTGCAGATGGGTCAGTTTCCCTTAGAAGGGACAGTGGGAGTAGCAAGCACCATGTTGAAGATTGATGGGCACATTCACAGAGCAACGTATCAATTCTAGATTTCACAACCAGATGAGAGACTTGTGTATTAGTACAGCGCGCACAGGCTTTCATGTACATTATCTCATTTGATTCTCACAATGCCCTTGTGAGGCCATTTAAAGCAGGTACAGTGATGCTGCCTGATAAACAAGAAAATCGAGTCACTCGGGCAGATGAGGTGATGCGTCTCTGCATGCAAAGGATGTTAGTGGTTGAGCATTCCATGACTGGAATGCAGGCTTCCCATCTCCTTTCCCTGTGTCTTTATACAATATTACAAAGATGGTCTTTGGGGCCTGTAACTCTTCAGAGGTGAGAGGATTTTCTGCCTCATAAAAATTAGCATATCCATAGAGGTGTATTACAGCGTTATTTGTAACAGCAAAAGACTGGAAACAAATTTCCACCAGAAGGGATCTGGTTAAACAATTAGTGCTGCATCCTTATGAATACCATGTAGATGCTAAAAAGAACAAGACGAAAGAAAAAATGAGAATACAGTAGCTTCATCAGTGCAAATACCTTGTTCTTCAAGATTTTTTTTTTTTTTTCAGGACAGGGTCTCACTCTGTCACTTAGGCTGGGGTGCATTGGCACTGTCATGGCTCAATTGCCGCCTTGACCTCCTGGGCTCAAGAGATCCTCCTGCATCAGCCTTCCAAACTGCTGGAATTACAGGTGTGAGCCACCGAGCTTGGCCCCAAGATATGTTATTTACTAGGAAAGCAAGAACAGTTCTTCCATATGTATTAAAATATGAAAATATAGTAGAGTATGTCTGAAAAGATACAAGAAACTGCTTCATGGTGGCTGTCTGTGGTCAGAGAGCTGAGGGGTTGGGGGTCAGAAGGAGACTGATTCTTAACTATAATACCATTTTGTACTCTTTGACTTTTTTTTAAACCATGTACATAATATACATATATGTAATTTATATGCATTATATATATGCATATATATTTTATATATATAATTTTTTTGACACAGTCTCACTCTGTCACCCAGGCTGGAGTGCAGTGGTGAGATTATGGCTCACTGTAGCTTTGACCTCTCCCAGTCCAAGCAATCATCCAATCTCAGCCTCCCAAGTAGCTGGGTCTGTAGGCACATGCCACCATGCCTGGCTAATTTTTGATTTTTGATTTTTTGATCCCAGAGATGGGGTCTGGCTATGTTGCCCAGGCTGGTCTCAAACTCCTGGATGCAAGTGATCCTCCCACCTCAGCCTCCCAAAGAGCTGGGATTATAGGTGTGAGCCACTGCGTCTGGCCTATCTTTTCAACTAAAAATGTAAAAAGATGTCTGGAGGAGAGACCTTTGCTCAGCACAGGTGAAGAAAGTTTAGTATGTATAACTTGTTCAAGTTGAGGACAGACAGGTATCTTTGAGCCACTTGGTCATATCCTTGCCACCTCCCTCTACCTCCAATCCAGGGTAGTCTTCCTTCAACCAGGAATGGACATCTTACTGCAAAAATGTCCTCTTCCTTTTCTAACTGCCTCAGCTTCAGACTCTGTTGTGGCTTTGAACACTTTCCTCAGATGTCTTGAAGTGTTTAGAAGATTATAATAGTAACAGTAATAATCGCTTACATTTATCGGGCACTAACCATGTACCAGACACTGAGAATTTTTCACGGATCATTTTACTTAATTTTCAGAGCAATCTATGAGTTAGGTACCATTATTACTTTTATCTTTAGAGAAGTGGAAACTGAGTTGCCGACAGAAGTTACCTGCCCACAGTTACACAGCTAGGAAGAGGTGAAGCTAGGATTTCGGTACTAAAGTCTCTGTATTCAATCCCTTCCTGCTTGAAATACTTAGTGTGGTTTCTGTTTTCCTGGCTGAACCCTGGCTGACATAAGTACTATCCAAGAGAAAGACTTGACTCAGGGTGCTCCAAGGATTCATTGGAGAAATCAGACTGAGGAGGGAGAAGGGAGTATACAGGCAAGTGGGTGAATGCACGTGTATGAGTGTTGTATCAGTCAGGGCCTAGTCAGGAGACAGAAACCACACAATAATTCCAACAGGGAAGGTAGAATATAAAGAATTATTAACTAGGAACAGGGGACTGGTTACTACTTAGAGGGTAAAAGAGAACTCTAATATATCTAGACTAGAATAAACTTAGAAGAGGTGCCCCTCTTTGGAGATGGTATGGCTGAAGCACTGAATGGCATAAAAGTTTGCTGAGGTCAAGGTCAAACAGGTCAACCCTGGTAAGTGCTGGATGTGAACAAAACTCATTGGTAAGCTTCCTGCCATTGAACCTGCCAGGAAGTTACTGAAGAGAACCTTAGCTGGGAAACTTTTTGGGGAGCTTCCCCAAGGTGCTACTGAAGTTTTCTGGGGGTGACAGTCACTAAGTGTTCTACATGTGGGCCAAGCATTAGAGCTTTGCCAGAGTAGGAAAAAAGGAAGGCACTCAAGAACCAGGAAGAGAAGCCCCTTCCTCCAGTGACGTCTCTCCAGTGCTATCTACTGACAAAGCTTAATACTGTGCTAGCTAACAAGGGACATGTTAATAGGTTCAGCTTCAGTTATCACAAGCAGGGAAATTAAGTGAGGATGTGCTGCAGAGAGGCAATACATGGGAAACTGGCATAGTGTGTACTTACTAGCAAGTCAGTTTCCTTTCAACACACCTGCCTCTTTGCCCTGGGGAAATGTCCTGACTTGAGAAGTTCACCCAAAAACAGTATTTTGCAAGCCCCTTCCACATTCATGACCCTGTCCTAGGCACTCCGAGGAAACACCAAGGATCATCATATACAATTCCTTCCTTTCTGGAATTTATAATCAAGTTGGAGACAGGGAATGCATCTTAATGTTCTCTAAATACATCCTATGCTTGCCTGCCTTCCTGTCTTTGCTGGCAGTTTCCTTGGCCTACAAAACCCTCTTATTTCCACCTGTGAACATACTCCCATCTCCAGCTACTACCACCTGTGCTACACGTCTCTCTGGCTGCCTGGTGATAAAATGTTCTGGCCTTGTGTCATCTCTACCACTAGATTAGAGGCTGGCTGAGGACGGAGCACACTACCTTGCTCACTGTAGGTGCCATTAAAGAGTCAGTTTGGTCAATGGCCCTGGCCAGGAGGGACTGGCTCCCTTCTGGTTGGCAAGTATGAAAAAGGCTGGTGGACCAGAGGGTCAAAGAGTTATACCTTCTCTCTCTTTTTTTTGGGGGGGGGTGCGGGGGAGGGATGGAGTCTCACTCTGTCACCCAGGCGCGATCTCAGCTCACTGTAACCTCTGCCTCCTGGGTTCAAGTAATTCTTCTGCCTCAGCCTCCCGAGTAGCTGGGACTACAAGTGTGTGCCACCATGCCTGGCTGATTTATTGAGGGAGACTCCAACGATATCATAAGGGAGACCCTCCGCTATCTTTCAGCTGAGCCAGTTTGTGCACCGGGAATTAAGAAAGCAAATTCTAAACGGCTTCTTGGGAGCGGCACCAACAGCAGGTGCATGACTATGCTCCAAGCCCACATGTTGTAAGATGGAAACAATAACAGCCCCATAGGAGGCAGAACAGGCAAAATTGCCCTCATTTTTAGATGCAGGAGCTGCACCCCCAGAGGATTCCAATAACTTGCCAAGGTTATTTTTAGTAGAGTCAGAGTTTCACTATATTGGCCAGGCTGGTCTCAAACTCCTGACGTCGTGATCTGCCCGCCTCGGCCTCCCAAAGTGCTCGGACTACAGGCATGAGCCACCGCGCCTGGCCACCTTCTCCTTTTTGTGCTCACACACACCCAGCAGAACCAGAGGCCTTAATTCCTAATTCCTAACCACTTTCCTTTTATTTCTCTACCTTGATGTGGGTGGATCAGCAGTAGATGAATTCTCACAACGTTGGATGTACATCAAAGTCTTATAAGTTCAATTCTATTTTAAATGCTTGGGTAGCAGGGTGACAGGTGTGGGAACTTTGCTGTTTAAAGGAACTTTATGCATAATTGGAAAAACTGCTTTCCCTCAGTTTATAATTTATGGGAACCCAATAGTCATTCGTGTACTGGGTTTGGTAAATCAAAGCCCCCTTAAGGTGACCTCGGAGAAACCTGAATAAAGGTGTTCTTGGACTCAAGCAGATTGGAGCTGCAGAAGAAAGGAATGTTCCAAGGTAGAGTCTGTGTTAGGCTGAAATCTGCGGCTTTCATTATTCAGAGCTGGAAGGGGCCCTGGAAACCATCCAGCCTGGGCCCATGGTAGCTATCAGTAACAGCTTACTGATTGATTCATTTGGGATCAGAGGAGAGACCCGGTGGAGTGTAGTGGAAGATGTTCTGCGCGGGTGACAGGAGTCCTGGCATTCTGGCCCCAGCTCTGCCATTAGCCAAGCCAAGACCTTGGCAAGTTATTGGAATCCTCTGGGGGTGCAGCTCCTGCATCTAAAAATGAGGGCAATTTTGCCTGTTCTGCCTCCTATGGGGCTGTTATTGTTTCCATCTTACAACATGTGGGCTTGGAGCATAGTCATGCACCTGCTGTTGGTGCTGCTCCCAAGAAGCCGTTTAGAATTTGCTTTCTTAATTCCCGGTGCACAAACTGGCTCAGCTGAAAGATAGCGGAGGGTCTCCCTTATGACATCGTTGGAGTCTCCCTCAATAAAGCCTCCTTGAATGTTTCATCTGACACCTTTTTTATTTTGCATAAATTAACACAAAATAAGCTTATTCCCCTAAAGAACTCTCCACTGTGTGCACTGCTCTATCCTCCCACTCCCCTCAGCAACAATAAGAGGGTAACCTCGTGCAGCTCTGTGAAGCAAGCATTAACTGATACTGCCCCCTTGTGGTCCCCGCTTAACGTTGGTGGGAGGCTTTCAGCTTAGTTTGTCCAGGGATTCCTGCTCCTGCCCCATTGCAGAATTATCAGAAGGTCACCTCAGAAAAGCAGAACCAACAAGAACCTTGGGAGGGATTTCAGCTTCAGAGAATGCCCGGTGGCAACCCAAGTCAGTAGCACTAGCTTTGTGGAGGTCTGTGTTCCAGGGAGGAGATGAACGTGGGAGGAGGATACGTGGGAGCTGGACCCAGACAGAACCATGGGAATGAGATGGACCATGGAAGGAGCCAGAAGTAGGGGGGCATACGGCGTTTGGGAGGCCTAGCAGGAGGCAGTAAGCAGCCATCCCAGCAGGCAGGTGCAGCATGGCCTGAGGCTCCTTCCAGCAGACAGGAGGCATCGACAAAGCTGTGGAAGTAAGGGGCTGGGTTTGTCCTGTGGCTTGGGGTAGGACATCAGACCCTTGAAGGGATGTAAGGTTAAGAGCTGGGGGACCTGAAGTGGAATGACAGATAGAAGACTGAGGCAGGAGGAGGGGGGGGCGGTCTGGCAGGAAGCCAAGTTCAGGACTGAGGAAATAAGGTGAGGGGCCAAGAGTAGGCATTCGGGTCTCGAACTGCAGTAGTGGGTGGGACTCAGTTACCAGATTTGGGGGTTAGGTTAGGGAAGGTGTGGTCCAAGGCTGACCTGCACCATAGGCACTGGGTATTCCCACAGGTGACTGAGAGGCCCCTGGGTTGACCAGAGTCCCCAGAGGTGAGCTGGATCTATGGGAAAGGAGTCAGTGCCCAGCTGCATGTGAGGGATGGTCACTCCAAACCTGTGTTTAGATCTTTATAAGATTCTGTGTAAGATCTGAGTTTGGCAAATTCTGGAGCACCTGGCTTGTTTCTTCTCTGCCAACCCCAGCAGAGCCTGCACCCACCCCAGACAGCTCAGGCAGGCCCTGCCCCTTCCCTAACCTTGCACTGCTAGAGCCTGATTTGAGCCCCAGTGTAACTTCCTTGCCAGGAAATCAAAGCTGGCATGGGAGCTGCAACCCTGAGAGGAATCCCATCTACAGACTCATGCTAACTCATGGTGACGGGTCACACGTGGTGACGTGCCACTCTTCCCAGGCATATTTGCCTTTGTATCGAGGCCTCTTCATCCAACGATGAAGTTTTAGGTGTAGAGGCAGGTTAATGAGAGAGATGGCTGGGAGTCAGGGGAAGGCTTCTCAGACCCTTTTCTTGTGCCACAAGATGATGAATACCTATCAGCTTAAAACACAAGTACTTAATGTAGGTCCCTCCTTAAAAACCCAAACACGGGCTGTGGCTGTGACTGTGTTGGCTGTCTGCTGGTTAAGAGGCTGCCTCAGTTGCTGGCAGGTTCAAAAATGGCTCATTTTACAGGGACTGAATCAGCACCTGGGTTTCGTCTGAGGTTTAGAGGAGTTTTGAACATGGCTTTGCTTTCAGAGGTCAACCATTTGGGCAGTGTTTCCCAGAGAGTATTTCTCAGGAAGCCAATCCCAAGGGATGGACCATGAAGATCAAGTTTCCATGACTGGAAAGTTTGGGAAGTTCTGTACACCATACCCGCCTGCTAGAAATTCATGATTCATATGGTTGTGTTGAAGCATCTTGAGACATCTGGCATTGAAGGGAACCGCTGTACTTTTTGTTTAATGCAGATTTTCCCAAGTTTATTTGACTCTAGACTCATTACCTCTGGTGTGCTCTGTGTTTCCATCCCTCAGAACTAGTTTCCCACAGAATTCAAGGGGAACCTGCTTTGGCGATATAAGAGAGTGGATCCAATGAAGCTTTGACCTGCAGAAGCTGCCAGAAAGCCTCTGACCTTGGTGTGCACTACCTGCAACTTCAAAGGGGCTTCCACAACAGCCCCAATCCACTCCTGTAATCTCCCTTGACTGCCTTGGGTCATATACCTGCAACATGAGATTGGAAGTAGGATTGCCAGAGTTAGCAGCTAAAAAGAGAGGAGGACCAGCTACATTTCAGATAAATAACGTTTTCATATAAGTATATCCCAGGCAGAATCTGGCAAGCTTATGTGAAAGATGCCTGAGAGGTATGGGGAAGCCTCTGGGAACAGGCGGACCCTGAGAGGTCTTAGGGGAGAACTGTGCTGGGCCCTTGACATCGTGCCGTGATGCCACCACCACCAGTCATTTATGAGGGCACGTATGCGTTAGGCCTTGGGCTAGGGGTCCACATGAACCTTTGTTTCATTCCTTTCATGGGGGATTGTGATTATCACCTCTATTTATGTGTGAAGAAACTGTGGCTCAGAAACGTTAAGCTATTTGCTCATGCATGTCACACAACTCTTAAGTAGTGCAGTTGAGATCCAGACCCAGGTTTGTTTTACCCAGAGCCTGTTTTGTTTTCCTTCTTCTTGGACTTGGTACCATCACACACATGTGGACTGACATATAGGCCCCCACAAACTGCGTTGAAAAAGATCCCATAACCCTTTACCTCTCCCCGTTTAAGGCACCCTGCAAGCTTACACATGACCAGTCTCCTACTGACAACATTGCTGACTCAGGGATGAAGGAAGTGGTGGAAGTTTCGATTTGACGACACTTAATTGAACCTTCTCTCCCCTAATTTTTGATTTTCACTGCTCGCCATTGGCCAGATGTCACCTTCTGTTCCCCTTGCACCATTTCCCTTTTTTGTCCCAAGCAGACTTCCTCTTTGGGGGCCTTGCAGCCTGTGGTACATTTCTTTAATGCACCACTCACGTTCAGATGTTTCTATTGGCTCACGTGTTTCTGTACTTCCAGACTGCAGGCTTTTCTGGGACAGGGACTGTTTGATTCATGTCTACCCCTGTGCCTAGCATGGCACCTGGGACACAGCAGGTGCTCACCTGCATGCTTGTTGGATGATAAGTGAGATAAGACATGCTGGAAATGGCAAAGAAGTGCGTCTTGGCTGGAGAAAGTGAAACCTATCATTATTGATTTCTTGCCATTCAAGAGTAATTTTCTTCATGGCCCTCCCCTGGTTGATTTTCAAGTTTGCTTTAGAAACCTGGGCCCAAGATCGTCTCTCTGGCAGCAGTACTGCTTTTGTCCACAAGATGGCAGGCGAGGCCAGCAGGAAGGTGGCGGTCAGCAGCCAGAGCCAGGTCAGAGCAGGTCACTGATATTTTTCACAAAATGCGGGAACCTCTTTGCCACCTTGTAAATGCACATTGAGAGTAAGAAGTGGGCTTGGAGGCAGCTTCTCTGGCTGACCCCAGTGAAAAGGAGTCTTTTGGAAAGGATGTTTGAAGAGAAGTTGTAACAGCAAGTTGTGAAGGGGCTGCTCTTCATAAACCCCCTTTGAGTAGTGTCCCTTGAAACGCCACGCAGAAGGAAGTCAATAGGAAGCCATCACACTCCAAATGATCCAGGACAACCTCCGCCTTGCCTGGCAAGCCTCCTTTGCTTTGGAAATTGCTCCTGGTTCTGTGGCTCTGAGGGATCCTTCTCCCCATTCCCCAGGTTTATGGAAGTTTCCAAAGGAGCCACATCACTGTGTGCACAGGTCTGTGCTCACCCCAGAGGTCAGTAAAGACTTTCTGACTTGAGCCGACTGGAAAGAAGTGACAGCTTGAAAAAATGGCCTGGGGACTTTCCAGAATATAGGAATTTGCCAGATAGCTCTCTTGCGGGGCCCACCAATACTTTCCCCCCAAAGCCAGTTGTAATGACTAAGGTAAGGCCAGGCTTTCCCACCCCCTGTCCTGGGGGGCATAGGTGTGGCCATGGGAAGAGGTGAAACGCCTCGATCTTGTGCTGAAACAGATTCTAAGGCTGCAGCCGCGCCCACCCCTCCCATTTTTCTTCTGACCTAAATCTTCCCCTGAAGCTGAGCTGGGCTCCCAGCCAGGGTGTCAGCCGTGGACAAAGGCGCCCTGTTTTGAAGGCCTGGTTACTGTGTTTTCCTGCACCATCTGACAAATGGCGTTGGACTCCCCCGAGTCAACGTGATAACAGAAATATACAACGATGGCAGTTGCCTCAGTCTGACCTTCCAGGAAACCAGAAACACTGCCCCTCCAGTTTCTACCACATGGCCGTGGGGTTGCTTATAGGAGCAGCCCACTCCTCCGCCTCAAGTCTGGCTGACCACGTGGTGGGAGCTGGGCTGGATCCTTCCTCAAGCTGAGCTTGTCCTATTTTTTCTGGCTGACTGGGGAGCCAGCCACTACTCACTGCTTTTCCTCAGGGTCTTTGGACCGTGAGTGAGTGACGTCCTCAATGATGGCCTGTTGTTCCCTCCCCCTGCTGCTGCCACCTCCTCCTCTTCAGTGCCCTGGCTCTTCTGCCTCTGGCACTGCAGAGAGAATGAGAAATGACTGGGCTGGGCTGGACACCAGGGCGAGTTCTGCTGAAGCTACCCATTGCTGTGCCACCATGGGGAGACAGATCTTTCAGCTCCCGAGGCACGGTTTCTGCTTCTGTAAAACGGGGATAGTAACACATGCCCCGTCTAACTTACCAGTCATCTGGAGGCCATAATCATATATGTGGTGCAGATGACAAATGGGGTGTGCATTCAAGGTGGACAGGACTCTCTGTGGGCCTGGAAGGTGGAAGGAGGGGGAGGAGGGTGGAAAGGACAGGAGGGATTTAGACATGTCACATTATGGGGGAGACTGTGCCAGGTAAAGAAATGGTGGGAACAACAGCACAATGACAGGAATCCACAGAACATTTCTAAGGGACAGTGGGTACGTCATTCTGGCTTAATCAAAAGCTGTGAGTGTGTACACACATGCATAAGTGCACTCGTAATGGGGACATGAGCCTGGAAACTTGGTAAAAGATCCAATTATAGAGGGCCTTGAAGTCCCAGCTCATTGTTTTGTGGAACATTGCAAATTTATGAGAAAAGATCACATGCAAAGTCGTGTCAGGAAGATTACTGTGGCTTTTGCGTATGACAGGCTGGACAGGCCCGTTTAGGAAATGATTGTAAGTTCTGGGCCAGAGAGGAAGATGTGTGAGACTGAGAAGGTGCCCAGGGGACAGATGTAAAACCCTCCTGTAGAAGAATCAACAGGGCTTGCCTGAGTTCAGGCCTCAGAGGCTAGGGGAGTGGTGGTACCATGGAGAACCAGGGAAGACCACAGAAGAAAGCCAGGTCTGGGCAGAAAGTTTAGCTTCAAAAGTACTCTACGTGGGATGACTGTGTTCATTTGACCACACATAAGCAGTGACAGGTGGGAAGGACAGTGGGGCCCACAGTCAGGTAAGACTCCTCCGACAAATGCTCCTCACCATTCTGGTCTCCTTGTGCTCTCAGAAGGCGGTCTTCACCCTGAGCCTGCATCCCGACTCAGCCTCTAGCTATCAATCAGTTTCATAAATGGGCCAGCTGGCCTGGCTCTCTGCTGAGCTCTGACCCTGGCCTATGTAGAAAGATCCCTGGCCAGAATGTGCCGTGTCTTTGGCTGGATTTTGCTTCACTAGGGGCTGCTGTTCTTCTCCCTGCAAAGCCCAGACTCAGCTGTTTTGAGGGTAGGTCGAGAACTTAGCCCCATTTGGCAGGCTTCATTTGGGGAGTAGAGACCAGAAATTCTGCTCAAGAAGGAGGCGAGGGAGACAACAAAGATGGTAGGAAATTTTCTGGGAAGAACAAAAGGCAGCAAGAGGCGTTTCTTCCCTTCAGTTCGGGCCTTTCAGACAGCTGCTCCTATGATTGATGGAGATATTTATTTGCTGCAGTTTTCTTGGAATCACCAATCTCTTGTCAGTGCTCAGCACCCCTCAGGAGAACACTGCTGGCATTATAAGGTGTGCATTTTAATTCTAAGGGAGTTTTAGGTGCAGGCAAGATGTTGATTAAATATGGAACTGGCAAGAGAAGATAGGTATAAGAGCCTACAGAAGAGTTGGGGGTGGGGGAGAGGACCCAGCTCTGCTGCTGACTGAGTCCCCTCCTCCCTCCAGATTTCAGTTTTCTCACCTGTGAAATGAAAATACTGGGCTACAGGATCTCCAAGCTTCTTTTGTATCCTGGCATTCTGATTGGTTTTGTGCCATGGTCCCAGACTGGAGCTGGGTTTTGTGGGCAATGGTGGAGAAAAAAAGCACAGAATTTGCTGTCTGGACAAGGCAGCCATGGAACTGGCTATCTTGAACCACTCATAAGCTTTTAGATCAGTCTGGATCAGCTGAACAGAAGTCTGATCTTGTAGGCCAATGTAAAACCTCACACTGTTCTGTGGCTCCTACCAGGTTTCACACTGGCCTACCAGGCCGACCAGAGCAATAGTCTCCATATGCTGTCATGGGATCATAAATAAAAAAGAGAGATGGTCAAATAATTTTCAAATATTTTAAAAAGAAATGAAGCCCTTTTTTTAAAAGGAAAATTTCTGTGGACTTCAGATAAAACAGATACAGCTCTGGCTGTTTTGGTAGAAGGGGCCTAGAGGATGGCTCAGCATGCCCTTTTCTCACCTGCCCGACCCCCACGCTCCTTCATGGAACCCACAGACTCTAAGCAGTGCAGTTTTAACATGGCCAACCCATGAGTCAATCTAATGGCAGATATGGGGACAAGTGAGGTCCCTGATTCCAGGTCCATATTATGCTGTTGCCTTTTTAAAAGTCACTTTAAGAACCAGTATGTGAATTCTCCTTCTGTGTCTGCTATGAAAATTATGATGAAGATAAACAATGTGTGTTTTGTTGAGCATTGCACAATGTCCACTACGGAAGGTTCTCCGCACCTCCATAAGAAATTTGTTAGCAATTCATATTAGGAAAATCTTTATCTTTTCCCCAGGAACTGAAATGCCTCTCAGCTCTTTGTTCTAAAACAAACAACATGCAACACACAAAACTTTTGTCTTCCGCTAGGGGTATGTTGCCAAGGTAAGATGTATGTCACAGGGTATTTCCATCTTTGTGCTGCATGGGGCTGCTGTGGACCCACACTTGGCATCCATTCCAAGCTCTTGTGTCTTCTTGTACCTGGGAGGCTAGAAAATTGAAAATGGTATTTCCTAGATTCCCTTGCTCCTAGTATTCTGGATTTAAAAGTTACCACCATCAGATGCACCAATGAGATCTCTAGGAGGAGGACGTGGAGCAGAGGCCATCTTCATGCTGTGCTGGCTCTTGCTGGTGGCAAGCAGGGCTCTGAGGTATGAACATTGCTGCAGTGGTGACTCCATGTCCAGCTGTTAGCTTCATAGGTGTCATGGCACATCAGCAGGGGTGTAATGCCTCCCTGACCCTGCGATTGGAAATTTGGCAGTGTGTTCTTGATTTCAATAATTCTGTGTGCTAAGCTTTGATTCTCTGCCTTCTCGATTATAATAATAATAATCATTATAATTGTTTCTTTGTATGTCTCCCTATTGGTTCTTGCTTCCCTCAGTGACAAACGTCTATTTGGGGTTTTACAGCTTATGGAGCCCTTTTCCTTATTATAATTGACCACCACAGCCAACATGGGAAGCCAATAGGGAAGGTTTATTAAAATTAGAAGACCACATGGTCGTTGCCATGGTGGAGGTATGTACAAAATGTGGTGGGCGCCTAGGTGGGATGCTTCGGGTGACTTGAAAAAGTTGGACGAGGCTTTAGAGGTCGTGGCATCTGAGCTTCGAAGGGTGAGATATGTAGAGACAGATGGGCACTGAAGGAACTTGACCATCAGAGGGAGAAGCACCCACAAGGGTATGGAGGCACCCTCAGGAGAGAGGGCATGTGGTCCAGGACTCTTGGAGGAGGAAGGGCAGTGGCTGGAGATGACGCTGACCTAGAAGGCCTGTGGGGAGGGCCTGGCATGCCTGCCCAAGGGGAGTTTAGATTTTCCCTGTAGATGACTGAGAGGCAAGGCAGTTGAAACACTGTAGGATGGCCTTCAGGGGTGAGATCAGAAGCAGAGAGACTGGAGGAGGCTGTGATGGCAGTTGAGATAAGAGGTGATCAGGAGGTGGCAGTGATCAGGGGATTGGTGATCAATCAGATGTGGAGGGTCAGAGAGAGGAAATGGCCAAGGACCACTCCTGGGTTTCTGGCTTGGCCAACTGGATGAACGGTGCTCACTGAAAAAGCAAGCTCTGGATGAGGAGCTGGCTTGGCTATGTTAAATTTTCAACTCTCTGGTTATCAGCTGGTTAGCTAGGTCTAACACTTGAGAGAGGTCTGTGTGGAGGCATCTATTTTAGAGTTGTTCAGTGTTCAGGTGGCAATGTGATACCTTGGGTATGGGTGATTTTTTTTTTTTTTTTTTTTTTAAGAATGTGAAGAACAAGGGAGGATTTAAGATAAAGCTGATGGTACTCAATACTTAAAGAGACCTACAAAAGAGACAAGGGAAGAGTGGCCTGAGACAGAGAAAGAAAATTAAAGGAGGAGAGAGGTTCAAGGAAGATGCAGTGGTTAGCAGTGTCAGAATTGCAGGGATGTCCAGTAAGGTGAGGACTGAAAAGTTTCTTTTGGGTTCAGCAGGTCACTGGGGACCTTGGCAATTCGATTTATTTTCCATATATATATATATATATATATATATAGAGAGAGAGAGAGAGAGAGAGAGAGAGAGAGAGAATGTATATATGAGTGCCTACTTTATATATAGAGTGCCTACTATACGTATATATAATATATATACTATATACATACTATATATATTTTAGATATACTATGCATAGTATGTACATATATGAGTGCCATATATATATATATCTATATCTACTATATGCCAGGCACAGTTCTTGGAGCTTAGGCTATCCAAGTGAATAATTCCATTCTAGAGGGGGAAGATAGCTAACAAAGAATGAATGCAACAAACAAGTACACTTATAACATGATAGATGCACATTTATACTATATCTATAGGTAAGAGCTATAGATTAAAAAATGTAGAACATACTCAAAGGAAATCCGGAATGTTGGGCAGGGGTTTTAATTTTAAATATGGTGGTCATGAAGTTACATTTGAGCAAATACTTGAAAGTGGTGAGGGGTTGACCATGTAAACATCTGGAAAAAGCATTTTAGAGAAACAGCATAGCCATTAAAAAGGCCTTAAGGTAAGCTACACCTGGCATGTTCTAAAAACTCTACCGAGGAAGCCAGCTAGGGTGGAGTGAGTGAGGGAGAGTAGCAGGAGATCAACTCAGGGAAGTAAGGGCAAAGTAGAGGCAAATCTCCCAAGGCCTAGTAGGCTATGGAAGGAATTTGGCTTTTGGGGGCCTATGGAGAGTTTTGAGTCAAGGAATGACATGGTCTAAATTATGCTGTGGCTACTGTGTTGATAATAGGCTGTAGGGAGGGTGGGGTCACACAGGGAGACCTGCTGTTGTAGGAATCCAGGCAGCTTGGGTCAAGGTGGTGGCAGGGAGGTGGCCAAATTTGATTTCAATAATTCTGTGTGCTGAGCATGTAGAAGTGGTCCAATTTTGGCTATACTTTGAAGGTAGAACCATAAGAATTCCTGACAGATTGGGATGTGGAGGGCAAAAAAAAAAAAAAAAAAAAAAAGAAGAAAAATATTACTTTGTATTTCCTAGCATGAGCAACTAGAAGGATGGCTTTGCCCTCAACGGAAGTGGTGAAGACTATGGGTGAAAAAGGTTTGGGTTCAAAGATCAGAAGTTTAGATTTGGCCATGTTGAGTTTGAGCCATCCATTAGACATCTAAATGTAGATGTGGACTAGGCACTTTTGGTAGCTGAGAGGGGTGGAAGCTGCATTGGTGGTGCTCACCTTGGGAAGAAAATGTAGGTGAGAAAGTGGAGGCTGAAACTGTAGACCACATGTCCCATGAGCTTGGCTGTGAAAGAAAGGTGTGCTCTATGGTGACAGCGCGAAAAGAGGGACGGGTTGAAGGAGACTTTTTTTTTTTTTTTTTTTTTAGGCAGGGTCTCATTCTGTTACCCAGGCTGGAGTGTAGTGTTACATTTAATAGGTCACTGCAGCCTTAACCTCCTGGGCTCAGGCGATCCTCCCACCTCAGCCTCCTGAGTAGCTGGGACTACAGGCATGCACCACCACACCTGGCTAATATTTGCATTTTTTTGTAGAGATGAGGTTTCATCATGTTGCTCAGGCTGGTCTCAAAATCCTGGGCTCAAGTGATCCTCCCATCTTGGCCTCCCAAAGTGCTGGCATTACAGACGTTGGGCTACTGTGCCTGACCAGAATTTTTAAAGAAAGAAGAGCCATGAGCTTGTTTACAGGAAGAAGTGAAGAATCCAGTGGGAATCCAGAGGTTGACAGTCATTGAAGAGAACTTGTTCCTGAGGGAGCCAGGTCCCTGAGGAGTCAGTGACAACAGATACATCTGAACATCCAGATGTCCTTTCCTCTGAGGAGGGGTACGGTGAAGGACATACAGAGTTAAGATTTCTAGGGGGTGGTGACGGAGGGGCAGGGAGTTGGGAGATTTTTATTTACGTTTCTGTAAAGTAAGAATTAGGGACAACTAAGAGAGAAAAGGGAAATTGGGTTGGGAACTTGAGGAAAAACATACATGTTTAGGAGAGTCCTTGAGGAGACCATTGAGGAGCAGCCAGGAATGTTGATGGTACAGCTGATGCCATAAATTTTGTGGGACATCATTCTTCCCCGTGGTGAGATTTTCTCCAGCAGCTCAAAAAGTAGCCCTTGTCTAGAGGGAGGATATTTAGATCATTCCAGGATTCGGAGTTTACTGGGGGTAGATGTGATAGAAAGACAAGAAGATGACTGTGCCGAGGTGGTTGACAATAGAGCAATTGAAGTGGAACCTGGTAGGGTCTTGGCTGGATGCGGAAGTGAAGTCAGGAGGTGCAGGTAGATATGGAGAGCCAGGTAGAGTCAGGAGCTCAGAGGTCAAGTTGTGTGAGGGCAGAGAGTAATTGTAGTGGGAGGATCTGAGTGAGAGCTGGAGGGATGAGAGGTTCTGATCTGGTGTGCAATTGAGATGAAGACTTGAATGATGAGGTAGTTCTTGTTGGTGTTGAGATAGAAGGTATGACCAGGAGGATGGGCAGCCCAGTATAGAAAGAGGGGAGTCACTGGAGTTGAGAATGTTAAGAACCTGAAGACTAGGATGTTCAGTATCATTTACATGGTAAACAATTCTCCCAAGATGGTGCCAGGAATTAGGGTGAAAAGGAAGTCAGTTGGTCTGGATAATAAACCCCTCAATCTAAGTGTGGAAAGTCTAGGCAGTCCCTAAAGAAAAGTAACAATGAGGAGTTGTGGACAATGTGATGCTTGGCTTTGCCACCAAGGAAAGAGGGGTTTTGTCCAAAAGCTGAAGAGAAATGGCCTGGTAAGTTTGTTTCTCTTTCTGAAGTCCCTCTGTGTATTTTTTTGCATCTCTGACAGCCTGTATTCTATTTGAACTCCTACTACTACTGACTTTTTTTTTTACAAGTTTCTTTCTTGCATAATACCGTTAGGTCCTTCAGGACAGGTACACTATGCTCTCACGCTGTAAATACTTATAAACATTGGTTTACAAATGGAGGGTGGGCCAGATTGTGATTTACTTTGGGTACATTGCCTGAAACCAAATGGGCAAGAGCTTTATTTTTTCTCTATCAATTTGCATCTTCAACAGAAGCATCCCATTCCCAATGCTCAAGGTCTGAGGATTTCTGGCCTCACATGGAAAACAAGAGAGATCTAAGAGTCCCTTCTTTGTCACCTCCTGAGACCTTGATCTAGAAGTTTTCACAAAACCTGAGTTTGCTCAGGCTTCTGGTGACCTGACAACTGATGGGGAAACACAAGAAACTGGAGAAGATGCCAAGCCCAGAAATGGCCGCTGGAAACCAAAGATTCTAACAGAAGATTACTTGTACAATGAACAGCAAACCAAATGCAAAGGCAAATATTTAATTTTAGGTGGAGCTTTATTTTCCTTATATCAGAATAACAGAGACCTTGGATCAAAGCCTCTGGGACTAATGACAAAAAAATTAAATTAAGTGTAATTATATGCCACTCAAAGACTCCTGGGAAGCCATTCAAATATGCAAGGGTCCTTTGTGAGAGGTAGAGTTAGTTCTCCCTGATTGAGAAAGGCAAACTGAGGAGGAGGTGGGCTGAGTGGAGGTAATTGTATTTGATAAACTCAATTACTACTTCTCAGCAACTGGGATGTGTCCTGCTAATACAATGGAAAAAATGATTATGTGTTCTATCCCTTTGATGATCCAAGTGAACAAAAGTAGAAATAACAAAGTTTCTAGAACCTGGCAACTTCAAGGCAAGACCAGATCCTAAATTATGGAAGATATTTCAGAACTCATTAGTACAGATTGGACTGACCTACTTAGCCTGTTTGTGGATGGCAGATACCTGAATGCCAGGAAAAAAGGGATGTTGGTAGCCCCTTGAAGGCAGGTACTAGGTCTCTCTTCAGTCTCCTCTTGCACATAGCATAGGCATTGCCCACAGTTGGTCTGGGGAATGCTCTGTTTCTGTCCCCTGAGTAATGAGGCCTTGCTGCTTTTTGGATATAGTTGTATACACAGTAGTTGCTTCTGGTGTTTTCTCTTTGGAGTGGTTGTAAAAGGCAGCTTTAGTTCACACATTGATTCCATGTTAGCCCTTAGAGACTTAGATATGTAAAAATTAACAAACAAATCCAAAACCAAATCTTACCTTTAGCCAAAAACTAGTTATGGCTTGAATTGGATTAACAGCATTCTTTTCATAGTGCTATGAGTGCCAATACATATTTTGCCTCTCCAGTTTTTGAAAACCTATCTTTGTCCTAACCTTCAGACTCCCATGTCTAGCTGCTCCCTGACTGCTCCTGCAGGCACTCAGATTCAACCCCCACCGCCCTCCTAAACTTTCCCCTTCTCTCCACCTAAGCCCCCACTGTCCTCTGCTGGGCCCCCACCCAACTCCCTGGAGTAACCTAGAGTCACCGTTCTGTCTCAGCTAGTCTAATGGCCACCTCCCAAATAGCCCTCTCCCAACTTTCTTCTCAGGCCTGTCCTCTTTCTCCAACTCCAGCAATAGTCATAGGCCATGCCCTTCTTACATCACATGGACAGGGCCGCCGTTCCCACCTGGCCTCCTGGCTCTATCTTCTCATCAATCCATCCTCTACGTTGTTGCTGTAATACTCTTTGAAAACAAAGTGAAAAAAACGAAATGCAGAGGGATTACACTGCACGTGTCATAGTGACTAAGAGCATGGACTTCGTAAACTCCAGCTCTGCCATGTCCTGGCTGGGAGCCTTAGTTGCTTCACTGGTAAAACTAGGACTAAAAATAATCCCTGCAGCAGATAGCTATTGTGACAATTCAGTCAGCAAATCTGTAAACGACAGTGCCTGGTTCAGAGTTACCTTTCGGTGACTGACCACAGCTTAGAGCAATCGTTTCCACATTGTGCTTAGAGGCCTGGGACTCTTTCTGTCAATAAGCAGTTTTTGGTATTCTGAGGAAAGCAGGGGAGCACTGACATATAAAAGACTATTCAGGTTCTACTTTTATTTTAAATTTTATGTGAATGTTTTAAATTGAAAACTGATTTTCCCTTAAGCTTTTCAAAAATTACACATCCTTTAAAAATTATTTATTAATATATATTTTTAGAGATGGGGGTTTCACTATGTTGCCCATGCTGGCCTCCAACTCCTGTGCTCAGGCAATCCTCCCACCTCAGCCTCCCAAGTAGCTAGAGGGGCAGGGAGCTGGACTACAGGTGCACACCACTGCATCTGGCTTAAGCTTTTAAGTTTAACCTGCAGATTTCACTCTATTTTTTGATCTAGCAAATATTTAGAATCGTGTTAAAGGGGCCCCTAAAATGTCCAAACTGCCTTTGAAATTCCATGTATTCTGTTTTTATTTTTTTAAAGGGTTCCAACTATGTAATTAATCAACATTATCTTCTAAACTACTTCATAATTTTCAAAAATATATGAAACATATTTGTGTATATATGTATGTGTGTATATATATGTGTGTGTATATGTGTGTGTGTGTGTGTGTATATATATATATATATACACATATACATATATAGTAACTTTCAGTATTCTTTTGTTGTTCTTCTTCTTTCGTTTTGAAAAAGGGTCTTGCCCTGCCACCCAGGCTGGAGTATAGTGGTGCGATCACAGTTCATTGTAGCTTCAACCTCCTGGGCTCAAGTGGTCTTCCCACCTCAGCCTCCTGAGTAGCCGGGACCATGCTCAGCTAATTTTTTTAAAAAATGTTTTTTTAGAGACGTGGTTTTGTGATGTTGCCAAGCTGGTCTTGAACTGCTGGGCTCAAGCAATCCTCTTGCCTCGGACTCCCAAAGTGCTGGGATTAAAGGTTTGAGACACTGCACTTGGCCAACTTTCAGTATTCTTTGTAAACTTAAAGCCTATTGTAATTTTTAATTTAAAATTATAAGACTAAAAGTAATAGGAATCCTAGATTAGAATCATAAGTCTAATTTGTTTGATACTGTAATTTGAAAATTCTCTTAAACATGATATGGGTTCAAATATTAAATTTATATGTATTCTTAAAATTTAACATGTTACTTTTAGATAGATTTATTTAATCATTCCTATACTTAAATGTAAATCTCTTAGGATTAGAAAGGGACTTATTCAATAAGAAAACAACTGTTTCAACTCAACTTGAGTGACTTGGGGCTTTTGACAAATATGTTCTGAATTTATTAACCAGAGAAGATCCTGGCCAGGGCACAAAGCTTGAGTCTTGCCCATGACACTGCAGCAGGCTCAGGTCTCTGACCTCCAAATGGGCACTGTAAGCCCATTCTTCTATATTCAGTATCAGGTTACACATTGCCTAATTTTTGATAACTGTCTATTACCTCACCAATATTACAACAAACTCTGCTACTCTTTCAGTTAAAATTTCTATTTCTTTGACTTTTTAAGGTATTAATATTTACATGTATTTTGCTCCTGGCTCTTTATACCCTTACAAATCAATTTTATCATCTGATTAAGGAGCAAATAAAATCTTGTTTTATTTCTCCTCTATATTTTTCACTCTGGTATGGCTACCATTGTCACAGATGTTAAAATGACATCAACAGTCCTGACTTCCACTTCTGCTCAATATGAAATAACAGGGACTGAATTGATTGATCCTCTTACCTGAAACAACAACAACAACAACACACACACAAAAAACCAGACAAAGTGTATGAAACAATGGCTCTCAAGACTTTGGGTATGAGGCAACAAAGGACAGTAATCCCTAAAAGACAAAAAAAGCAAGATGAGTCCTACAGTTTCCATACTTTACTGTCTGGAGAGAAATTTCAGGCTGTGGATTAGGAAGGGGGAACTCAGGAACTGCCCAAAAGTCTGCCTGAGTGAAGCAGGTGGAGCTAGGAATCTGGGGAAGCTAAGATGGCTAGTCTTTGCAGAATGGAGAAAGGAAAAGGAGACAGCTATACAGAAAGAACTCTAAATATTAACAGAGGGTCATCCTCAAGTGTTCTGTTGAGTACTGCTCAGTGCATGCACGTGAGAAACTACTACCTGGGGCACCTGAAAGGACAAGAGGGAACCATGGCCCAAGATCACACAGAGGTGAGCAAAGTGCTCATTTCCAATACCAGCCTGGAAGTCCTCAAAACATGCAAAGTATTGGGTAGACTGAGAAGGGTCTTTCCTTGCTAATGGGGAAAATGAACCCTAGAGTAAATGCTGCTCTTGTGTATAAAAGCAAGATCTAGAAGAATCAGGGTTTCCAAATAATGGTATTCAAAAAAAGAAGAAAAAAAAGCTTAAGAATACTTATAGAAATATAAAAATATTCAGCACTCAACAAGATAAAATTCACAATGTCTGGCATCCAACCAAAATTCCAAGGCATGTAAAGAAACAAAAACACAACCCAAATGAGGAGAAAGGTCAGTCAATTGAAACCAACCAAGAAATGACAGAGATAATAAGATTAGAAGACAAAGGTTAAAACAATTATTGTAACTATATCCTACATATTCAAAAGGCTAGAGGAAAGATTGAGCATAATAAGTAGAGAAATGGAAGACCTAAGTTGAACTGATAGAAGTAAAAACTATAATGTCTGAAACAAAAAAAAAAACTAGATGGAAATATTGGCAAGTTATAAATTGAACCAGAAAAGATTAATGAACTTCTGAGGCACAGTAATAGCAACAATTTAAAATGAAACAGAGAGCCGGGCATAGTACCTGTAGTCCTAGCTACTAGGGAGGCTGAGGTAGGAGGATCACTTGAGCCCAGCAGTTCTGGGCTGTATTATGCCGACTCGGTGTCTGCACTAAGAATGGCATTGATACGGTAACCTCCCAGAAGATGGGGGACCATTAGTTTGCCTAAGAAGGGGTGAGGTGGCCCAGGTTGGAAATGGGGAAGGTCAAAACTCCTATACTGATGAGTAGTGGGACCGCACCTGTGAATAACCACTACATTCCAGCCTGGGCAACGTGGTGAGACCCTGTCTCTTAAAAAAGAAAGAAACAGAAAAAATGAACAGAGCACCAGTGAACTTGAGACAACTTCAAGTGATCAATTATACATGCTTTTGGTATCCCAAAGGAGAGGAGAGAGGGAGGAACATAAAAAATAAAAGACATTATAACTAAAAAGTTTCCAAATTTGATAAAAACTATAAATCCACCGAAACCCAATGAACCCAAGTACAACAAACACAAAACTAACCAAGGTGCATTATCATAACATTACTTAACACTCCTGATAAAGAGAAAATCAACTGGGCAACCAGGGAAAAAAAGGTCAAGATAATAACAGAATGCTCATTGAAAACAACGTAAATGAGAAGACAGTGGAGCAATATCTTTAAAGTAATGAAAAAAAATGCTGACCTAGAACTCTTTACCCAGTAACAATATTCTTCAAAAACACTTGCAAAATAAAGATATTATCAGACCTCAAAAAGATGAAAAAAATCATCACAACATACCTGCACTGTAAGAAATGTTAAAGGAAATTCTTCAAGCAGGAAGTAAATGATACCAGAGTAATCCTGGATCTACAGAAAGGAATAAAGAGTGGCAGAAATAGTAACTACGTGGGTAAATGTATAGACTTTTTCTTTCTTATTTAGATTTCTTTAAAAGGCAGTAGACTTTTAAAGCAAAAATAAAGTATAGTGTGTTTTATAACATCCGCAGAAGTGAAATGTATGTCAATAGCACAAAGGACAGGAGAGAAGAAATATAAATATGCTGTTGTAGGGTTCTTTTACTGTATGTGAAGTAGTATAATAACCCTTGAAAGTGAAGAAGCATACTGCATAGTAAAAACATGTTTCCTTCTGTATAGTCATAACACTTCTGACACCAGATGTGCATGTGTATGGGTTTCTGCCCACAAGAAACCCATTTTAATCACGTGCCACACCAGGCATTTCTCCAATTCCCCTTGGACACCAACTGGCTGTCTTATAATTCAATTAAATTATGACAGTATCTACCTAGAGTTAGCACAGATTCCACAGGTTAAGGGCTCAATCCCACAATGCTGCCTCTGACTTCAGATGCCCATCACAAGTAGTGGGTCCCAAGTTACTCACAACTTCTGTCTGGCTTGGCTACAGACAGAAGGGATATTCCCATGATCCCCTCCTCAGGTTTTATCATTTGCTGGGATGACTCACAGAACTCAGGAAAACACATTTACAAATGTATACAAAGGGCATTGCAACAGATACAGAAGAACAGCCAGATGAAGAGATACATAAGGCAAGATCTGGAAGGGTCCCAAGTGAAGGAGTTTCCGTCTCTGTTGGGGTGGGGTGTGCCACTCTTCCAGCAAGTGGATATGTTCACTATTCCAGAACTCTCCAAAACCTGTACTTTATATGGAGGCTTCATCACATAGGCATGATTAATTATTCACTCAATCTTCAACTCTTCTCCCCTCCCTGAGGATGGGGGATGGGGCTGAAAGTTCCAGGTTTCTAATCTTGGTGTGGGCTTTCTGGTGACCAACCCCCATCCAGGAGCCCACCAAGGGTCACCTCATTAGAACAAAAGATACCCCTATTGCCCAGGAAATTCCAAGGGATTTAGGATTTCTGTGTCAGGAACCTGGGTCAAAGAGCAAATATTAGAACAAAAGATGCTCCTAGCACTGCTATTGCTTAGGACATTACAAGGGTTTTAGGAGTTCCCACATCAGAAACCAGGGTCAGACACTAATATGTACATATTTCTTTTTATTTCATACATACTATAAACTCTAACCACTATGGAGTCTAGCTAATAAGCCATAAAAGGAGATAACATAAATACTCAATCCAAAAGAAGACAGAAAAAGAAAACAGATAGGATGAATAGAAAACAAATATCACAATCATAGCTTTAAACTCGATCATATCAATAATCACAGTAAGTGGAAATGGTGTAAGCTCCCAAATAAAAAGACAGATATTGTCACATTGGATAAAAATGCAAAACCCAACTAACTGCATACTGCCCACAAGAAACCCATTTTAACCACGAAGATTTAATCTGCATATTTAAAGACTGATATAAATATTTTAAATATAAAGATATGAATGGATTTAAAGGGATGAAAAATTATACCAACGTTAGTACCAATATTGTCAAACACAGATTTCAGAATAATGAATATTACTGGAGATAGAGTCATTTCATAGTAGTGGGGTGAATTCTTCAAGAAGACAACATTCCTAAACATCTATGTGTCTAATAACAGCACTTCAAAATATATGAGACAAAAATTGATAGCACTTCAAGGAGGAATAGAAAAATCCAAACAAATAGAAAACCAGTAAGAATATAGAAGACTTGGACAACAGTATAAACCAACTTGACCAAACTGATACTTTTTAGGTCATTCCACCCAACAACAGCTGAATGCACATTTTTGTCAAGTTCATGTAGAAAATTTATGAAGACAGAACACATTCCAGGCCATAAAACAAGTCTCAATATATTTAGGTGGATTCAAGTCCTACAAAGTATGTTCTCTGACCACAATGGAATTAAGTTAAAAATCCATAAAGAGATCTGGAAAATCTTCAAATATTTGGAAACTGTGTAATACACTTTTAAATAATACATAGGTCAAAGAAAAAACATATTAGAAAGTACTTAAAACAGAAAATGATAATATAGGATTTCACAGTGCTTTGCAGCTAAAGCTGTACTTAGGGGGAAATTTATAGCATGAAAGATACCAATATTAGAAAAGATCTCCAGTCATGACTTCAGCTTTCACCTTAAAAAAGCAGAATAAAAAGAGCAAATAAAATCCAAAAATGTGAGAAGAATGGAAATTATAAAGATAAGAGTGAAAATCTGTGGAAAAAAAATACATAGAACCAATAAATAGAAAAAATCAAAAGCTGGTTATGAGAGAAGGTCAAGAAAGATGATAAACCTCTTGCCAAACTTAAAACATAACCAGAATCAGGTATGAGAGAGGTGATATCACTATTAAGGGGATAATAAGGGATATTATGAACAAATTTACGTCAGTAAATTTGGCAATTTAGAATAATGGACAAACTTGTTGAAAGATACATACTACTGAATATTAAGTAGACTGAATTTACATGTGCCTGAAGAAATTGGAATTACATTTTTTCTTTAATAGATAAGGTCTTGCTCTGTCACCCAGGCTTGAGTGCAATGGCACAATCATAACTCACTGTAGCCAGGAACTCCTGGGCACAAGCGATCCTCCCACATAACTGGGACTACTGGCACATGCCACCATGCCTGGTGAAGTTTTGTCTTTTTTTGTAGGGATAGAGTCTTGCTGTGTTGCCCAGGCTGACCTTGAACTTCTGGCCTCGAGCAATCCTTCCACCTTGGCCTTCCAAAGTGCTGGAATTACAGTCATGAGCCATCATGATGGCCTTGATTTACATTTTTAACAATATGCAGATTTTCTTTGGGCTGCCTTTTCCCCCAGTTTTTAAAATGAGTGTGTACCTTCATGTATGTGTATTCACATGCAGAAAACTTTGGACATATTTTTCTGCAATTGAAATAGCTTTCAAGTTTCTGAACAAAATTTCTTTTCATGAATGCTAAGTTGTTGAGGGGAAAAGTCTGACTTTTCAAGCTGAGCTGCAGAGAGGAGGTTTCCAAGGAATGAGTGTCCATCTGGAGATATTCAAGCCTTACTCTCTGGATTTCCTTTGTTTAAAAATACATGCTTCCCAGATATTTGCAAAGATGAGTGTGCGCTGCTGTGAGTGCCCACGTTGTGGGGGGCCCTTCAAGGCACATGACAAGGGTGGAGCCAGAGTCACCTCAGTGACTTGGAGGCCCCACACTTCCCTGGGTCTCCATTCCCACTTCGGCACCCAGGAAGGGGTTCAGAGCTCAGGGATGAGCCTCTAGTGTAATGCGCATGGGGCAGTTTCCCCCAGAATCCTGAACAACTTGAATTTAGGACATCTTAGTCTGTCCCATTTTAATTAGGGGAAAATCAACTTAAGGGTCTCCTCAGTTTTACATGGTCATTGGTTGGAATGTGGAGGGAGGCTGGGATGAGTTCTTACCTCTTTTGCTCATAATTATGTAAACAGGAAAACATGGCCATGGTTGGAGGAAGAGGCCCAAAAGGAGACTCAAGGGGACATTGGCTGTTAAAGCAGCAGGAGACCTGGAGACACTGGGGTGAGCTGGGGAGACATGAGAGTGGCCTTCAGGAAGTGTGTGCCTCCAGGATTATGTGGGCTCAACTGGCAGTAGGTGCCCAGGAGCTGTAGGTACCCAGAAGGCAGGGAGGGCAGAGGCAGAGCCAACATGTGCTACATAATATTTTCAACTTTCAACATTCCTCTGTGGTTAGGGGACTTGTACTATACTTCAGATATGCATAGATGATCTGGCAAAGGGGACTATGCCTACCAGCCACATTGCAGAAGCTAATAACTGGGAGACACTATATGACAAATTACTTGAATTGGGTGTTACATATGAGGTCAGGGATGACATTCCTATTAGACTATTCAGGGCTTTCAGGGTGTTTGGTAATGTCTCTGTTCCAGTTTCATTCCGCAAGTCCCTAGTGAGCACCTGCTATGTGCCCCTATCCAGTGCCAGTTTCTCTGGTCCTTGACCCAGGCCCCCCTAGAAGGAGCTTTCAGTTTAGTAAAGGGGAGACAGCAGGGCTAATTAGAGACAAATCAGAGACTTAGGGCTGTCGCTCAGAGTGTGACCCACAGGAAGCAGACATGTGCAGAGGCAGAACCAGTGTTGGCGGGAGTTTGGGGAAGGACCAATCTTAAGCTGAGTAGAGCTGGGACAGGTATCAGAGGGCCAGTATTAGTCTGGATAGTCTATTAGGCCAACACAGGGTGGTTTTTTCCATGTAATGAAATGTTCAACAACTCCAGTAAAATTGATATGATGTATAAACCCAGTTGAATTAAAGTTAGTGTTTAAGGTTTAGGATTTAAGGGACTAGAAACGCCTGCGTGGCTCCATCTGGAAAAAGCTTTTGGGAACACCAAACAGGTGGTATCGGGCCCTGTGGGGGATGTGCACAGCCTGGGGCCCCTGCACGTGTATTTCTAGGCACTGTTTTCTCCAGGGAGACGGGAGAAAGGGAGGTATGCCCTGGCCTTGATCTACAATATTGAGGTCACTGGTAAAAGTTCTTTAGGTTTCCTTAAAGGTGTTAGGGATCCCTCCAACGGTCAGATTGTGGGGTAAATTAGGGTGACAATAACTTAGGAACACTGGGGGAGGGGGTGCTGTGTTGAAGGCCGCCTATGGCCATGTGCCTGCTTGTCAGAATCGTGGACACCAGAAGACAGGGATGGGGTCTAGGGAACTTGACTCTCTAGCTGGAACTCAGCTGGGCACAAGGCAATTGGGAATCCCATTCCAGGGGCAGAACTGGGGTACAGGGTCTGCCGGATGTGAAGGTCTGAGTAAGAAACAGAGCACTAGCTATATCCCAAAGGAAGCCTAAGCTCACAGCACTATGAAAGGGGGCTACGGTGCCCCAGTACTTTTTGGTGAATGCTAATATTGGTTTAAGTACCTGGGCTGGCATGCCCCTTCCTGTTGTGTGAAGGGTTTAGATCCTTTCTTGGCTAAGAAAATGAAGCAGTAGGCTGACTGCCATTTTGTTATGAAGTTTCTCCCATGCATATAACCTTCAGAGTGAACAGGCTATGGCAACTTCAAATAAAAATCAGATGAGCCAAACCATCCCCAGTTTACACATGAGCGTGTTCTGGGGGAAGGAAACCAGCCTCTAAAAGGTAATGCTGGCAAAAAAAAAAAAAAAAAATAATGCTGAAATAATCAAATATTTGTTTAAATGATTACTTGCTATGCAAACAATTTTAAGAATTTAATGGAAATTTAGAATAGATGTCTATGGGGAGAAAGGGAAGAGGGTGACCTTCAAATAAGTTTCCCCTAATATGGTTTTAACTATTGGTCTTTAAAATTTTTTCCTTTTATGTATTTGTACACATGCACGCATATCTCATGGGGTCATGACCCTACAATATGCATAGTTGCCTTTCCATTTTCACCTTGGCATTTTTATATAGTGGCTTCATGGATTGATTGATTATCTACTTATTTATTTGAGACAGAGTCTTGCTCTGTCACCCAGGCTGGAGTGTAGTGGCGCAATCTCAGCTCACTGTAGCCTTGACCTCCTAAGCTCATGTGCTTCTCCTACCTCAGCCTCTCGAGTAGCTAGGACTACAGGTGCATGCCACCAGGCCTGGCTAATTTTTTTTTTTTTTTTGTAGAGATGGAGTCTCGCTGTGTTGCCAGGCTGGTCTCAAATGTCTGGGCTCAAGCAATCCTCCCACCTCGGCCTCCCAAAATGCTAGGATTAGAAATGTGAGCCACAACGTCTGGCTGGATTTTATTGTTTTAATTGCAAATTGACAATTTATAATTGTATAATTTTATGGGGAACAAGGTGATGTTACTATTTATGCATATAATGTGGAATAATTAAATCAAACTAGTCAACATATCCAGCACCTCAATACTTAATATATTTTGTGGTGAAAACATTAGAAGCTTCATGGATTTTTAAATGAGCCTTGTTCACAGTTGCATAATGTGTGAGCAGTTCGGAGTTGAATGAAATACTCCTCTTTGGAGAGCTAGGTTGTTTCTGTTCATTTCCTATTAGAAACAGTATTTTCATGTTAAATTTAATGATTTCTTGAAGAGAAATGTTTTGGGTGCAAATTAGGGAACAATTTAAGGAAGGAAAGCCAGGATTTAAGGGACTCAGAAAGTGGGCAGAGAAACTTGAAACCATCAAAACAGGGGCCACTGTCAGTTGTTCCCCACCTCCTGGATGTCTCACCTGAGGTCACGTGTGCTCCTGGAGGCTTTGAAGTTTGTTCTGCATCACTTTCACTGCCCTGTGTTAGGTCCACTCAGATGCTGTGTAAAGGTGACTGTGTTTTACTCTTCTCTGTATAGTAAGAAAAGGGTGGGCTCCTCTCTATATTACTCTGATCAGAAAAATCCAAAGTTGCACTTTTCACTTTGCAAAGGGGGTAATTGGCTTCACAGAACCTTTGAATAATGATCACGTTGCACCTGAAGTGTTTTATTCCTGATCACACTGGTGGGACTTCTGCTTGGGAGAGAAGACAGAAACCAGGGGGACTTTAAACCAAAGGTTTTGGTGTCCCTGCTCCCTTGAAGACCCATGGAAAAGCAGTAACATACAGTCATACATCACGGGATTCGGTTTACAACAACTTAGGCAAGTTGCAACAAACAAAACAGCTAGAAAGTAAAGTGACCAACATTTGCCAAGCTTCACAGTCCACTCTGAGGTGGAATCCTAGAATCTTAGCCTTGGAAAGGATACTTCGACCCCTTATCCTGCTGACTGTATACTTTCTGAGGTCTCTTGGCAGATGGGCATAGAGCCTGTTGAGCTAGAACCTTTCCTGAGACAGGGAGGTCACTGCCCCCAGGAGCTACATTGGTTGCTCTAATTGCGGGCAAGTTTTTCTAGTGGCAATGTTATCTGCCGTTCTGGAGCTTCCTCTGGTGGCTCTCCTTCTGCCTGTGGAGTAACACCAAACATACTGATTTTTCTCTATCCATCCTTCAGCTGCTTATGGCTGAGGCTGGGCTTCTCCCAAGCCTGTTCCTGTCCAGCCTGAACATCTTATTTTCTAACTTATTTTTCATTAGACAAAATTCTCAAACCCTTGCCATTCTGGCTAGTCTTCTCTGGACAAAGTCTGGTTTGTCAATGTCTGGCTTAAAGTGTGCTACTCATAATGATGTTTCTGGGGTTAGAACTTGATGAGAAATTCCACTTAAGCTTGGGAGAGTGAAAATAACTGGAAAAAAAAATAGACCTACTGATTCAACCCAACTTTATCCATTGCCTTCTGAATGATGGGGCCAGTTACTTCTCTGGGTTATTGGGGTGGGGTGGAAGGAGGATAATAGAGCTCCAGAAAAGAAGAGTTGGGCTTGACTTGCCTTTTCCCAGCACAGAAAATAGGGTCTCTTTTACTTGTAGTCCTAGAATATTCGGCAAGATTCTTAGCGATCACGTCTATCAACTTTCTGATGTCACAACCTGCCCAAGATCACAGAAAGATTTAATGACAGGTCCTAAGTCAGAGTCCAAATCTGTATGGTTGTTTCCATCAATTTCTGCTGCTCCCCTCTTCTGCCTGCTCTCAGTCTCTCCCTCTGCATTTCCCCTGAGACCCCTACTCCTAAGTCCCTTTTACTATTCTTACCTGAAAGCTTTCTTTTGAAAATACAAGCACCAAAGTCATAAGATACCTTGGCACCTTTTTTTTTTCCCCATGAGAATCTTTTACACTGTGGTTTGTGAAGGAAGCTGACTTTAACAATCTAGGTGATATGGTGGTTATCAAGAAAGAACACTGGCTGTTAAGATAATACGTGTCTAAATATGTCAGCAGGTGCAAGAGCTATCTTGTCCCACTGGGGCTACAGGAAATGTATTCACCAAAATGTGCAGGTCACAGATAGGTCAGAGAGATAGCACAGTACAGTACGGGGGTCAGACCAGCCACAGTGTGATTTCTACAGACCTGTGATCTAAGATTACTGGAACAGAAATGCCCATCCTTAGAAAATACCTTAGTGTTCATATGGGCACTCATAGAAAACGCATTTAAACAAAATTTCTGCAGCATCAAGGACTATCTTTAATTTTAGACTCTGGTCTACATACTGCTTGTAGACTATTTCTTAGATATTCTAATTTGTTCTTTTGTTTCTGTATGTTTTCATTCACCCACTCATTCCATAACTATTTTTGAGTGCCTCCTTTATGACAGTGACTCTCTTTCTTCCCTGCCTCCTCTTTCTGAATTCTACTCTGAATCCTTTAAGATTTGGCTGGAGTCTCACATCTTTTGGGATGCCTTTGTTGTTCATTCCAGCCCGCAGACTTCTTCCTCTGCTCTTTATACTTCCTGTACTCTTCATCTACTTTGGATATTTAATGCTCTCATGTGTAGACTTTGCCAACTGGCCTTAACCAATTGGATAAACAAACTGAACATCTCTTTAGCCATTTGCAGCCAACCAAGTTCATGTGCATTTTCTCATTTCATCCTCACAGCATTCAGGTTAGTATTATCATTCTCGTTGCAAAAGTAAGAAAGCTGAGAGCTCAGAGATAAAGAAACTTGCTTGTCACACAACTGAAGGTAATGATGCAAGACTCAAAACTCAGGTTGGTTCAACTGACTATAAATCTTCTGCTTTTTCTCTTTCACCACACTACACTTGTCTAAACTTCCTTTTACTCTCTATTGGGTTTTACATATTATTGTCACTCAACTACATTCTCATCGATTGAATTGCTCTGAAACTTTCTGCTTTAGTTTGAAGGCTATAGAAGGGCATATTCACTTGGAAACCATCAAGGAAATATGGAAATGTCAGATTGTATTATGGCCATTTTTGTTTCTAGTGTTATCTTAGTTGCTTGGGCTGAGCCTTCCAGAAGATAAGGAAGAAGATAAAATCAATACATTGCCATTACAAAGCAGCTTACTAGTACACAACTTCAGCTATCGTGTCATGTCCCTCGTATACCCAGAAGAGAAATCAATGTTTGGGGTGGCTGAGGAGTGGGGAGAGTGCAATCAAATTGGCCTAAGCACAACAGATAGATAGCTGACATCTAGCACAATTCTGTACATTCTACCCAGGTGCCTCAGCATCCACATCAACTCAGCTCAAGGTTGCTATTTAAGTTGGGAGTTTGGCTTTGTTTACTTGTTGGTTTGTTTTTCATTTTTTTTAATGTGGGCTCTGGCAGGTCTCTACTCGAGCATGAGCTTAAGGAATAATTAGTTCCACACACTCTGTCCTATACTTGGTGCCATATTGATCTATTTACATTCCATCTGTGAATAAAGTGGTTTCATGTCTTCCCTTCCTGTTTGTATACCCTTTATTTCCTTATCTTATTGCAGTAGCTAGGACTTCCAGTATGATGTTGAAAAACAGTGATGAGATTGAACATCCTTGCCTTATTCCTGATCTTAGGAGAAAACATCCAGTTTCTCACTATTAAATATGATATTAGCTGCAGGTTCTTTGCAGATGTTCTTAATGAAGTTGATGTTTCCCTCTATTTCTAATTTGCTGAGAGTTTTATCATAAATGGGTGTTGGATTTTGTCAACTGCTTTTTTTTTATCAATTGATATCATCATATGACTTTTTTTCTTTCGCTTATTGATGCCTTGGATTACATTGGTTTTTCAAATGTTGAACCAGTCTTGCATACCTGGGATAAATTCTACTTGGTTATGGTGTATAATTCTTTTTATACATTGTTGGATTCTATTTGTTAATATTTTATTGAGGATTCAGATTGATCTACTTAAGCCACAGCCATGAACAAATCACTCTCTTGTTCTAAAGTATCAATGGTTTCCAAATGCAATCAAATAAAATCCAGATTTTTTAGTCATTCAAAGCCCTCCATAGCCTGGTTTCAATGTACCTTTCAGTGCTTCCCTTCCACTACATTCTGTGAAGTACCTTTATTTCTCTAAACTTTTTCTATAGTTTCTCACTTTCCTGTGTTTGAATACCCCTATTCCCTTCATCTGCTACTAGGTATAACTTTCAATTTTTTTCTACCCCAATTTTCTAAAATCTTATTTCTCTTCAATATCTAGCTTAAATAATAATAATTCTCCCATACTGGTAACTGTGTCTCTTCTTTTGTCTCTGTCTTCCGAAATACAGTATCTCATATATGAGGCACTTAATGTGCATTTTCTGAAATGAAAGGAACCTGGAATTTAACTTTGGCCTTGTTGATCAGAATATGACTCCAGTCTTTGCTTTTTCATTTTAGATATTGAGATCATCTAGTCCAGTTTTTCAATCAGGGTAGTGGTCCTCTCTACAATATCTCAGACAGAAAGACGTTTCTGTGATGATACTCACTACTTCAAGATCCATACTGTTGCTGGACTTTGTTAGGTAGTTTATGTGATATATTGAGCCAAACTTGGCCCACCTAGGATTTCCATCATTGATACAGTGGTCACTGGAGGAATGAAATGTTTATAGGGAGACAGCCTATAGAGTAGGAAGAATTTAGGCTTTGGCACTGGTCAGTCTTGGGATCAAAGTTTACTCTGCTACTTACTAGCTGTATTGTCTTAGATGAGTCTATGCATTTGCCAAAGCCTCCATTTCTCCATCTTAAAAATGGGGATAATACCTTTCTAGGAGAGTTAGAATGAATGACAAAATGTATGCATGAAATAATTATGTAGAGCTTCAAGTACAGCTCCTGGAATTAAGAAAGTGTTTGACAAATGGTAGCAATTATTGTTAAGCTCCTATAGTGTATGCAGTACTCTATTACATGTCATGGGGGAATTTATAAACTAATTTATAAGACTAATCCTTCCCACTTAAGGAACTTAAGGCTAATTTGAATTATGTCCCAAATTTGTTGCTAGAGATGAATATGAGGAGAAACGTTCCTTCACTTGCCTATGGGATGAGTCCAGGTTGGCAGGTGAAGGTTGTAACTTCCAATGGAGGCAATGTCACAGTTTCTTGGAATCAGAGCTGGTCTCCTAGAGTTGACTGATATATGATCAGTTCAGTTGAAGTTTCCAGTGGTGGTTTGGGAAGGCCAGACTGTTACTGTAATGTTTGTGTGGGAAGGAAAAAGTGAAACAGACCCGCAGGGTTTAATGGGTGAGCTGAGTGAGCTGTAGACAGTGGGGCAAGAAGGGAAAAAACAAATGAGAATTCCTTAGAACTTTCTTTTCACATCATTAGAAGACTTTGTGGGGACGGGTAACTATTTTCAATGATAACAATTCATAGTGATATCCAAACCTTTAAAAAACATTGGCACAGTCTCCCCCCTTCCTTCTAACAATAGCACTCTCATTTTATGAAGTTAATCATGTGTAGCTCATTTTGGTTAGGCCACGCAATATTTTTTAGCTGTGAACTGGTATTAGGATTCGAATGTCCTAGATGCTTTATTAAATGTTTTGTGGTCTTAGTGGGCAATTGGTAATAGCTGCTTTGAACATTTTCTAGGCTAACATGCTAGAGGGTTATCTCTATGACATACAATGTTTGGAAATTTGCCACAGGTTTGAATAGATGCAGAACTAGTTCCTGTGGGAATCATCGCTGCTCTTGTTGGCCCACTTTTTTGGTGGAGGTTCAGTGAATTTTCATGCTGGCTCCAATCCTGATTAGACTCCTTAAACTGACTAAAGAGGACGTTAGCCCCCACCCTCCACTTGGCTTATGGCCAAAGCATATCCAGTCTTCCTTTGACAAGAGCAATACATTGTGTGAATCTCAAGTTTTTGCCTGATAGTGTAACTTCAAACTCTGCAGCTCTATTCTTATCAGAAGCTCATTTTTTTAAAGAAATAATGTTCATAGAAGATTGCTTGAAGGATAAACCATTCATTTCTTTTTCCATATTCTACATGCTATTCTTGGGTCAAGAGGTACCATCAGATGGTTGCAGACTGGACTGAATTGCCTAGGTCTTTCAAATAATTCATTTGATTAATGGAACTTTGATGTGTGTTGTTAGTCTACATTGAGGAACTGAAACCTGCTATTGTATTCATTGTGGGTCTTTATGGAAGGTGGAAGTCATTCCAACCTACTACATTGGGGTGGGGGAAAATTCTCCCTGGTTTCAGTACCAGGACAACTTGGGCTTCACCTGGCATCTGTTGTTATCTTTTAGAAACCAGAAAACTTGTAATCAATATTACCCTCTGTGGATTTGCCACAGGAAGCACACTGTAAAATTTGTGGTCCTCTCTCTCTTTAGTATTGTGTCTTACTCCTTGTTTATCTCTTTTGCCCACTTTATTTTTCCTTTGGCCCAACTTTCTCATTGAAACAAAACTATAATTGAACTGCATGGAGATCTGCAGCTGCCATGAATTCCTTCATGAACAAGTTAGGGCAAGTCAGAATTTTTAAGAGCCTACTATCCCTTGGTGAAGGTCAGCACAGTATGTGGGAAATTCCAGAGGAGAGAGCAAAGAGGGGAGTATTTGCCTGAGAGAACAAAGATCAGCATCTGTTTGCATCTCAGCTCTGCAAAACCCTCTTCTAACCCTTACTGGTCACATGCAATATGCTCAAACCACGAAGTTTGTTTTTTTTAGGAAATTACGGAGGTGTTCCAGAAATGGAAAGTCTGCGCTAACTCTCCAGAAATCCAGTCAGACTTTGTGGGTGATTGGGGTCAGAAAGCCAAACACACCCTCTGTCAAGACTCCACAGCCCAGTTAGCTGTACCTCTGGGGGAACCAGCAGCTGCTCTGAGCACCCCTCTCCCCTTGCATGGCAGTCTCATGCATCTCTGGCTCGGCTCACATGTGCAGGTCTCCAATTGATTAACTTCATTTCATCCACCAAAAAGACAGGTGGGCCCTCGGTCTTGACACATTCCTGATGAAGAGGTAGAGGTTCTTGGGATGACTTACAGGAGAAGTCATGGCTTCCTCAAGCCAAGAAGGTCTTCTTTGGCTGTGGCCTCTACCCTTGGCTTCCCCCACTCCCCCGCACTCTGTGCTCTTTGCTCAGCATATAGTGACCTCCCCTCTTTTTGAACATTCAAGTGGTATACACGTCCTTCAACGCTCAGTTCAAATCCTTTCAGTTCTCTCTACTCCTCCAACAGTTACCCTCTACAGCTAGAATTTCTGCAGCCTTTGGTCTGGAGCATGCTTAGCCCTTAAATTCTGCTGTCCCTGTGACTAGGACATTTTATTTGTCTGTGGTTCCTCTCCAACTAGATTTTAATCTTCTAAACGGGAGCATATATATCCTAACCTTAGTCTTTTATTTCTCACAGACATTAACATGATTCTAAGCAACAAGAGTTACTAAAAGTCTCCTTCTCTTCCTCTTCTCCATCATCTTCCACCTTTCCATCTTTCTTGCCCCCTCCTCCTGTTGTTCTACACTGTCATCTTCCTATTCCTCCTGCTTTTCCTTATTAGCTGTATGTGGGACTCAGTATTAATCAGCTTTGCGTGCTGACAAGTAACCCTCATACTTCAGTGGCTCACAAAACATAGATTTGTTTCTGTTTCACGAATACGCTAGATTAGCTGGGGCCCTGCTCCATGTCTTCTCATCTGGGACCCAGCTGAAGGAGAAGCCCAGATTCAAGACAAGTGATGACCAAGGGAAAGTGTAAGAGAACTGGAAAAAACTTGCATTGTCCCTCATGCTTTTCTCTGTCATTTCCATTCACATCGTATTGGCTCCATTGAGTCTAGTGGCTGAGCTTGACATGGGCAGGGAAGCATACCCTAATTACAGGAAGGTACTCAAGTCACATGGCCATGAGTGTCTTGCAATCATCTCTCAAGAAAGGGAGCCAAGAGTTGGGACAATGGAAACATTTACTACAGATGACTTCTAGGTGCCTGGCTCTGCTTGGTGCATTACATGAGGCAATGAATGTTCAGTTCCAGGTACAGAAATTTTATGACACATTTTACCTCTATTCTAGTCCCATTTGAGCCCTATTTTATAATGAGGAAATGGAAACTTAGATAATTTAGGCAGCTTTTGAATGAATGTTTGTATTTCTTTCAGCTTTTCTTGCTGACTGCAAATGCCCAGGTCCCACCAGCATTTCTCTTCTCAAGACAGTGCTCCCTCCCAGTACCGTTCTTACAGTTTTCCACTGTGATCCTAAGAAAAAACGTCCTCAGTAGGTCTTAGCAGATTATTTATTAACTATGAGATGAAGAGAGTTATATCATAAACTTCTGGGCAGTGGCTCACACCTTTAATTCCAGCACTTTGGGAGGCTGACAAATTCTAGAAATGCAAGGTCTCGGAATTTTACCTCCCATGTATCCTTTCCCAGGAATTTACTGGAGCATGTGCTCCATCAAAACATTTGTGTCGCCTCTGTTCCCAGTGAGAAAGCAGTATGCAATAGAGGATGAGGGCCACACTCGGAGAATGAATGTAGTGGGTAGTCTGAGAGTGAAAGACAGCAAAGGCATAGAGCATACCAAGCAGCAGATAGCACTGTTTCCGCTCTCGGGTCCACATGACTTGATGCCAGACATTTTCCCCCAGTCACATGAACCAATATGTCTTTTCTTGTCTCAGCTAGTTCCAGTTTGATTTGTGTTCCTTGCATCAGGAGGAGTCTTGATCAACTTAATGGATATGACAGTTGCATGGCTTTCTAAAAATACCACTTTTGATTTGGATATGTTCACATAACTTTTGCAAAACAAACAAAATTCCTTCTTTCCTTCCAGAGAATCAATTGAGCACAAAAATGTGCTGTGTACAGTGTTTGATCTGGATAACAACAATGACAACGGATATCTATAGCAAGTTGTATTTCAATTTTTTTACCAAATTTTGCTTAGTGTAAAAAATAACATCATTAAATAAAACTTTTCAAAGAATAAGATTTATCTCTACTTCCATCAATGTATTTTTTTGCAGTTTCCTGTGTTTTCATCTGCTGTTTCTTCATATGCAAGATAAGGTCTTCCATGGTTGTAATCATGGTGTGCCCCAAATTTGGAACTCTACTTTTTCTCTATTAAATCATAAAATCTCCATTCATCATATTTAATTTCTGTATAATAGGGTTTTTTCAACCTCAGCATTATTGACATTTTGGGAGGCTGTCCTATACACTGCAGTATCCTTGGTCACTCCTCATCAAGTGCCAATAGAACTCACCCTCCCCCCAGGTTGGGACAACCAAAAATGTCTTCAGACATTGTTGAATGTCTCTTGGGGGGCAAAATCATCCTTCACGGAGAACCATTACTGTATAGTACTCCTTTGATTTGACACCATAGTTTTTTTTTTTTAACAAGTCCCCTATTTAAGTTACTTCGAATTTATTGCTGTTACAAATGATGCAGAACTAAAAGTTCTAGGTATACACCTTTTTATAATTCAAAATTGTTCTCTTGAGAATAAATTCAATATGGTCAAGGGGTAGAAACACTTTTGTGGATTTTGACACTCATTACTAATTTGCTTTTCAAAAGAATCCCACCCATCTTAGTGTGAGGAACAATGAAAGAATGTAATAGTTTCCCTGCCATCTTGCCAGTGCATCATCTAATATGTTGTAATTTCAGCATCATGTGGTGAAAGGAATCTAGAATTTGAAGTCAAACTGGCCTGGATCAAAAAGCCACATAAGCACTGATAGCACGTTGGCCTCAGGTAGTTACTTTATCTCTCAGCTCTGATGTTTGTAAGAGTGTTTGAACGATCTCTACCTTGCAAGGTGGTTGTGCTTAAAAAAAAACTGTTATTAACTGTCATTATGCACTGCTGTCCTGGATATTCAAAATACCTCTGTCTGTAAGGCAGGCAGTGGAAAATATAATTTCTGTTTTACAAAGGCCGGAGAGGGGAAGGTATTTATCAGAGTCACACAGGAGACGTGGGCTTCCACAGAGCCTGGAGGTTTATTGCGCCAGAGAGTTTGTTTCATTCTAGCCATCTGTATATGCCTCTACCAGGTGCCTGCCCTGCTGGAGGCTGTGGGGGTTGCCAGAGGAAGGGGTAGCAGAGATTACTGTCTGACACATGAAATTACAGGAGCTCCATGCCTGGTACTGTTAAAGATTCCCAGATTCTAGGGATTCTTCTCTGTCCTTCACTCCCAGGACCTCTGTTGTCAGCATGACTGGACAGCCCTATGCCTGACATATATCCTGATTCCCTTTACTCTCCCCAGTCAGCTCCTAACCAGTACCTTGCTTCTGCTGTCACCCTCCATAGTCCACTCTCCACAAAGCCTCAGCCTTAAACAGTAAATTAGATCATGTCATGCCTCTCCTTGACCCCTATAATGCCTTCCCATTGCACTTAGAATAAATACTAACTACATACCAGAGTCAGCAACTTACCCCAGTGGCTCTCAACCTTATGATGTAGCGTCACCTGGAATTTTTTTTTTTTACAGGTTTTAAAAAATAACCTTCACTTTTTAAAAGCTAATGTGTGCATTACAGGAAACTGAAAACCACTAGAAGCAAAGAACAAAGCCATCCACAATCACAAGCAATTTAGTTTCACATGTCCTTCTAAGTCCTGTTTGTGTAGATACAACATCCAACTTGATGGACTTGAGATCATATGTTATGTATCATGCCTTTTCACACATCATGAATATTTACCAATTCAAAATCTTAAAGCTATGTGAGTATTCTGATACTCAGCAACACATTACAGCAACTTCATCTGTTAGAAAAAATGTAATCCTCCCTTTCTTAGGACAAAAATTTCATAGAAGACCCAAATGACAACATGCCTCTACATAAAAGCATTAGCAGAGTTCTGATTAAAATACTGCGTTTTCTTAATGCTCAATTTAAAATGAAACATAAAGCAGCAGAATACACTATGTATAATGTTTCTAAGATAATTTCTCATATCTATACCATTAAAATATTAGCAAGAAGGTATGTTTCCTTCAAATTACTTACTGTATTCCTATAGTACAGCCAAAAGAGTTGCACATATATCAATGACTAGTATCAAAATGTAAACATAGACACATTTGCATACATCTCTCCCTTTATACTTCATTCTGCCCTTCTGCTGCCAACCTAATGAACAAGTCCTGACATACACTGCTCAGACGTGGCTTAACAATTCCATGTTCAAGATGCATCTTTTCTATCAGTTATAACAAAAAATATTAATAAATTGCCTAATTCACTAGCTCTACTTTTTATCATACATTGTCACTCCAGGACTTTCATAAAGCTCAGATGTTGCAAAATAATAAAACTTGTCCACAACAAACACAGGCACTTTACTGAAAATGCTCATATAGAGCTATGGGTATGAGTTTAAACCATCTTCTAGATATGGAGATACTAGCAAAGAGCCCTTTCCTTCATCCTTCCTCTTCTCCCTCTCCCACCATCCCAACGACTAAGGATACTACTGTGTTTAGCTCCAAGGGGTGGATTACCAAACTCAATCCCAGAAGACAGGACTTCCTATAAACAAACAAAAGGACATTTATGAAGGGATTGTTTTACGTTAGTCAACTCTATGTACAGTGGTGAGCATTAATAAAATGTACACAAAACAAAGGTTAGATTAGAACATGAAAATCTCTTCAGATATGACCAGACTGGCCTAGAACTTCCTTCTCAGGTTTTCTATGTCCTTTAACTCACTGAACAAACGTGGAAGCTTCGCTTCCAGAGGTGGTCTAACCACTTCAAAGTCACCTCCAGAAGACATTTATTTTTTATAATTTTTTTTTTGAGACGGATTCTTGCTCTGTCACCCAGGCTGGAGTGCAATGGTGCAATCTCCGCTCACTTGCACCCTCTACCTCTGTCTCCTGGGTTCAAGCGATTCTCCTGCCTCAGCCTCCCGAGTAGGTGGGATTACAGATGCCCGCTACCACTCCCGGCTAATTTTTGTATTTTTAGTAGAGACGGGGTTTCACCACGTTGGTCAGGCTGGTTTCGATCTGACCTCGTGATCCGCCCGCCTCGCCCTCCCAAAGTGCTGGGATTACAGGCATGAGCCACCGCGCCCGGCCTATGATTTCTTTTTAAACAAATGAGAATTTACAAGATGTGTGATTTTCTAACTCTGTCATACGTCGGCAACCTCTTCTCATCTAGAAAGCCTAGATGTGGAAAATGTTTTCTTTTAAAAGGTTGGAGGGAAGTTGAGAGCAACTTTTTCATGTTATATACACACAGGTTTTCTATAAACGGCCAGTAAACCTTCCCAAAGGGTGGTGGGCATGTCCAGCGGGCCAACTGTGGCCTGTCATCCTACCATTTCTCTTGCGACATAGAGGTCTGGTAGAACTAACACCAACCCGCGATGGCCACTGATCCTTCTGCTCACCCTCCTCCAGGACTTTGCTCACCTTCTGTGCCGTTAAGGCCTTTGTTGGTTGTCCTCAGGACTCAGTAGGTCTCCTTCAACTGTGACTGAGCAGTCTCTGCAGGCCTAGGCTTTACGTTGCTCTGTGGCCTAAAGAGGCCTCCGTAGACCCGCCCTGCCACACCCTAGGGGCCTCCCTGCCGCCGCCATGCTTCCGGCCGGCCACGGCAGCTGCCACTCAAAGGCTCTGCATCCGGGTGGCTTGGCAGGGGTGTCCTCTGGAGATCCAGCGGTCGGCGGGGTCGGCTGGGAGAGGCTGCCGCCACCATCAGGTCACCGAGGTGGGTTGAGGAATATGGTCGATGCTCCTTCAAGGCCTGGGTGTGGCCGGTGGGAGCCATAGCAAGGGCTCTGGGATATCTGCAGGGCGGAGGCCCCAGTCTGTCCTGGGGCTCCCCCAACTCACCCGTTGGCCCAGGGTTTGGAGGGCCCCAGGGGAGCTAGCCGCGGAGCTCAGAGTCTCACCGTGATCTCTGTCGGAACTCTGGAAGGCTTTTAAGAAATACCGATATCTGGACTTCCTACAGACTAATTAAACCAGGCATGTTGGTTTGTCCAGACTTTGTTAGCTCTTTGAGCCATTTTAGCATCCAGGGGTTCTTGAGGGTATGTGCCAAGACTGGTATTAAAATCCTTACTTTGTCAGGCTGAGTGGATTTCTGTTGTAGGTCTATGAAAAACCAGGAAATAAACCCATGCATTCATTAATGTACACATTCATTCGTTCCTTTGTATAGGAAATTCTCATTTATGTTCTTGAGTAAGATTGGTCTGTAATTTTACTTCCTTAAAATATACTAGTCAGGTTTTGATATCAAGATAATACCAGTCTTATAAAATCAGTTTTGAAGCTTGCCGTCTCTTTTGGTTTTATGGAAAGTTTATGTAAGACTGACAAAATACCTTAATTAAACCTAAGTTTATGGAAGACTGACAAAATATCTTCATGAAATCTTGGGTAAAGTTTACTTATAAGCATCTGGGCCAAGAATTTCTTTGTGGGAAGGTTTATATATTAAATTTTTTAAAATTATAATACTGTTTAGATTTGCTATTTCTTTTGGCAGTTTTGGTGAATTTTATTTTTCAAGAAATTTGTCTATTTCATCCAAATTTTAAAATTTATTTGTTTTAAGTTATTCGGAATATCTCTTATGAGATATAATTATGACATATCATGAGATATCAATGTCTGTTGGGTCTATAGTGATGCCCCTGTTTTTATTCATAATATGGATATTTGAGCTTTCTTTTTTATTTGAACACTCTCATCAAGATTTATCAATTTTATTAGTCTTTTTAAACAACTGTCTTTTGACTGTATTTATCTTCTCTAGTATAAAGGCTTGCCCTAAAATATGTGGAGTCTAGGGCAAGAGTATTGATGGAGTACATATATATCATACTATATATAAAAAAATATATATTCAGCCAGGTGCGGTGGCTTATGCCTGTAATCCCAGCACTTTGGGAGGCCGAGGCGGGTGGATCACGAGGTCAGGAGATCGAGACCATCCTGGCTAACACGGTGAAACCCTGTCTCTACTAAAAATACCAAAAAAAAAAAAAATTAGCTGGGTGTGGTGGTGGGCGCCTGTAGTCCCAGCTACTGGGGAGGCTGAGGCAGGAGAATGGCATTAACCCGGGAGGTGGAGCTTGCAGTGAGCTGAGATGGTGCCACTGCACTCCAGCCTGGGTGACAGAGCAAGACTTGTCTCAAAAAATATATATATAAATAAATATATATATAAAAATATATATTTATATTATATATATTATATATTTATATATAATACATATATTTATATTATATATAATATAAATATATTATATATAATATATGTATTTATATTATATTTATATAATATAAATATATATAATATATTATATATATTATATATTATATATATTATATATAATATATATTTATATTATATTTATATAATATATATTATATATTATATAAATTATATATTAAATATATAAATATATTTAAAGCCATAAATTAAGAAACTGTTGACTTTATCCTACCATGACAAAGCTATATAACTACAAAATTGAAAGATATTTAAAAGCTGTGGTTTTATATATGGCTAAAGCTGATGAAACATCGGAGATAACTGAATTTTATTTTTATTGGGAATATCTGTCTATTCTGTTTATGGAATGATAATGTTTCAGTGAAAATTTTATTTGTCTATATTTTAAATAAAATTAAAAATTATTTTAATTGAATTTTTCACAAAATTTTTGTTGATTGACTGTAATGTCAAATTAGACATCCTTTCCTTAGTCTTTGTGGTTATTTTAAAAATTAATTTTAATTGGAAAAACTTCTTTCTGCAGAGGCAGTAGCTGCTGAAATTGTCAATAAAATACTTAAAGCATTACTTTGATTAGGAAATGAAACAAAAATTTTACATGTAAATACAAACATTGTAATGTGGTTGCATGACAAATTATTACTGCTGAAATACAACAAAATATTTTGACTTCATCAAAAAATGCTTATCACCATCAATTTAAAGCAATATCTAGATCCCTACAGTAAGTTCTTTTTTCACACTTTTCAATGCTTAGATATTATAAAAACTGAAGGCAGAATTTATTCCACAATTTTTTCAAAGCTCCTTCAATCAAGACAGTACCTTGATCTATAATTGTCAAAAAATAGACTATACAAATTATTCGGGGGCTTATTTGTATGTGAATCCTTTCCTTCATATTCATACAAATGTTTTTGTTTTCTTTTTCTAATTTTCTCATATCTTATTGGAATGTCACTGTATTGCATATTTCTCATGTGTTTTCTTTTGGACTTTGAAAAATTATTTCTTCTAAAGTTGTTTTTTAAGTTTGTAATCCTTTAAAAAAAATACAGTAGTCAAATACAGACCTGCTTGGATTTTTTGGTGAGTTTTAAAATATTATAGTAAGCAAAAGTTCATACCAAACTGGATTTGCAAATTAAAAAGATCATTTTTAGTATTAAGAATCAATTCTTTTTTTCTTTTTTTCTTTTTTTAATACAGAGTCTCGCTTTGTTGCCCAGGCTGGAGTGCTGTGGCATGGGCTCGGCTCACCATAACCTCCGCCTCCCCGGCTCAAGTGATTACCCTGCTTCAGTCTCCCGAGTAGCTGGGATTATAGGCACCTGCTACCACGCCTGGCTAATGTTTGTATTTTTATTAGAGAGACAGTTTCACCATGTTGGCCAGGCTGGTCTCGAACTCCTGACCTCAGGTGATCTGCCCACCTTGGCCTCCCAAAGTGCTGGGATTACAGGCGTGAGCCACTGTGCCTAGCCAAGAATCAATTCTTAATATCAAAGACCACAGACCACAATGCACTTTATTTGAGGATTGTCTGTTGTTTTGCTTAGCTCATCTAGTGCATTTCATATCTTGTCCGATCAAATCTACTTATTCTAAGAACATTTAGTCAGTGTTTCCATTATGTATCTCAGGGTATCTGTGAGATCAAATTTTGTATGTGTTTCACCAAGACACTCCATATATAGTCTATAAATTATATATGAACATTTTTTGAATATCACTCACTTTTGACATGAGCCTGCTTCTCCTAGGAACAAATTCAAACTGTGGTCCTGTATAGCACAAATAATGCTTTTAAATATTTGACCACAATTCTGGCTCATTAATGTTTTTTAATTTACCAACCATATTAGTACCTTTATTAAAGGCTTACTCTAGACAGTCTTTTAAAACAATTCCTTCATTGAAAGTAGTTTCTGTAGTTTTTTGCTTAAGACAAAACTTGTACTTTTTACAGCAGGTGAAGAATTCATCAATTCCTGGTTTCCCTCTTCTAGTAGTTCATCAGTACAAATTAAGGATATTGTTAATGTAACTTTTGTTCCTGTTATAATCTAGTTGAATGAAGTAATTTTCACTTTTATTTTATGCATTTATTTTATGTATGATTTCATTACTTTATTACCTATTAACTTAATCGTTATCTCATTTATTTCTCCATCTTACATGGTAACCAAAGTTTCTAAAAAAAAGTTTCACTTCTATATCTTGCCACTCTAGCACCATTTCAAAATGATTTCCTCCAAACCTATACCTTGTCTTTATTTTTTTTTAAATATTACGTAATTAGTACCCTGAAGAACTTCAACTTGCTTGGCTAAAATAATGAGACATAATTTTATTCTTTTCAGAGGATCAAAACAAGTTTGTTTTTTTTTGTTTTTGTTTTTGAGATGAAGTCTCCCTTTGCTGCCCAGGCTGCAGTGCAGTGGCGCAGTCTCGGTTCACTGCACCCTCCACCTCCTGGGTTCAAGCGATTCTCCTGCCTCAGCCTCCTGAATAGCTGGGATTACAGGGGCCTGCCACCACACCCAGCTAATTTTTGTGTTTTTGATAGAGACAGGGTTTTCAGTGTTCACTTACCTTGATTACTATCACAGGTTTGCTGTTAATTCAGCCTTTTTTTTTTTAACTTTTAGTATAATAGTTGCATGCGTGTCTTTTGTGTGCAAGTAATGTTTTCTATTAACCAAGAACCTAGGTCTCTCCAGTCACAGGTATTTTATTTTCATGGTCAATGCTAATTTTGAATATTGATTATAAAACATAGCAATAGTTACAAAATTCTTCGTCTACATTTCTCCATTTGAAATAGTTTTGGTGTAGAATGAAGTGTTAAATATTCTTGCATGTTCATCCAATGGGAAGTTGTAAACATTAGTTCATGTCAGACTGTGTTTGAGATACATTCTCTTGCTGTGAGAAACACGTGACTGCTGTTTCCTACAATCATTGTCCAATAAGCAGAGTAAAGCCATGGAGGTTTCTTTCTTTTACATGAAATATACCAATTCTAAAACATGATTTTCTTTTTGTAATAGAAAGGCCAGAGTGTAAGTTTTTAATCCTGAGTTGTGCATTAGATCAATTGTTTTCATTGTCACTTTAGTATGAAGTCGTAAGAGCTTCATCTGACTTGTTCGCATTGCAGATTTGACAAAAATAATTTTCTTGCTTGTTTTTATTTTGATAAAAAATTATGCTAATTTTTTATTATGTATTTTTCTCACATTCTATTTCGGGTCATGTTTGACAGAGGTCTTTTTACTTTCATTGTTTCCAGTATTAAAAACTTAACAGATCACCACTTGGGATATTTTTCTGTTACTTTTTTCTCTAATTTTTTTTTTCCTGAGTTCTACCTTGCCATTTTTTATCTCTAGTATATCTTTATTTTTACACCTCAAACAGCTAAAGCATTTTAAAAAAGTTTTTAATGTGCTCAGGTATCTGAAATTTGAATATATCTTCATTAAAGATTCTAGCTAATATAAAAAATTAAAAATTATCTTTCATGAGTGTTTCAAAAATTGTATTTTTTCTATTTATTTATTTATTTATTTATTTATTTATTTATTTATTTATTTATTTATTTATTTATTTTGAGATGGCGTCTCGCTCTGTCGCCCAGGCTGGAGTGCAGTGGCGCGATCTTGGCTCACTGCAAGCTCCGCCTCCTGGGTTCACGCCATTCTCCTGACTCTGCCTCCGGAGTAGCTGGGACTACAGGCGCCCGCCGCCACGCCCGGCTAATTTTTTGTATTTTTAGGAGAGATGGGGTTTCACCGTGTTAGCCAGTATGGTCTCGATCTCCTGACCTCGTAATACGCCCGCCTCGGCCTCCCAAAGTGCTGGGATTACAGGCGTAAGCCAGCATGCCCGGCAAAAATTGTAGTTTTTCTAAACTGTGCAAAATTACTTACTGAAATAAAAGGTAAAATACAAGCTATAATTGAACTATCAAAATTCTAAGTAAAAATAATTTAAATCTGAAACATGCTGGGTGTAGTGGCTCATGCCAATAATCCCAGCACTTTGGGAGGCTAAGGCCTAGCCCAAGAGTTTGAGACCAGCCTGGACAACATGACAAAACCCCCTGGATGATTCTAGCATCCAGTGTCCATCTAGTTGCCAAGATGAAGAATCAGAATTACATTTCATGCATATTACATCTAGACCCACATATATACAAATTTAAGAGTAATATGAATGGTTTAATATTGCAAAATGCTCCTCAGCCATCATGAGCAAGTATTGTGAAATTGGCAGTAATTTGTGAGTACTTCTGGAGCCATTAATTGGAACATAAAAGGAGCAAGGAAATGAATACCAAACACTGCTGGGAGGTAATTTTTTTTTTTTCATGTAAGAATCTATTGAATTCATGCTGAGACTTAGGATTTGGAAAGTTAATTTCTCTTGTCTTTTACCTAAGTGCTTTGTCACTTAAATCCTTTCCACATTCTAAGGAAGTGTCCATTTCTGATGTTTTGGCAGTGGCAAAACCCATAAATCTTTCTGGCCTGATGGGTAGAAGAGATTCCCTGGGGGTTTGAATGCCATTGTTCATGGGATTATTTAGATTATGAATTGTGTTGTGACGGGGCTGAGAACCAGATCCTAAGTGATGGAAGTTACCATATGTTCCTTAATAAATTGTGTGTGGGTGTGGTGCAAGGTATGGATGGAGATTCACATTTTCTGCATATGGATATCCAATTGTTCCAGCACCATTTGTTGAAAAGACAATCCCTTTTTGTCACTGAATTACTTTTGCATTTTTGTCAAAAATCAATTGACCATAGCTGTATATGTCCATTTATGGACTCTATTTTATTTGATTGATCTGTTTTTCTATTCTTACACTATATTATTATTTTTTTTACAATGTCTTTATTGTAGCTTAATAATGTCTTGAAATTGGTTTGTATAAGTGCTCCAACTTTGTTTCTAGTTTTCAAGGTAATTTGTGTTATTCGAATTTTAGAATCACTTTACCAATTTCTACAAGAAAGCAAGCAGGAATTTTAATTGGGATTGCATTGAATCTATAGATCAGTTTTGGAGAATTGGCATCTAACCAATATTGAGCCTTCTGATTTATGAACAGATTATTTAAGTTTTATTATTATTTTGTCAGCATGTTGTTTAGTCTTCAGTGTATAGGTCTGAATGTCTTTTGCCAAATGTCTTCCTATTTTATATTTTGATACTATGTATATGTACACACACACACACACATATATATATGTGTATATATATGTAGAGAGAGAGAGAAAGGAAAGAAAGAAAGAAACAAGCAAACAGGGTCTTACCCTGTCACCCAGGCTGGAGTGCAGTGGCACCTCATGGCCAACTGAAGCCTTAACTTCCTGGGTTCAAGTGGTCCTCCCATCTCAGCCTCCTGAGTATCTGGGACCACAGATGTGTACCACCATGCCCAGCTAATTTTTACATTTTTTTTAGAGATGGGTTATCATTATGCTGCGTAGGCTGGTCTCGAACTCCTGGGCTCAATTGATGCAACCATCTCAGCCTCCCAAAGTAGTGGGATTACAGGCATGAGCCACTGTGCCCAGCCAAGTACAATATTTTTTAAACTTTATAATTGTTTATGGCTAGTATATTAAAGTAGAAGTTATTTTGTATAGTGACTTTATATCCTACAATCTTGCTAAATTTACTTATTAGTACTACTTGCTTTTTTGTAGATTCTGTAGGATTTTCTAGAATGATATTCATGTCATTTGTAAAGACAGTTTACTTCTTAGTTTCCCATTTGGATGCCTTTTATTTCTTTTTGTTGCATTATTACTGTGGCTAAAACCTCCCAGTATCACGTTGACTAGAAGTGGTAAGAACAGTCATCTTTGCATTATTCATAATCTTGGGAAAAGCATTCAGTCTTTTGCCATTAAGTAAGATGTAACTGTAGATTTGTTATAGATGCTGTTTATCAGTTTAAGGAAGTTCTCTTCTTCTATCTGTCTGCTGAGAGTTTTTTGAAAATCAGAAGTGGGTGGTTAATTTTATAAAAAGCTTTTTCTGTGTCTCGATATGATTGTATGGATTTTCCTTTTTAATGTATTAAAATGAATTAAATAACTAACTTTCAAGTGTGTAACCAACCTTGCATTCTTGGGATAAACACCACTTTGTCATTATCTATTATCCGTTACATATAATATTAGATTCAATTTGATGAAAGTTTTTAAAAAGGATTTTTGCACCTATGTTTATGAGGAATATTGTTTTTTGTTTTTTGGATTTATTTATTTATTTATTTATTTATTTATTTATTTATTTATTTTTACTCGGATAACTTTACCTGTTCTTGATATTAGGAGAATGCTAGATTGCAATAATGAATTGGGAAGATTTTCCTTCTCTTCAGTTTTTGGAAGAGTATATGTAGAACTGATGTTTATTTCTTAAATGTTTGCTAGAATTCATCAGTGAAGCCATTGGAGACTAGAGTTTTTCTAAAAAGATATACAACTATTCAGGTTATTTTTTTCTTCTTGAATGAGGTCTGGTATTTTGAGTCTCTCAAGGAACTTGTCCATCTTACCTAAGTTTTTGAACTTACTGGCATAAAATTATTTATAGTATTCACTAATTATCTTCTTGATATCTAGAATATGTAATAATGTCACCTCTCTCATTCCTGATATTGGTAATTCATTCTTCTCTCTTTTATTCTTGATTAGTCTGGCCAAAGATTTATTAATTGTATTGATCTTATCTAAGAATCAGATTTCGTTTTATTTATTTTTCTCTGTTGTTTTCTTTTTTCTTTCTTTTTTTTTTTAAGATAAGGTCTTGCTCTGTTGTCCAGGTTGCAGTGCAGTAGTGCAATTACAGCTCACTGTAGTCTCAATCCCCTGGGCTCAAGTGATCGTCCCTCCTCAGTCTACCAAGTAGCTGGGACTACAGGCATGCACCACCACACCCAACTAATTTTTGGACTTGTTGTAGAGGTGAGTTCTCACTAGTTGCCTAGGCTGGTTTCAGACTCCTGGGCTCAAGCAACCCTCCTGCCTTGGCCTCTCAAAGTTCTGGGATTATAGGCATGAGCCACTGTGCCTTTTTCTTATTTTGTTGATTTCTGCTTATATCTTATTTCTATTATTTTACTAACTTTGGTTTAATTTTCTCATCTTTTTCTAATTTTTAAAAATTTTAATTGATAAATTATATATATTTATGGGATTTAGTGTGATGTTTAGAAATATAAATACATTGTAGAGAGATTAAATCAAGCTAATTAACATATTCATCACCTTACCTATTTTTTTATGACAATGTTAAAATCTACTCTTTTAGCAATTTTGAAATATATGTTATTATTAACTATGGTCACAGTGCTGTACAATAGACCACTAAAATTTATGTCTCCTCTCTAACCAAAACATTCTACCTTTGGGCCAACATCTCTCTTGTCCTTCCCCCCTCAACTCCCACCCCCCATTTCGTGCCTTTGGTAACTACCATTGTACTCTCTGGTTCTATAAGTTTGACATTTTTAGGTTTCACATATAAATGAGATCTTGCAGTATTTGTCTTTCTGGACGTGGCTTACTTCACTTGTCATAATGCTTTCCAGGTTTACTCATGTTGTCCCAAATGACAGAATTTCCTTTTTTTTTAAGGCTGTATAGCATTCCATCATTTATATATACATTTTGTTCATCCCTTCATCCATTGCATAGATACTTGGGTTGATTACATATCTTGGCTACTGTGAATACTGCTGAAATGAACATAGGAGTGCAGATATCTCTTTGACTTACTGATTTTAATTACTTTGGGTATACAGAAGTGGGATTTCTAGATCATAGGAAAGTTCTATTTTTAGTTTTTTGAAGAAACTTCATATTGTTTTCCAAAATAGGTGTACTAATTTACATTCCCGCTAAAGCGGGCCAGGGTTCCTTTTTTTTTTTCTTATGTCCTCATCAACACTTGTCTTTCATCTTTTTGATAATGGCCATTCTAACAAGTGTGAGCTCATCGTGTTTTTAATTTACATTTCCCTGAGGATTAAAGATATTGAACATTTTTTCATATATCTGTTGGTCATTTGTCCTCTTTTGAGAAATGTCTATTTAGGTTCTATGTTCATTTTGTAACTGAGTTATTTGTTTCTTGCTGTTGAGTTGTTTGTGTTCCTTTATATATTTTAGATGTTAGTTCCTTATCAACTGTTTGGTTTGCATATGTTTTCTCCCAATTTGTGGGTCGTCTCTTGACTGTGCTAGTTATTTCCTTTGTTGTATAGATGCTTTTATGTTTGATGCAGTCTCATTTTTGTACTTTTGCTTTTGTTACCTGTGCTTTTGGGTTCTTATCCAAGAAGTCATTGCTCAGACCAGTGTCATGGAGCTTTCCCTTTTCTTTTTCTTGGAGACAGGGTCTCACTCTGTCACCCAGGCTGGAATCCAGTGGCGCGATCTTGGCTAGCTGCAACCACCTGGCTGCTTTGTTTACCTAAGCAAGCCTGGGCAATGGCGGGCGCCCCTCGCCTAGCCTCGCTGCCGCCTTGCAGTTTGGTCTCAGATTGCTGTGCTAGCAATCAGAGAGACTCCGTGGGCGTAGGACCCTCTGAGCCATGTGCGGGATATAATCTCCTGGTGCAGCGTTTTTTAAGCCCGTTGGAAAAGTGCAGTATTCTGGTGGGAGTGACCCGATTTTCCAGGTGCCGTCTGTCACCCCTTTCTTTGACTAGGAAAGGGAACTCCCTGACCCCTTGCGCTTCCCACGTGAGGCAATGCCTTGCCCTGCTTCGGCTCGCGTACAGTGCGCTGCACCCACTGACCTGCACCCACTGTCTGGCACCCCCTAGTGAGATGAACCCGGTACCTCAGATGGAAATGCAGAAATCACCCGTCTTCTGCGTCGGTCAAGCTGGGAGCTGTAGACCTGAGCTGTTCCTATTCGGCCATCTTGGCTCCTCCCATCCTGGGCTTTTTATGCCCATATGTTGATTTTGTATCATGCAATTTTACTGAATTTGTTGATCAGTTCTAACAGTTTTTTTTTTTGTGAAATCCTTAGGGTTTTCTTTATATGAGATCATGTCATCAACAATACGGCAATTTCACTTCTTCCTTTCCTTTTTGGATGCCTTTATTTCTTTTTCTTGCCTGATTGCTTTGGTTAGGACTTTTATTACTATATTGAATAGAAGTGGTGAGGGTGAACATTTTTCTCTTGTTCCTGATTATAGAGAAAAAGCTGTCAACTTTTCACTGTTGAGTATGATGTTAGCTGTGTGCTTGTTATATAAGGTCCTTATTATGTTGTGGTACATTACTTGTACATTCTATAGCTAGTTTGTTGAGAGTTTTTATAATAAAGGATGAAGTTTGTCAAATGATTTTTTTGCATCCATTGAGATGATTATATGGGTTTTGTCCTTCATTTCATTAATATGGTGTGTCACATTTATTGACTTGCATATGTTGAATCATCCTTGCATCCCAGGAATGAATCCCAGTTGATCACGGTGAATGATCTTTTTAATGTGCTATTGCAGTTTGCTGATACTTTGTTGAGAATTTTTACATATATGTTCATCTGGGTTCTTTTTCTAATCTTTAATATGGATGCTGAGACCACTGAATTGAGACATTTTCTGTTTTCTAATAAAAGGATGTCAGTACTGTGAATTCCTAAAGGATTGCTTTCACTGTGTCTCACAATTTTGATATGTTGTGTTTTCATTTCCCTCCAGTTAAAAATTACTTTCTAATTTGCTCTTCTTAAATTTCTTCTGCAATTCGTGTCTCAGAATATTTGAGGATTTTCTAAATTTCACGGTCTTCTTGTGATTTCATAAGTTTTTGCTTTATGTATTTTGAAACTCTGTTATTAGGCTGTTAGGAAAAATTCAAACCATTTTTCCTTTGCTGTCATATCAACACAAGACTTCTGTGACCCCAAAATGTGTTGGGATTTCTCCCCACCAACAAATAAGCAATCAGTTCTGTAGTGGGTGCCAACTGGGTATCCTGTAATTCAATTCTGACATTATTTACTTAGAGATAGTGTCAGATCCCCTTGTTGAGGTCTCATTCCACAAAACTGTCCCTCCCTTTAGTCACCAGTCATAGGTCATGGCCTCTGGAACTTATGACTAACTAGCTTTAAGCTGGGTTTCAAGTTCCGTGACCCCCACTTTGGGCTTGATTAATTTGCTTAAGTGACTCAGAAACTCAGGGAAACATGTTTACCAGTTTATTATAAAGGATATTACAAAGGATACAGATGAAGAGATGCACAGGGCAAGGTATAGGAAGAGGCATGGACCTTGCATGCCCTCCCTGGGTATGCCAGCTCTCAGGAAACTCCATATGTTCAGCTGTCTGGAAGCTCCCTGAATGAACCTTTGGACGTTTTATGGAGATTTCATTGGATAGGCGTGATTGATGACCATGTACAAAAGTGAGTGGACTAAAAGTGTTTGATCTAAATACAGCGAAGCCTGTCTGTTCAGATTCTTCTTGGCCTCTCTGTGCAGCATTCCTTCCTTCAAAATATGGGGCAGGTTTCTTTCTGAAATGAGGCTTTTATGTTCTACACTCAGAGTTTTGCCTTGGGCAAGAGAAGATCAGAGAGAGAAATTCTTTTTACTGTAAGAAGGGCTATGTCAGTTATGAGCCAGGAGCCATGAACAAAAGCCACCTGTATCTGTATCTCATAATGTCACATAGGCCCATATACATTTAAGGACTGTGTCTTCTTGATGAATTTAACCTTTCCTATGCCCCTGTTTATTCCTGGTTTGCTCTGGTTAGTGTTAAATGTGTTCTTTTACTCTGTGTGCTCTGGTTAGTGTTATGTCTGTTCTTTTACTTTTAACCTGTTTTTGTCTTTTTAAAGAGAATTTCTGATAGGCAAGATAGTTAGGCCTTGCTTTTTTTTAATCCAATCTGACATTCTCTGTCATTTACCTGGAGGTATTTAGACCATTTACATTTAATATTAATGATATGATTTGATTGAATCTGCCATCTTGTCATTTGTTTTCATTTCATTTGCTCTTTGTTCCCCTTTTCCTTTTCTTTTGCCTTCTGTTGGATTTATTGCCTATTTTTAATTCTGTTTTACTTTCTTTGTTAGATTATAGTTCTATCCATTTGTTTTATTTAGCGGTTGTTTTAGGCTTTATATTGTACATATTAACTTAGAGTCTACAATTAATACTTTATTGCTTTATATATAGTATTAAATTAAAAACTTACAACAGTTTACTTGTATTTCCCTTCTTCTGGCCTTTGTGCTATTCTTGTCATATATGTTAGTTTTATATCCATTATAAGTTATTGGCTATTATTTTTGCTTTAAATAGTCAATTTTGTTTTCAAGACTCTAAACATAATACATTATTTTATATTTTCTCACTATTAATCCTTTCCAATGCTCTCTGTTTATGTATCTGATATTTTCCTTCCATCTAAAAACATTTCCTTTAATATATGTTTTTGTAATATGGATCTGATGATGAAGAATAATTTCAGCTTTTGAATTTCTAAGGTTTTTATTTTGTCTTTGTTTTTGAAACACATTTTCATTAGGTCTGGATTGCTAGATTGACAGGCTTCTTCCTCCCCCACCGCCCCCAGAATTTTAAAGATTTTACTCCATTAATTGCTAGCCGGCATTGTTTCCAATGAAAATTCTGATGTAATTCTTATCTTTGTTATTCTGTTATAGCATATCTTTTATCTCTGCCTGATTTTAAGATTTTCTTTTTATTGTTGGTTTTAAGTAATTTAATTATGATATTCTGAAGTGTAATGTCCTTGGTGTTTCTTTTGCTTGGGGTTTGTGGAGATTTTTTGTGGACTTACAGTTTGGATCATTTTTGGAAAGTTTTGGCCATTATTTCCTTAAATAATATTTTTGTTCTCCCCTTGCCTTTAATTACATGTAATTTGTTCACTTAGTTCACTGATGTTCTGTCCTCACCGCGTCTTTTCTTTATGTTTCATTTTGGATACTTTCTGTTGTTGTGTCTTCAAGCTCACAAGTCTTTTCCTTGGTAGTGTCTGTCTATTTATTCTATCCAGTGTTTATTTTGTTTTAAATGTAGAGGTTTTTATTTTTAGGGTTTGATTTGGGATTTTTTTTCACTTTATTTTATTTTATTATTATTATACTTTAAGTTTTAGGGTACATGTGCACAACGTGCAGGTTTGTTGCATATATATACATGTGCCATGTTGGCGTGCTGCACCCATTAACTCATCATTTAGCATTTTCCTCTACCTACTTGGACATATAGAATATAGTTATACTAATTATTTTGATGACTTTTTCTGCTAATCTTATCTTTTGTGCCATTTTCATATGTTCCTATTGATTGAATTTTTTCCCTTATGTTTCCTGTTTCCCTTCATGACTATTTTATTTCCTTTCCTGTTTCCTTTCATATTTCCTGTTTCCTTTCATTTTTGTTTGCTTGTTTTTGTTTTGTTCAGAGACAGGGCTGTTCCCCAGGCTGGAGTGCAGTGGTTTGATCTTGGCTCAGTGCAGCCTTGACCTTCTGGGCTCAAACAATCCTCCCCTCCACCTCCCCAGTAGCTGGAACTGCAGGCATGGACCAATGTGCCTGGCTAATTAAAAAAAAAATTATTCTTGTAGAGATGAGGTCTCACTGTGTTGCCCATCATGGTCTCGAATGCCTAGGCTTAAGCAGTTCTCCTGCCTTGACCTCCTGAAGTGCTGGGTTTTGTAGGAGTGATCCACAGGGCCTGGCCTCTGTTTTTTTTTTTTTTTTAATTGAATGCCAAATATTATACATTCTACCTTTTCAGATTCTAGATATTTGTGTATTCCTCCAAATATTCTGAAATTTGGTTCTGGGATGCAATTAAGTTTTTTGGAAAAAGTATGATACTATTGAGTCTTTCTTTTAAGTTAGGTGGGACCATCATAATCTTTAGTCTAGGGTTACATTTCTCTATACTACTGAGGCAATATCTGAGTCCTTCACCTGGTACATCACGGATTATGAGGTTTTCTATTCTGGCTGCTGGAAATATAAACTGCTCCTGGTGCTGAGTGAGCTCCAGTGATTTGCTTTTTCTTTTTGAGTGGTCCTTTCCTCAGCATCAGGTAACTTCCTCACATGAATGCATTGATTGTTCCCAGCTGAAAACCCACAGGGATCCTCTGCAGATCTTTGAATCTCTCTTCTATCCATAAACCAGCTATGTGGTAGGTACCATTATTATGCTCATTTTACAAAGAAAAAGAGAGGTAGATGATGTGCCCAGGGTGGCACAATTAGTAGAGAATAGAGCTGCGATTCAAATCCTGACTGACTGTTCTGGAGGCTGGCCTAACCACTCTGCTCTACTACCTCTCTATGTGTGGTCATTCAATAGTTTCTAGGGTTCACTTACCTCAGGTATGATTTTAGGGCTAAGCTCCTAAAAGCTCAGATAACAATTAACATGTTTTACAAATCAAGGTCAACTGCTCCAAATTATGCAGTACTTGGACCAATTTAATTGGTCCCTATTTTCTTGCTAGTAAATACAGTTTCACTTTGAGAAGATGTCTTATCCCCAAGCCATTTAAGAGCTACTCAGAATGTTGGAATCCTGTCACTCTGCTTTTTTTTTTTTTTTTTTTTTTTTTTTTTTTTAATTTTTCCTTTTTGATACAGGTTTTTACTGTCACCTAGGCTGGAGTGCAGTGGTGCAAACATAACTCACTGTAGCTTCTACCTCCTGGGTTCAAGCAATCCTCCCACCTCATCCTCCTGAGTAGCTGGGACTACAGGTGCACACCACCATATCTGGCTGTTTTTTAAAAAATTATTTTTAGTAGAGACAGGATCCCAGTATGTTGCCCAGGGTGGTCTCAAACTCCTGAGCTCAAGGCGATCCTCTGGCCATGGCCCCCCAAAGTGCTGGGATTACAGGTGTGAGTCACTACACCCAGCCTCCTTTTCCTTATTACCTCTACAGGTAGGATCCTGTCCCATGCAGCGTTGTTCTTTTTGGAAAAGGCAGCTGTCCACCCCCTCAAATACCAACAAGTTAGCTGACTGAGCATTGCTTCTAAAATGGATGTCAATTTTTGTGCATTGAATTGCAAGCTGGCGTTTCTCAGTTCAGTTTTTTTACAAGAGGTGCAGGCAGGCTCCAGGCACAGCTTTTTCCTACTTCACACTGCCATTGTCACACCTTTGGGGGAAGTCAGGGCAGGAGTATTAAGAACAGGGTCCTTGGCATTTGATTCAGGACAGGAATCAGTTACAGGCTGAGCTGACTGAGCACACAGTGACCATGACTGAAGAAAGAGACGATCTGAATTGTTTAGCTGACAAGTTTCAAACTGTGGGTCCTATGCTGTATTGTCTTCTTTTTTTGCTTGGTCTACCTGGATTCAAACCAAAAGCTTCTTGGGAGATGAATTTAATCACCGTTCAGGGGAAAAATCACACATTCCAGGAAAAAAGATGCCTTACATATTGCCTGCCATATACATGGTTGTAACTGTTCCATTCTTGTCTATTTATACTGGCTGTTTAAAAATCCCAAATATAGATATTATTTAATTATAAATTATACAATTATAAATCAATAAAAATAAAATGATAAATATAAATACTAAAAATAGTAAAACCATTTTGGGCACTGTTGTCAACATAATGTGATGTGCTTATCTGATGATTTATTTTATGAAACGTCAAAATAACTTTGGGCTCAAAAGTCAATCTAAATCTGTAACTTTTGTTTGAAAATCATAATTTTAATGGCTGCCTATGACCTAGAACAGCTTTTGGCCAAATAGCCACAAGTCTGTCACTACCCCAAGCATAGATATTTTAGTCAAAAATTTAAAGGAAATACCAATATTTGGCTGGGGAGTAAGGGTTGGTCTATTTGTTATTTGCACAGTGGGACTATTTCTCTTATTTTTGTGTCTTAAATCAGGAGCATATAAACTCTTGGCTCTGTTTGTTCCTGCCCTTTTTGGTCTGTTCATTTCTGTGCTTGGCAGAGAAAATAACTTAGAGAAATTAGCTGCCCAAATGTGTGATTTCTTGGTCTACCAGGGCTGGGTGTGAAGCAGGTGCTTCCAGGACATTCCTGGGTTGTCCAGGGTGCTCATGTGTAATCATCTGTCTACACAGTATAGCAACATCATTTCCCAGCATCCCTCTGGTTCCAACAAGCTGGATCACTCTGTGTCTTTGCAGTTCTCTGTGATAGACACTGGCAGCTGGTGATATGTGGGGCTGACAGTTTCCCCTGAAACTTGGCAATGAGGGGAACAAGGACATAGGCAGAGCTGTGCAGCCTGAGAGCCCTGAGAAGGAGGTTGGGAAGTGTGCTCTGGGGTCTCTCCAGTAGCAGACGCAGGTTCAGCAGAGCTGGAATTGGCCCAAAATAATGAATTTGTCCTCCTGGAACAAAAACAGGGAAAGAACTGAGCTCACTTGGATGTCCCAGGTTGAGACAGGAGAGGTCATTTAGGTCCATTAAGAGCCAGGAGTGTGTCATCTGTCTTATATCATGGGATATAAGAAAGTGGGGATCAGAGGAACAAATCTGATGGTGAGCTCCCTGTAGGTCTACCCAGGTCTACCCAGGCAAGAGGAGACTCGATTCTGGGGAATGTGGGTCATACAGTTTTCTTTTGCAAGAGCATCCTCAGTGTGTCTTTGGGTAACTGTCACCCGCCCGTAATGACATGTTTAGTGTCTGGCTTCTCTCTTAGGACCATACACTCAGTGAGGCAGGGCCTAGGTTGGTCTGGTTCTTAGATGGTTCCCCACTGCCCAGCAAAAGGTCTAGTGGGCCATGACCAGAGAGGTGTGCTATACCTTTGGGGCAGACTGCCTCAGCAAGAGACCTGTTTTTCCTGTGCTCTCTGCTTCCTGTGTGCTGATTTCACTCCTGTCTCACAGTGGCCATGCCCCATTCCTGGGTTGGTGACCCCTGACAGCAGTGAGCATTCTGGTCACTATTACTCATATACCTCACCCAATGTAAATGAATGCATTTAGATGGGATTTTATAGCTCTCTTCTGCATTGGATCAGCATCAGTTGATTACTAATAAGTATTTTCATCTCTGCATGAATGACGGAGTCCTCTTCCTGGTCAGTTAAGGCCAGACTCTGATCATGGTAAATTTGCTAAGAAATGCCAAAGCAGCGTCACCCTCTGAGGTCCCTTGGTGTTACCACCCTTTTGTCAACTCATGTATGATCCCACCTGATTCATTCAGTTCAAAGCTTTAACACGGCTAGAAGCCTCTGAAGGGAGCTATGAAGCATGCCAGCTGGTCATTTGAGCACCAGGGCCCTGGTGCCTGGTTCCAGTTCTCACTTGCCACTTCCCAGCTGTGTGACTTCTGTGAGTTTAGCAACCTCTCTGGGCTCAGTTTTCTTATGGGGATGATAACAGTTAATGGCCTCAGCATAGGTAAGGGATTAAGTGAATAAAGACATATAAGGACTCCACACAGGGCCTGGCACACTGGAAAGGCTCAGCGAGTGTTTGCTCTGATGATTCTCAAGCATTGTTATCTCTTAACTTGCTTTTTAATATTCATCTTTTTCAGCAAGGCCCTGAACCTCCCCTCTTCACCACGTGCATTCATTCATCCATCCCTCTGTCCAACTTCATCTAATGGGGCCAGCGTGGCTACATCAACACAGCTGCCCTTGTGTTTCTGGAACAGTAAGAAGGGTTCTGAGCCCCATGAGAGCAGAAGCAGGCCTATATACCTTCACATCTGTATCCTCAGGGCCTGGATCAGGGCTGGCCCTGAAGAGGTACTCAGGAATGTTTGGTAAAGAAACGTTCTCAGCATTTGTCTTCCCAGCTGACCAGGAAGGTTCCACTTGATCCTGGGCACCCGTTCTGGGTACAGCATAGGCTATTGGCCAACACATGCTCAGCTGTGCCAAAGATGAGAGGAGCAGGGCATGTGCCTCGGGCAGCTCTGGTAGTTTCATTAAGATTCCTGTTTGCTGGGTATGTCGTGGGGAAGCTGATCATGGTGTTCCCACCACCACGGCTAGCTGGGAAAGCCTTGTCTCACCTACCTCCATCTCCTGCTTCCTGGGCACCTGCTTGCGGGAGAGAGAGAGAGCAATTCAGGTATGCCACAAGGGGAACTTACCTGCCTAAATGCAGGTTTGTCAAGAATTCTTGTCCAGCCAGAAAAAATCTTGTCAGGCTGAAGCGAAGTGATACATGATTTTTTTTTTTAAAGTCTGCTTTAAATTTCTCGTGGCTTCCAAAAAAGCGGCTAGCATACTTCCATATGGGATAAACTGGTATTCCATTAGATTAACTCATGCAACATTTTCTGAGAACCTACTGTGCCCCAGGTACCAGAGATGCCACAATGAGTAAAACCTACCCCACCAGGCTGTGCCATGTGGCCAGAAGAGCCCAGATGAGGAGGCTGTGGGTCTCTCCAGTAGCAGGTGTGGGGTCAGGCTCGTGGTCATCTTAGCCTCTTCCAGTCCTGCTTGTCTGGAGTCTGTGTGATGTAGGGGCAAGAGCACTGAGAGGACGTTGAAGGCCCTGGATTCTGTCTCTTGTTTGTCCTTCACCCGCTGAATGTCTGACAAATGGTTTCTTCATCTGTAAATGAGAGAGCCACACTAATTAAAGGTCTGGAAGGGCCCTTGAGGACACACATTCCATGTTCTGTGATCCCCACTTCTCTGTGTGTGTTTTCTCTTTTTTCTCTCAGCACACTGGGGCCAGACACTGCCGCTACATGTGGTGGAACCAAGTGACAGAGGGGGAGTAAGCGGAGGCTGGAATTTCTCCCTCTGTTGGCTCTCCCTGACCACCTGCCTGCTTAGCCTCTCCTCTTCCCCCAGTGAAAGTGCTGCAGCAATCTCGGCCTTTGGCACTCTCCTCAGGAATTTATGAAGCTTGTGATGTGAATGATGGAGCCAGCTAAGCCTCCTCTGCACTGACAGCTCAGCACAATGACCTGTTGGGTGATGAAAGAAATGCCAGGTGCTTCAGGTGAATTGGCTGGGATTGGGTAACTCAGAGAGTTGGCTCCAGAGTGTGTGTGTGTGTGTGTGTGTGTGTGTGTGTGTGTGTGTGTGTATTCATGGGACCTCACTTGAGCCAATGACACACCCAGACGGGACCTGGGCCAGCGGGCGTTGGGCCTGAGGTAAACGCCTGAGTCACTTTTGTCAACAGATCCTAGGCCCTGTCCACATATGGACTGGGAACCATGACTGCGCCTCACAATAGCCCAGCGAGGGCTGGTGTTTTTCCACTTAGAGTTGGTTTTGTTTCCCAAAGCTGAGCCTAATCCTTTTAACCCTTGCCTCTGGACTCCTCTTGGGGAGGAAGGGAACGCTATCCTTGCCTCACCAGCTCAGGTGGTTGTGCAACCAGCTCTAGGCGCGGGAGGAGGGCCAGGCCGCCTGTGTGTGCTCTGTGGGCAGGGCAGGTAGGCAAAAGGCCAAGTTTTAGGGCTGGACTCCTTCCCTGTGGGCTGGGGAGAGGGCTGAGGAAGGCTCCTGCTGGATCCCGGGGTTGGGATGGGTTCCTGGCTGGCTGGACTTCTGCCTACCCATCACCCTCTGTGACAGCCCCTTTCTTCGTGGTCCGGCCTTGCCTTCTTCCTCACTCTCTCACACTCCCTGCCAATCTCAGTCTTATCTCTCCTGTGGCTCGACAGAGAGCTTCCAGCCCAGGCCTCTCTGCCTAGCCCCAGATGCCCAGCCTCTGCCCAGCCCCAGATGCCCAGCCTCTGCCCTCAGGTGTCTCCAAGTCAGCGTGGGGCCCAGAAATGAGGATGCAGGCTCTGAAAACCACATCACAGCTCTGATTCTTACAGGGTTTTCAATCACACTACGCTTCAGTTTTCTCATCTATAGATATGGATAATAGCTGTGCCCTTCTCAAAGGTCCCCCCATGTGGGATTTAAATGAAATAATTCATATAAAGTTCCTAGATCTTGGCCTAGCACCTATTATTTTATTGTCTCTCTTCTCCAGCCCCAAACCTGCTCATGCTGCAGTCTCCCCGGTCCTGGTTTGTGGCTCAGTGGTTCACCCAGGCCACCCTGTGTCCTGCCCGTGCCCATATCTAGTCATCTCTAGGCCGCAGTCCTTGCTGCCTCTGCATTCCTGCGGCCCTGTGTTAGTTTAGGGCCTCTTTCTCTCTTTTCTGTAGTAGTGAGTTCCTAGCTCCTGAGCCAGCTGCATGATGCAGTCCCCAAATCTGATACAATCCTAATACAACGGCCCAATCCGATCATTACAAAAAGGCGGAGGAGCTCGCTATCAACTCCAGAATCAAGTCCACAACCTCCAAGGTGTGCGCAGCCTGGCGAGACCTGGGCTTTGCTCACCCTTCTGGCTTAATTCTCACCACACACTCCCCTGTAGCAGCCATGCCAAACCACGGCCCACGCTTCCGTCTCCTTGCCTTTGTTCGTGCTGTTCCTGCTTTCTGCTTTACACCTTTCCTGTATCCTTCTTTACCTGCTAGATGCCTGCTTTGCCATCAAGACAATAATCTTTTTTAAATTTAAATTTAAATTCTTTTGACTTTTAGGTGTAGGGTACATGTGCACATTTGTTAGGTAAATTGCATGAAAGACAATCTTAAATACATTTACAGACCCAGTAGCCAGACACTGTACTAACTGTGATTTACATGTATTCATATAATCTTTTCAACAACCTCTTGAAGTGGGTACCATTTATAAATGAGGAAACTGAGGCACAGAGAGGTTGGTAAGTTGACCAAGCTCATAGAATTAGTAACTGGCAGAGCCTGGGTGCAAACCCATGCAGCCAGTGCTAGAACCTGCGCCTGACTGCTACGCTATGTCTCAAGCCCCTCGTAGGCACTGCCCTCCCACTGATGCCCACCTGGCCTCCCCAGGCACTGTTTGGTGCCTCCCCTTTGGTGCTGGTGACTACTGTTGCTTTGCCACAACATGTGTTAGTCACAGTGCTTTTTCCGGCGAACCTCTGGAGGGCAAGGACCGTGTTCTGTTCATTCTCACATCCCCATGGCCCACAGTGCTTGGCACCTGGTAGGTGCCCAATAGACGTTTGTTACACCAAAAGAGCTGGTGAATGAAATGTCATCTGTAGGACTTGTCAGAATGCCTTCTTGCTTCCATCAACCTTTGGCCCTCCATTTCCAAGACTTACCTAAGACTTGCCTCCTTCCTGAAGCCTCACCCACCCTCACTCTCTTCCTTTGCTGGAAGCCTCCTCGCTTGCACAAGGCTCATGTGTATATGGTCAATTCTTTTCCCTCCCTCCCTTCCTTCCTTCCTGACAGAGCTTTGTGCTTGTTGCCCAGGCTGGAGTATAGTGACGCGATCTCGGCTCACTGCAACTTCCACCTCCCGGGTTCAAGCGATTCTCCTGCCTCAGCCTGCAGAGTAGCTGGGATTACAGGTGTCTGCCACCACACCTAGCTAATTTTTTGTGTTTTTAGTAGAGACAAGGTTTCACCAGGTTGGCCAAGCTGGTCTCGAACTCCTGATGGTCAGTTCTTGATTAGGTTTGTTGATGGTAGAGGAGCCATACCGTTGCCAGTGGGCTGGGGAAAAGCTCTGGCTCTCTTTTGTTTGGGAGAAGGCAGCTTAGTGAGTCAGATCACACCTTAATGCTCTTGCCCAGCTGGGGGAGGAAGGGAGAGTGCAGAAAGGTGTTGGGGGTAAGGGCAGGAGACACACCAACAGTGCATCCTGTTGGGATGTCCTTCTGTAACCACAGCCCCTTGCTTCCCAATTCAAATGATGAAAAGAGTAACAAGGAATCCAAATGCAGAACAAGTGGCCACCCTGTCCCCATGACTGTAACCAATCCATACACAGGATAAAGGAGATGGACCCAGGAGGGGCATTGTGAGGCTGCTGCTAACTTCCCACAGCATCCAGAGAGCACCTCTCAGTCTGATGGCCCGGATATCAGGGGTGTGGGCAGGAGTGGCAGTGGGGCAGGAGGGAGCTACTGCTGAAGGTCTTGTGCTGGTGCTAGGCCTGGCAAATGGCACACCTGGTTCCACCGAGTCCTGAAAGCCTAGGAGCTGGGGTATCGTGTCCACTACGCAGAGAAGGAAACTGAGTCAGGAATCATTTTACCCATCAAGTGTCCACCCCAGAAAGTCTGGTAACTCTAACGCCAGTCACTGAAAATTTAGGACGTGTCTCTTCGTTTCAGTTTTCTGTTCCACCGAGTGGATGTGTCCCCCGCCTCTGTCTCTCAGCTTCTGGAGGAATTGAAGCCTGTGACATGTTTCGTTCCCAGATGCTTCTTGCAGCCTCTACCCGACACTGCTTATGGAAGCTGAGGCTCAGAGAGGGCTCTGGAATATTTCAGCCGCTTACATGTAGCCATTTTGGTGTGGTTGTGTCAAAATGACTTTGCCCAGATGCAAAACCACTGGTAACTTAAACTTCTTTTTTAAGTAGTATCTCCCAGGGATCTCTGTAAGCCATGTCACCCCCACCTGGTCTCTCCCTTTCCTCTTCCTCAACCCTGCCCTGACCCTGACTTACCCAACCCCTGCTTGATCTTCATGTGATGATGAGGCAGGTGTGGGGAAGAAGAAAGTATTTGCATATTACTTGGTAATTTTTCAGGAGGTAAATGTTGGATGCATGTGCCTGCTGTTGTTTTGGTTTTAGGTGGCATTAAACTGTTCCAACATGGGTCCTGTGCCGGAGTGTTGCAACTTGGGGAGTTCCCTGGGGAGGCGCCTGTCTCCCTGCGTGGCTGGGGCTCCTTGGTCTCAGCATCAGATGGGGCTGGGGTATGAGGGTGGGTGGGAAGTCCGTGTTCTTGATGAGGGGAGAGGTGCTGGGAATCCCACTGGACACAGCTAGGCTCAGTGCACATTGGGCAGGCTACCCCTGGGGTGCAGGTGGGGACCTCAGCAAGTCCCGGAGGGAAAGCACTTAGCTGGGCAATGTGAGCTTTGGACTCCAGTTTTGCCACGTGCTACCTGTGTGACCTTGACCCAGCTCCTTAACCTCTGTGAGGCTGTCTCCTCATTCATGAAAAGGAGGATAATGAACCTTTCTCTTACGTTGGCTGCAAGGGTTAAATGCCTATATGTTGCTAAAGCTATTTGCCCTTCAGTTCTCCTTAGGCCTTGGGCCTATGATATCTCCATACTTATCCCCATTTCCTGATACTTCTTTACCTTCCTCACCTCTGCCCTCCAGGGATTGGCCTGATAGCAGTCAGAAGTCTTCCTTATTTCCAAAAAGGGTTTCTAGAGGAGAGCGGTTGCCTGGGGATAAGGATGGAAGGAGGGAGTAATTACACAAGGACATGAGGAAACATTCTGGGGTGATGGAAATGTTCTCTATCTTAATTGTGGTAATGCTTTTATAGCTGTATATGTATGTCAAAAGTGATTAATTCATACACTTTAAGTGTGTGCAGTTCATTGAATTTCAATTATACCACAATAAATTTTGAGAAAAGATTAAAAAGGTATATTTCAGTTGAGCACAAAGGATGAAAGTACACTTTCATGCTATATTCACATTTCATTAAATTACAAAAGAACATTAAAAAGAAGAGAGGGGATTGTCAATAGTCATCTCAATAGACCACCACAGTTTATCTGCACTGGGCCAGTATGTGCTATAGTAGTAACTCCTGAGCTCTGCAAGGACTGTTTTTGATTATATTCTTCACGCCCAGCCCACATCCTAGTATGTATCACTCGTGCACAAAATTGATGGATGAATAATTGATTGAGTGAATGAATGGATGTAGACATTTAAGAGAAGCGACTGGATTTGAAACCAGCTCTTGTATCCCGAGCCTACTTTGAAGCAGGAGAACTTTATCAGTAGTTGCCTCTTGTTTCTCCCACCTCCAGTCTGCCCAGGGTGCCACCGGGACCTTATGTGGTTGCCTCCTATCCCCACTGCTGTCACCTGCAGCCCTACCCCCGACTTCCCAGAAAACCTGCTTTTGCTGCGCACATCTCCTGGGGCCTTAGCTGCTATCTGATAGCTTCATCTGCACTTAGATGGGAGGGTGGTGGGGCCTGGGTGTGTTTACCTCCCAGGTAATGTGTTTTTCCATTCTGAAGGAATGCAGATCATGGGTACCTCAGTCTTTTCACCTTTGTGATGAAAAGTTGGACCCTATGGCCTCTGAAGCCCTGCCCTCTGGCATCTTATATGCTGTCACGTCTGGACTCCACTGTAAGGCTAGGGCTATGTTTCTGTTTTGATTAACAAGTTTATATTCTGACATGGTGCAAATTGCAAAGGGTACAGGGGATCATCCTCCTTCTACCCTGAGGCTCCATCCCTTAGTGCATGCCAGAGAGACCACCACTCCTGCTAGCTCCTTAAGTGCCCTTTCAGAGATGTCCTAACATATGTAAACCTAGAATGTGACTTCATGGACTTGAGCCAGATTTGGTTGACATTCATTTGTTTGTTTTAAACACTGGTATTTTCTTGTTTAAATGCACCGTGATTTATTCAGACAAGCCTTTAGATGTTTAGGCTTAAAAATGATGTGGCCATGAAAGGATGGAAATCCTTTTATTTGTATCTTTCTGCATATGTGGAAGTATAACTGTAAATATCCTAGGTAGAATTGTTGGTTGAAAGGATATATATAGCGTTTCAATTTGTGTAGATATGACCAATTTGCCTTTCAGAGATATTTACAGTTTATACTTCTAACACATATAGGGTGCCTGTCTCACTACATACTCATCAATAATATTTTATCAAAGTTTTTTTCTATTGATAAAATTTTATAGAGGTATAAAATTCACACAGAAAACCGCAGAAATTGTAAGTATTTGGCTAGATGAATTTTCCCAAAGTGAAACGTATCTATATAATCTTCTAGGTTAGAACTAGACTATTTACAGCATCCTAGAAGCCCTCCTTCTGTCCGTCTTTGTCACAACCCACCCTTTTGCCCAAAGATGACTAATATTTGACTTTTAATGGTCTAGGTTAGTTTTGCCTGTACCGTTACATGAAATTTACACAATTTGTAATCTATCGTTTCTGGTTTCTGACACAGCATATATGAAATTCATCCATGTTCTTACATGTAGCAGTAGTTTGTTCATGTTCATTGCTATAGCATATTCCATTTTATGAGTAGATCATGATTTTTGTCCACTTTTCTAGTGATGGACAGTTGGGTTCTTTTTAGTCTGGAGCCATTGGAAATAATGTTGCTAGGTATGTTCTTAAACCTGTGTTTTGCAGGTCAAATGCACTCGTTTCTCTTGGGTATACACAGGAGTAGAATAACCGGGTAAGAGAGTATGCGTACGTTCAGCTTCCCCCAGTGGTTGTGCCAATTTTCACCTCCACCAGTAATATCTGAGAGCTCCAGTTGCTTCATGGCCTCTCTGGGACTTGGTACTTACGACAATGTTTTTTCAACTTTAGCCATTCTAGTGGGTATGTAAGTGGTTTCTGATTGTGGTTTTAATTTTCATTCTCCTAATGACTCCAGAGTTTAAGCACTACTTTTATCGGCCATAAAAACTTTGTGAAGTAGCTATTTAAGTCTTGTGTTCATTTTTCTACTGGGTCACTTGTCTTTTTTGTTGTTGTTGTTGGGACTAATTTGAGAAGTTCTTTCTATATCCTGGATATGAGTCCTTTGTTAGGTGTAAATATTTCAAATATTATCTCCCATTCTGTGGATCATCTCTTCATATTCAATAAGTCTTGCCTACTGAGGTCATGAAGGCTTTCTCTTATGTTATCTTCTAGAAGTCTAATTTATTTTTCTCATTTTGATCTCTAATTGACCTGGAAATTTTATATTTAGTGTGAGGTAGGAGCCAAGAATAATTTTTTCCCATATGAATATCTTATTGACTTAGTGCATTTATTGAAAAGACTGACCTTTCCTCTTTGCTTTGCGGTGTTACCTTTGTCATGCAGTGTGTCCACATATGAGTAGGTTAATTTCTGGGCTAGTGATAGTTTTTTAATAATGATAACAATGATAGTTTTTTTCTTTTCTATTTGATCTATTCACCGATCCATACACAATACCACACTGTCAAAATTATTGTCATTTTAAAATAATGTTTTGAAATTTATTGTTATTAATTAATGAAGAGACTGGGTCTCACTATGTTGCCCAGGCCGGAGTGCAGTGGGCTGTTCACAGGTACCATAGTGCGCTACAGTCTTGAACTCCTGGACTCAAGCAGTTCTCTCACGTCAGCCTACAGAGTAGCTGGGACAACAGGGTCACACCACCAGGCCCAGCCAATAAAATAAGTTTTGATATCCAGTAGCATTATTATCCAACTTTGTTCTTTTTCAACATTGTTTTGGATACTTTTGGCTGTTAGCATTCCCACATAAATTTTAGAATAAATTTTTGACTATGAACATACATATACATATAAACTACTACTATTCTGATTGGGAATGTTCTTAATATATAGCCAAATTTGAGGAGAACTGACATCTTAGACATACTGACTTTTCCAATCCGTGAACATGGGATTTATTTTGGTATTTTATTTTTCTCCATATTTTCTAAAGTTCTGTATTTAACATTCTTGTATGTCTTTCAGATTTTTTCTTATTTTTAATTGAATTAGTACAATAAAAATGCGCATTTTTATTTTATGTGCAATCATTTTAAAATATACCTTTTCATTTATTTGTTGCTGGAGATAATTGATTTTTGTATATTATCTTTGAATTCAACAATCTTGTTAAATTCACCAATGAACCATAATAATTTATCTGAAAATCCTGTTGCATTTTCTGTATATACAGTCATGTAGACTGTAAATAATAATAGGATTTTTTTCGCTTTCTAATCTTCATACCTTTTTTTTGTTTTATTATATTGGTTAGGTTTTTTAGTACAATATTTGTAATATTGTGAAATATATATTTAGTCTTCATCCCCTTTTCCTGACAGTTCCTAAACCTTTGACATCTCCAGAGTGATGACGAGTGTCTTCTGTATGCTCAGAAGATGACAGGTGGTGGAGAGCCCTTCGATAACTTCAGGGTGGGGACTGGTTGCCAGAAAGACCAAGACATGATTAGAGGGTTAGGACTTTCAGCCCAATCCCCCCAACCTCTGGGGCTGAAGGTTCAGTTGACCACCAATGGCCAATGATTTAATCATGCCTAAGTAATATGGATACTTCATAAAAACCCAAAAGGACTGGATTCAGGGAGCTTCTGAATAGCTGAACACACTGAGGTTCTGGAGGGTGGCACTGCTGAAGAGGGCATGGAAGCTCTGCGTTCCTTCTCCCATACCTTGCCCTATGTATGTCCTTCATTTGGTTGTTCATCTATATCCTTTGTAGTATCCTTTATCATAAATGGGTAAACATAAGTAAAGTGTTTCCCTGAGTCCCGCGAGATGCTGCAGAAAATTATTGAGCCCAACGAGGGGTTTACAGGAATCCCCGATTTATTTCCAGTCCATCAGAAGTATAGGTAGAGCTTATTACTTGTGACTAGCATCTGAAGTCGGGGACAATACTGTGGGACTGAGCCCTCAACCTGTAGGATCTGATACTATCTCCAGGTAGGTAGTGTCGGAATTGTGTTGAATTATAGGACATCCAATTGGTGTCTGCTGGAAAATTGGTTGGTTGGTGTGTCAAAAGTTTTGTGTTGAGTGACTGTGAAAGTAGGGAATAGGAGAAACTGACTTTGTTTTTTTCTATCTCATTTAATGTTGAATAGAAGTGATGATAGTTGACATCCTTGTCTTGTTTCTTTCAGGGGAAAGCTTTTAGATTTCACCATTAAGTATGATGTTTTATACAAGCTTTAAAATAAATATTCTTTATAAGAGTCAGGAAGTTATTCTCTGTGCTTATGTGCTAAGAATTTATTTTAATAAAATAATGCATTTCAAATTTTATCAAATGTATTTTCTACATCTATTGAGATAGGTTTTTTCTTTATTCTGTTAATATGATAAATTATATTGATCCAATTGTTCTTTATTAAACTAAACATGTATCTCTGTAATAAACCCAGATTACTTGGAATGCATTGTCCTTTTCATGTACCACCGGATTTGATTTGATAATAGTTTCTTGAAGATATTTGAATTGAGGCTTGTGAGAGAGATTGGCCTGCAATTTTTTTAAATTGTTGTATGTCTGCCAAGCTTTGATGTCAAGGATATATTGGCCTCACTAATGAGTTCCAAGTGTTCCCTCTTTTTCTATTCTCTAAATGTATTGGAGACAGAATGATATTCCTCACACATTTGGGAGAATTTAGTGGTTATGCCATCTGGGACTGAAGTTTTCTTAGAATGTTTTATTTAAGGACTCACTTTTCAAAGTAAATGTAGAACTATTCATATTTTCTCTATTTTCTAGTGTCAGTCTTGATCAGTTTGATTTTTTTCAAGGAGTTAGTGTATTTCACCTAGTTTTTAATGGCATAAAATTGTTTCAAATATTCTTCTATAATCTTTAATTTTAATTCCTGATATTAGTAATTTGTGCCCATTCTGTCTCTTCCTGATGAATCTTGGTAGGTGTTTATCAATTTTATCAGTTTTTTCAAAGAACTAACTTTGGCTTTGTTGATTTTTCTCTATTTTGTACTTGTTTTCTATTAATAAATTATTAAGTTTTCCTCATTTATTTCTATTTTTCTGTGATGTTCAATTACTGTTTGCTTTCTAGCTGCTTGATGTAAGTACTTACAGCATTGGTTTTCATCCTTTCTTCTTTTCTAATACATCCATTTAAGGCTATAAATTTTCCTTTAAGCATGGCTTTAACTGAATCCCAGAAGCTTTGGTACACCATTTATATTAATACTCAAAATATGTCCTAATTTCCAAAGTAGTATTTTTTGATTCATGGTTATTTAGAAGTGTATTGCTTAAATTCAACACTCGGTGATTCTTAAACCTATGTTTGGTCATTTATTTCTAGTTTAATTTCATTGTGGTCAAGGAATATATGGTGAGTCATTTTAAACCTTTGAAATGTGTTATGGCTTCCTTGGCACTAGCACTATAGTCTAGCACATGGCCAATTTTCGTAAATTCCCCTATATGCATCTAAAAGAATGTTTATTCTGTATTTGGGCACAGAATATGTCAATTAGGTCTTGTTTTTAAATTGTATACTTCAGTCCCTCATATCTTTATTTTAAAATAGAGACGTAATTCACATGCCATATACACCCTTTGAAAGCGTACAATTAGTATTTTAATAAAATTGTGCAACCATTACTACTAATTCTAGAACATTTGCATCACGTCAAAGAGAAACCCTCCTTATTTATCCCTTCAGCCCTTGGCAATCACTAATTTACTAATTAAATTGAGTAATTCTGGACATTGGAGTAATTTACTAATTTACTCCTTGAATTTACTAATTCTGGACATTTCACATGAGTAGAATCATGTAATATGTGGCCTTTGTGTCTGGCACCTTTCATTTATCATAATGGTTTTGAGATTCATTCATATTGTTGCATGTATTAGTACTCCCATGACTTTATATGGCTGAATAATATTCCATTGTATGTCTACACCTCATCTTGTTTATTCATTTATCAGCTGATGGATGTTTAGGTTGTTTCTACTTTTGGGCTATTATGAATAGTGCTGCTGTAAATATTTGTATATAAGTTTTTATGTGAACATATGTTTTCAGTTCTCTTGAGTATATATCTAGGAGTGAAATTGCAGGTCATATGGCAATTCTGTTTAACTCTTTGAGGAACTGCCAGACCGTTCTCCAAAGGACTTTGCATGCCATTTTACATTTCTACTAGCAATGTATGAGTGTTTCTATTTCTCCACATCTTTAGCAACACTTTTTATTGCCCATCTTTTAAATTTTAGTCAGCATAGTGATGTGTGAAGGGGTATCTTATTGTGGTTTTAATTTGCATGTCTGTAATGACATTGAGTGTCTTTTTGATACATTTAATTGGCCATCTGTATATCTTCTTTGGAGGAATATTTGGAGGAATCTTAAATAGAGTTATTTTCCTTTCAGTTGTTGAGGTGTAAGTGTCCTTTATCCATTCTGGATATTAGTCCCTTAGCAGATATATGATTTGTAACTATTTTCTCCCTTTTATTGCTTGTCTTTTCATTTTCTTGATCCTCATTTACTTTTTTTTCTGCTTGTTCTATCAGTTACTGAGCGAGATGTGTTAAAATCTCCTGTTATGATTATAGATTTTCTAGTTTTCCTTGTGGTAGTATTAATTCCTGAGGCTTATTAGGTACATACAAATACAGAATTATGAAACCTCCCTATTGTATTGACCCTTTTATTATTATGAAAAGTCACTCTTTATTTTGGTTAATGCTTCTTCCTCAAAGTCTACCTATTTGATATTAGTATGCTACACCAGCTTTTTTGGAGGGAGTTGTGTTTGCATGGTTTCTTTTTGTCTTTTCACTGTCTCCTGTCTGTATCCTTATTTATAAGGCATATTTCCTGTAAGCAGTCTTTATATATCTTTTAACCTGGTCTGGTAATATTTGTCATTTAATGGAACTATTAATATTTAACCCCACTCATATTATTTAATTACTGATATATTTGTTTTTTTTGAGACACGGTTCTCTGTCACCCAGGCTGGAGTGCAGTGGCATGATCATGGCTCACTGCAGCCTCAACCTCTGGGTCTCAAGCTATCCTCCCACTTCAGTCTCCCGAGTAGCTGGGGCTACAGGCATGCACCACCATGCCCAGCTAATTTTTTAATTTTTTGTAGAGATAGGGTTTCCCTTGTTGCCCAGACTGGTCTCAAACTCTTGGGCTCAAGCAGTCCTCTTGCCTCAGACTCCCAAAGTGCTGGGATTAGAGGCACGAACTACAGCGCCTGGTCAATGACTGATATATTTAGATTGAAAGCTAGCATCTTACTTGGTTTGTACTTATCCAACCTCCCTGTGTTTCTTTTTCTCTCCTTTCTTGCCTTTTTCTGGAATAATCACGTTTTTTTTTTTTTTTTTTTTTTTTTGAGATTTCATTTCCCCGCTCTATTAGCTTGTCATTGTTACATTATTTTACAGTTCTAATGATCGCTCTAGTAATTACAACATGCATCCTTGATTTATTAGCATCTAATATAAATAATTACATTGACCACTTTCTTTCTTTTTCTTTTTTTTTTTTTTGGAGATGGAGTCTTGCTCTGTTGCCAGGCTGGAGTGCAGTGGTGCGATCTTGGCTCACTGCAATCTCTGACTCCCTGGTTCAAGGGATTCTCCTGCCTTGGCCTTCTGAGTAGCTGAGATTACAGGCGCGTGACACCACACCTGGCTAATTTTTTGTATTTTAGTAAAGACGGGTTTTCACCATGTTGTCCAGGATGGTCTTGATCTCCTGACCTCATGATCCGCCTGCCTCGGCCTCCCAAAGTGCTGGGATTACAGGCGTGAGCCATCGCACCCGTCCACATTGACCACTTTCTAGACAAGGCAAAGACTGAAAGCCACTTAACTCCATGTACTTCTTCTCACCTTTTGTGCCATTGTTTTCACATACGTTCATTCCACATTTATTTTAAACCCTACAATTATTAACAGTCAATATTCACTTAGATTTACTCATTTATCTACCTTTTCTTAGCTTTGTATTCCCTCCTGTGTTTTCCTTGCTCTCATCTGGCATAGTTTGAAAAAACATTTATTTAAGTATAGTTTTAGATTTACAGAAAAATTGCAAAAATCATACAAAGAATTACCATATGCCTCACACCCAGTTTTTCTCTATGATTAACATCTTAGTATAGTACATTCCCTATAATTAATGAACCAATATTGATACATCATTATTAACTAAAGCCCGTATTTTACTCACATTTCCTTAGTTTTTACCTAATGTTCTTTTCTTTATTATAGGATCCTGTTTAAGAAAGCACATTCCACCATCCTGGCTAACACGGTGGAACCCCGTCTCTACTAAAAATACAAAAAATTCGCTGAGCGTGGTGCTGGGCACCTGTAGTCCCAGCTACTCGGGAGGCCGAGGCAGGAGAATGGTTGAACCCAAGAGGTGGAGCTTGCAGTGAGCCGAGATCGTGCCACTGCACTCCAGCCTGGGCGACAGAGTGAGACTCTCTCTCAAAAAAAAAAAAAAAAAACAGAGCACATTTCATTTAATTGTCTCTTTAGGCTGCTCTTGACTGAGACAGTTGCTCAAATTTACTTGTTTTTTAAGACCAGCTCTTGTTCTATTACCCAGGCTGAAGTGCAATGGCATAAACACAGCTCACTGCAGCCTCAACTTCCTAGGTTCAAGCCATTCTCCCACCTCAGCTTCCTGAGTAGCTGGGATTACAGACATGTGCCATCATGCCTGGCTAATTTTTAAATTATTTTTGTAGAGACAGGGTCTTGCCATGTTGCCCAGGCTAGTCTTGAACTCCTGGGCTCAAGTGATCCTCCCACCTTGGCCCCACAAAGTGCTGGGATTACAGGCATGAGCCACATGCCCAGCACTTGTTTTCGATGACCTTGACAGTTTTGAGGAGTTCTAATGAGGTTTTTTTGTAGAATGTTCCTCAGTTGGGATTTGTCTGATTCTCTTTCTCATGATTAGACTGAGATTCCCTAAAGGTTTTTAGGGGGAAGAATCATAGAGGTAAAATATCATTTTTATTATATCATGTCAAGGGTACATACTATTTTTTTTTTTAATGGAGATGGGGTCTTTCTGTGTTTCCCACGCTGGATTTGAACTCCTGGGCTCAAGTGATCCTCCTGCCCCAGCCTGCCAAGTAGCTGGGACTATAGGTGTGTGCCACCATGCCCAGCAAAGGCACATACCATTAACAAGCCCTTCAAAATCTGGATCTACCTCTGAATACGGGTAAGTATGCTAATAGATCATTCCAGGAAATGACCATATGCCCCTGAGAAAGGATGAGAAAGGAGTTGTGGATCCTGTGTTTCTTTAGGGAATCTCAGTCACCCCATCCCTCTGGAGATGTGAGCATCTTGCTGTGCTGAGTATAGTTGTGTTTAAAGATGTGTTTTCTTTACAAGGTGATCTCTAGATATGAGCCAATTATTTCATCTGGTGCTCATCCAAAGAAACCACAATTGTTCTGACACCGGAGGAAAAGCTGACTGCGCTGGAGAAGTGGGGTGTTGGTTTTCAGCGTGGTCACACCTTCCTTAGGGGTTCTCGAGGGGAATTCTGACTTGTGGGGTTTTTTGCTTTCTTCCTAACTTCAGATGTAATGCCACAGTACCTCTCAAAGAGAAACAGTAGTCCATGAAGGCCATGCAGTCTAAATCTCTATTAAGGAAGAAACACATTTTAAAATTTAAATTCACCATAATTTGCACCATTTTTTCGGCTCACAGTTAAGGGGCAGTGCCAGTTCCCCTCTGGTCATCCTGGGTTGCATATGGGCCGTCTATCTTTCACAACCAAGCTTTATCTACACAGAGATGTGAGCGAAGTTTTGCAATCATAGTTTTTCTTTACCTTTTCCTGTTATCCTTAGCCCATCATGTTCTAAATAGCTTTCTCTGGTGATCAGAGTAAAGGGATTTCTCTGTTATTCTGAGCAAGTAAACACTGAAACATCAGGGAAAGGGTGAAGTTTGTTTCCGAGTGTATTTGCGTTCAGCTGGACTCTGTTTTCCTGCACCTGTAGGCCTGATTCTATCCTGTGGAGCCACCCAAAAAAGTTCTACACCTTCTGCTTTTCCAGATATTTGCAGGTGGGCTTTTGAGCTCCCCCAAACCTTATTTTCTCCAGTACAAACTTCCTCAGCTTTTCTAGTCAGTGTTTGTAACATAGTTGAGAGTCTCCTCACCATTTTAGTCATCCTTCTTTGAATTCATTCCTGTTTATTAAAACCTGGTGCCGAGAGAGGGATATAATATTATCGGGGTGGCTTCCTAGCCCATAGTATTGTGGGATTACCCATTCCTTTTTTCTCCATATTGTTCTTCTATTAATGCATTTTTAGGGTCACATTATTTCTACGATTACTTTATAGGCTAGTACTCATTTATTAATAAGTTATTTTTCAGAAATTCCCATACTCAATATCAAAGGCACTTCCTTGGCAAAGTGACTGTATTTCTCTCTGTCTCGGTTTCTTCATCTCCAAATGGCAATAATTATGATCCTATGAGCTCACAGGACTATTGTGATGAATGAATGAGATACTCTGGTCAAGCTCAGCCTAATAAATAATAAAGTCACTGTGACTGTCTCTACTTTCTGACTGTGAGTACTGCTACAAGTCCACCCCCACCTCTGCTTGTAGAAATAAAAAGTGCAGATTTATGAGAGGGGATGGGTCTACCTGGAGTGACTTGAGGAATACCCAGAAGACCCCGTCCACCTCCTCCTGCTTAGAATATGCCTTTTGCTAGCCTGCTGTGATGCCTGGAATTTCATCCTTCACCCATGTGAGTCATTATTGGACCCAGGAAGTTAAAGATCAATCAGTCTTATCCCCTGCCCCTCCCCCCCCCCCCCCCGCCACCCCCGGAGAGCTACAGATGCCACCCACAGCTGGCTCCTGGAAACTTGAGCAGAGACTGGGTCCTCTACTCTTTTTCAGAAGTTCTCCCATGAGGGTGTGAGTGGCCAGGGAGATGTCCTGAAAGGGATTCTGGGCTCGGAGTGGCTTAGAGGGCAGTTTCCCACGAATTTTCCAATTTTCTTCAGTCAGAAAGTGAGCGACCCATGACCAGTCCCATGCCCCGAGCACAGCCCAGCAGAGCTCAGAGTTGGTCCACAGCATGTAGGGGGGTGGGAATGATGACCATCGCGGCAGAGCCCACGCTGGCCAGCACAGCTGGTGCTCCACATTTTAAGCAGGAGTGGACACACGTACCCAGGATCTCCCAAACCCGTGCAGGCCAACCCACCCCGGTCTGAGTCAGCTTTCTCATCCAGACTTGAGTCTTAGTTAGAGCACTGCCTTAGCCTTTAGTGAGGCCCCCAAAATGATGTCAATGTTCACGCTCAGCTGCCCTCGCCTCAACCAGGCTAATGAGGATGGGGAAAAAGTTCTTTGTTTTAGGCCAAATGGGTCTTCTCTAACTGCAGCTGTTTTCTTTTTTTGTTCCTACAAGTGCTGGGCCCACCCACATAGTTTAAAGCCAAGATCAGGACAGAGATGGAGGGAGCTGTCCCCTGGCCACCCTGATACCTGCTGTTGGAAATCAACAAACAAACACAAACCCACTTTGCGTTCTGTGAGTGTGCATGTATGTTGGTCCCTAGGTGCTGCAGGACAAGAGGAGGGCCAGAAAGCTCTGCCCATGCCTGGGGAGCATGCTGGATCTCCCTTCCAGCTACAGAAGAGGTCAGCACCCTGCCCCCGCTGGCGGTCTTGCTCGAACCTCTGAGAGACCTCTTGGCAACATGCTGTCCCTCCTAATTGTCTTCCTCGGTCACCACTGCAGACCAAGCCTTCCAGGTCATCAGTCACCACGTGGCCCTTGTCCTGGGAGAGTTCTGCACATCCGCTTCCCTTCACCCCTCCTCACCTCCAGACCCTTCCACTGCATTATCGAGAACTCTGTCTCCTAGAGCCTCCCCTCCTCTGAAGGGGCCTTTACCTTCTTTCACTGAAGCCTGGCTGTCCTCAAGCTCCCTGCTCCTTGCAGCCACTCAGGTTGAGGCTGGTTTCTGTCGCCTACAGGCAGGTGTCAGGCAGGGCCTGGACGTAGAGGGGTTACTCATTTCTCCCTCTCAGTCCTCAGACTCTTTTTTTCTTCCCCCAGTGACTTCAGTCCCCAGCTCCTCTCTCCATCCACCTTTACTTTCACGGACGCTGACACCCACCTGGACCACTCTGACAACATCCTGGCTCCCCAACTTCATCAGACCCTTGCCTTCTTTGATTTCAGCCACCTCTGAGATCTGAAAATTTGCTTTTATTTAAAAAATGTCTTAAGTTTACATATGTAAAATTCTTTTTCTGATGTACAGGTCTATGGTTTCTTAGACACGCGTGGATTCTCACAGCCACCACCACAGACAGTACAAGCAACAGTTCCAATACTCCAGAGAACGCCCTCATCTCTCCTCACCCCTGCCTTCTGGCAAGCAATGAGCTGTTCTCTGTTCCTGTATTTTTGCCTTTTCTAGAATGCCATATAAATGGAATTATATAGAATGTGCCCTTTTGGTACTGGCCTCTTTTGTTCAAAAGAATAATACCTTTGAGATTCATCCATGCTGTTGTTTGAATCAAGCATGTTAACTTTTATTGCTGAGTAGTAGTCCATTGTGTAGATATATTACAGTTTTTTAAAAATCTACCCCTGTCGAAGGACATTTGGGTTGTTTTCAGTTCTTGGTGAGGATGAACATTTGTGTGCAGATTTTGTGTGGACTTAAAATCTTGACTTCTTTAAAATACCTAGAAGTGGTCATTGCTGGGTCCTATGTATGTGAGATCTCAACTGTAAGTTTCCTCTCCTCTGACAACTGTGCCCCATCCACATGGTTCCTTTCTCTAACATATCACACTGACCACTGTGACCTCACTAAGACCTCCAATTCACTGAGCCTGCCATTTTTTTCATTGATCATGAACCTATTCATTTTTTCTTTCCTTCTCACACAACTTAGTGATCCATCGTAATAGTCATCCTACTGGAAACTTTCCTCACTCCCTTAAACATACCGTCCTGGCTGAACCACAACCTGGTAAACTCAACTACCCACCCATTCAGTCTCCATTAGAGTAGAACAGTGTGGCTAGAAGAAAACACAATTGTGCCATGGGCCAGTTCATGACCATAAATCTCACCTGAGCTTCTGATACTGATCATCGATCAGTCTGACCTTCTAGTGACTATTTCATACTTGTATCTCTTCAAACCTCTGACAGCCTCATATATCACTGGGGAAATAGCGATCAGACTAGAGATTGCTTATTATCCTCCCACCACCAATTCCACCTGACGGACTAAGGCTTTACTCTCTTCTCTGCCTTCCCCCTTTTAAAACGATGAACTGTCCATGCTTCTGTCTGAAGCCAGCCCCTCGATGGTGCAGTGGATTCCATCCGTGCCCATCCCACCTTTTCAATCATTTTACTTCTGCAATTATCCCCCCCTTTCCTGTCTTCATCAACTTTCTGCCATCACCGTATATACGTTTCCTAATGTAGCTCATCTTCAAAAATGATGTCCCTCCTGGCTCCCCAAAACCAGTAACTTTACAGTGGAGAGACCTGACAAAACACCTCAGCCAGGTGATCAAGGCAACGAGTCATGACGGCGGAATGTACCCTTGCTGTGATGTGAGGAGGTGATAATGGCACTGTACCTCTTTGGTCTTCCTTTCCAAAACCCACAACCTCTGTCCAACCAGAAAAACACCAGACAAATCCAAATGGAAGGATGTTCTACAAAATACTTAACTAGCACTCCTCAGAATTGTCAAGGCCGTCAAAAGTGGGGAAAACCTAAGAGAAGCCTAAGGAGACGTGACAAGTAAATGTAATGTGGTATCCTGAATAGGACCTTAGAACAGAAAAAGAAAGATATTAAGTAACACTAAAAACTGGAATAAAGTACAGGCTTTAGATAATAAGGTACCAATACTGGTTCATTAATTGTGACTTATGTACCATAGTAATGTTAACAATAGAGGAGGCCAGGCACGGTGGCTCACGTCTATATTCCTACCGCTTTGGGAGGCCGAGGCAGGAGGATCACTTGAGCCCACGAGTTTGAGACCAGCCTGGGCAACATAGGGAAACCCCGTCTCTATTCTAAAAATAAAATAAAATAATAGAGGAAACTGAGTGCAGGGAACTCTTATAATGGTCTCACAGCCTTTCTGTAAACCTAAAACTATTCTAAGATAAAAGTCGATTAAATATGAAACCACACACACACACACATACACACACACACACATATACACTCCCACACACTCCCCTGACCCATGTCATCCTCTTGCTCCACTCCATTTCCCTGCTTTCCTGCACAGGGAACCTTCCCAAACGAGTTGTATATTGCTACGGTCTCTGTTTCCCCACTCCAGCCAGCTCATTCCTCAGTCTACTCCAATCTGCTGTCCTTAGCTCCCCACCAAACCTGCTCTTGTTAAGGTTGATGGTGAGCTCCATGTTGGCAAATCCGAGTCAATTTTTTTCCCCTTCCCTTACCTTTCAGTCTAGTGTGTGTGTAATGCAGTTCACTATGCCCTACTTCCCGCAGCACCCTTATCACTTGGCTTTTGAGATACTATACCCCTGGATTTCTTTCTGCTCCTTGGGTGCTCCTGCTCAGTCTGGCTTCTACCAGTGGCCTAGGTTCTGTCTCCCGACCTCTGTTCTTTGCACTTCTATCTCAGAGGCATATTTCATCCCAGCTCATGGAGTTAAGTACAATTTACCTACTGCACATACCCAAATTTGTATCTCCAGCTTTAAACCCTATGAGGTAGGGACTGCTGTCACCACCATTCTACAGAACAGCAGACTTAGGCTATCAGATGTTTAAGGGGCTTCCTTGAGGTTACACAGCAGGAAGCAGCAGGGCTGGGATTTGAACCTAGGTCCGTCTGACTCTAGGTCTGTGTTGTGAGTTGCCAGGCTGCCCGGCCGCCCCCTCCTTCCCAGCTCCCGTCCTGCCTGCCCCCCAGGGCCTCTTGCATGTATTGCTCATTCTGGCCTCAGGCCTTTGTCTCCCTGGTCCACTTCTCCTGGAATGACCTCTTTTCCCGCTGCCTGTCTAATCCTCTTCCATCCCAGCTCTGGTGGGAGATTCTTCACTCCTAAGACCCAGGCTGATCTCTGCTGGCCTCCTCTGGACATTTGCAGGAGTTGAAGTCCACCCTAAAACAACCAAGGGCTCATTTGCATCAATAGTTATCATGCTTTCTGAACCCGCGATGGGACCCTTGGCCCAAGTACAGCTGCACCCGCGGGGACGCGGAAGCACGTGATCTAATGCTTGGACTGGCTGGGAAAACTGGGCCATGGGCCTCCATCATCCCACACCATCTCAGACAGGGTCTCAGTCATCCAGGCGGGCTTTGTTTGGTTCCCCTACTAGCTGGGAAGCTTCTAGAAGGAAGGATCATGATTGCCGAAGAAGTATCATTTTTAAACACTGTGTATTAGGTGGGGCTGGGGAAGTACTTCAAAATCCTTTTCTCCTGGGTCCTGGGGGACCAAGAAAAGTTCAGTCTAGTAGTGAAAGAATTGATTTAGACTTCATTTGAGGTCACAGAGAGGCCAAGCAGTTCCCACAGGGGTCGCTGAGCTCAGAGGAATGTTTGGAAGAAATGGGGGTGACAGGATCATTTTTGGAAGAACTGAGAGTGCCGGAGGGAAGTGAGGAGCAGGAGGCTGGAAGGAAGATTTGGGAAGGGCCATGTGGGAGGCCCAGTGCTGGCTGAGACAGTGAGCGGTGACCTCTGGGGCAGAGAACACAGCCCTTTCACTTACGTGAGTTCAGCCCCAGTTCCCATGATGCTGGCCTGGGCTCTGGCCCCCACCCTGCCACTAACTCCCTGTGTGACTGTAGGCAAGTCGCTTTGTTTTCCTGGGCATCAGTTTCCTCATCTCTAAAATGAGGAGGTTGAAAAAAAGAAGTGATGGGGTTGGGCGACATTGTTTCTCAGCCCCTCTCAGCATCTGAGATAACATCCTGTGCTGTCTTACCCAGGGCCACTACCTCAGGGAAGGAAGAGCCGGGTTAACCTGACTGTTCTTCTGCAGGCCTCCTGGTAAAAGTTTCTTTTTCACAAAAAAGCAGTCTCTTTTGTGCGGGATCCAGGAGAGGAAGGATGTTAAGTGGTTGAATCTTGCATGTTGTAAAAGAAATGAATCTGCATTTCCGTGATCTCCAGAAAAAAAACAGTTCATTCACTCTCCACCCCCATCTGAACATGGGCATCAAAGCCCATGCTGCGGAATGGGATCAGTTTTGCCCTGCATGATCAGAAGGGGCAGGGTTGGCCCTTCTCTACTAGGTAGGGCCTTCTGAGGTTCCAGCCTTGGGTCAGAGTCCCTCTCCCAGAGAGATTCCTCATCCATAAGCCAGCCAACCAAGACAAGTGCTGAGATGTTGTCACAGCCCACCAGGGTTTGCTTGCCTAGAGGGGAATATATCTAGCATCAGGAGGACCCCCAATGGCTGAACGATTGCTGATTCTGCTCGGGCCCCTACCTTGGTCCTTGCACATCTGGTCACACAGGCATGTACCTACTCCTGAGTCACCTACATTTTGAAAATACAAAATCGGGAGCATTTAAGTCAGTCTTCACTGGATTGCTTGAGGCAAAACATGAAGCAGTGATGGCTTGTGTGGGTCTTGTGTCTTGTGCTTGGAGGCTGAGCTCCTCTGACCCATCAGGAACAATGGCTTCGTTGTGTTCCTGGCTTGCTCTGGCTTGCTCGCTGGACTTGGAAGCAAGAGGAGCTTTGAGCTGCCCAGCACCCCCAGGAGCAGGAGGGTATAATCATGGCCCAAGGACAGCACTGTGGACCCCATGGGACCCTGCAGTTGTTAGGGGGCTGGGATGGATAGCACCTTTCCAGGCCTGGATCCTGAATTAGCCAGTGCTTAGAGGCAACTCTGCTCCTGAAGGATGGGCTGAGATGTGTCAGTCACAGAAAAGCTTCAGAAAAGAACAGGTGATGTTTTCAGGAAGTCCAAGATGGCAGGCAAAGGTGGGTAGGAACCTGGCAGAGCCCAGAAACTCCAATCTGAAGGTCCAGGCCCCAAGATTTGGAAGAGAAGAGTAAGCAAAAGAACCAGAAGGAGGTCTAAAGGCTAAAGTAATAAAGACATGAATTTTCTATTTAGAAATGAGAACAGGGTCCTGTCATAAAATCAGCCTCCCAGCCATCAGTCTAAGGTGTAAGAGGAGAGACGCACTGGCCAGGAAGGGGTTTCAGTTTCATTTCTCCCATCAACAAGCTGTGACTTGCTTAAGTCATAAGATCCTCAGTTTCAGCTGTAGAATGGGTGCCCATGGCATTGCTTAGACCTAGGATCCAGTGAGCTAACAAGCTAACAAACATGTGAGACCATACTATATGGACCAAATGCTTAGGCAAAGTACATGCTGCTGGAATGGCTGGTTCTAGGGTAGACAGTGAGAGCGCAGGCTGCTGCACGGTCTCTCCCCTTGCCCCCATCTCTCCATGGAGACAAAGGTCTGCTCACAAGCAGGTCATGATCTGGAAAAGTGAAATTTGAATTGGGGAACATATCATGCTCATGTCCAGTTCTGGGCTTTCACTGTGCTCTGTCTCTGGCCGAGGGGATCTCTGCTCTTCCCAATCACAGTCTACCTGGGAAGACCCTACTCCAGCCCAGCCGCCTCCAAATTGAAGTCCTAATGCCCAGGCTGCCCCTTTCCCTTCGGGACCTCCATCCCAAAGTGCACTATGTGAATATACAGAACAGTGTGGCTCTCAAACGACTTCATGTAATTTTCTGAAAGCAGAGACCATGACTTCTTTCCTTGGGTTCCCCATAGGATACAAAAAATGGCCCCGAGGCACATAGATAGATAGATAGAAAAATACTTGCAGAAATATGGAAGATACAATATGAATTTTCAGACTTAGGCAACTACCAAGTATTTAACACAGTCTTTCCTTCACCAGTCTTATCAGCTCACTTCAGTAGTCTCATAAAGGTCTGTGCTAATGTTCAATTTATATGAACGACTTAATACTTCACTTTACATTGGCATAGCCCATGATAAATCCACAGGAAATAAGAGCCACCAGCAGTGGTAGGATCAGAATACTTTAATAAGATACCAGTGTCAAAATACATTTCCTTATAAAGTTAAGCTCCCATACAGTTATAATGTTGTCAGTAGGAATTCGACAATATAATAACGTTCATGAAATCGTTACGTTGACAGGTAGGGTTAATATGAAGCTTGGAATATTTTTCAGTGTTTTAGTAAAACTGCAAGGGTAAAATGCCCTTAATGCCAGGGCAACACACACAGGAAATCAAATACCAGCATTTACACGTCAGTAACCCTTCAAGTTCTGCCACCCTGTGTGGGGTAATGCCGTGCAGCTAAAATATGATTTACGCAACACCATGACTAAGGAATTTCTCATAGAACTTAAATTTCTTTTGAAAGCTATTTTTTGTTTTTGGCAATAAGTCTATCCGGGCTTACTAAATAGTTGGCCCAATGTGCTTTGTGTGTGTTTTTAGAAACTTCTTCATTGTACCCATTACAGAAAAGTTCCATGTAATTGGTATTGAAAAACCAGAGGTGTCGTCCCTCTTACCCAGGGAGTTGCAAAGTGCTCTGGGAACACTATTTTCAGTGCTTCCTACCTACATGTCACTGACCGACCCAGAGACCTCAGCCAGGGCCTGTGGCTAGGGGCCATCCCTGGAGGCCTTGCGGGGCCATCTGGCTGCCGGCTGAGTGGGGGCTGCAGGGCTGGTCTGGACCAGCTGCTCTCCCGCTGTGCAGCCTCCTCCTCAGTCCAGCTCCACGGGGCTCCAAGGTCGTGAGCTTGGAGGACGTGGACGGGGTCACTATACCATTTTTGACCCCTCATTTGCATGAATTCCCGTCTAAACCATCTCATGGTAGTTCTGGAAATGTCCAAATGTGCCGTGTGAAAGACCATCCGAGTCACATAGCTCAGTGCACTTGAAGGGCTAGCAACAAAACCTTAAGAAAAGTTAGAGCACTTCCCCGCCCCACCCCCCGACCCCACAACGTGCCATCAGACCCTCTTGGCAGCAATAATAATAATACATACATACATAGTACATAGAGAATGTGAGGGGATAGCGCGCAGTGCTCCCGCTGAATGACTCCACTGCTCGGATTGTCACACCTATGGCATATCACAGATGGCAAAAAGCCGACAGAGGGAGGCCTTCCACAGTGTCCGTACAGGCCGTGGGAGCACTGGACAAGTCTGCAGTGTCCACAACACTAAGAAAAATTAACAGCTTCGAAAAGATCTTAAAGTGATTTTGTGAGCAGGATTCCATTTCCGTTTCTAAGTTTTTAGATATTACAAAGTACCCATATATATGATAAACACTTAACCCAGATATAAATTTTCTCCTCTTTTAAAAAACTCAGTTATGTTTTTGAATAATAATAAAAAATCCACCAAATGCGGGGGAAAAACACCAGTTTAGGAAAAGCCACGCTGTGCAACTTTCACAGATAACCACATACGTTGGAGTTGACCCTTCACATTTCTTTTTTTCCAAAATTAGAGCAAAGAGTCAGCTTAAACAAAAAAAAAAAAACCCTGAAATTTACAATATGGTGATTAGTTTAAAAAAGAAACGAGAAGGGCTCTGCGAGGGAGACGCCACAAACCAAGCTTGGAAAGCAAAATCATTTTTGTTTCTCTTTGGCAACAACAATAACGAGGAATCTTTTTAGTAAAATGAAGCTAAAGCTTCTCCCTACAGAAGAACAGACATGCACCAAACTTGTTAGTATGGACAGTTGTGTGTGAGAAGGAGAAGGAGGGAGAGAAACCTATGGATAATATAAATTAGAAGTCATTGAAGGTGGGGAGGAAAAAAATCCTACAAAATTTAAGAACATTTCAGAACAGGTAAAACAATTGTGTACTTTAAAAATAGGGATAATAAAGTGAGCATCTCAGAAAAAGGCCACTGCTTGGTGACCTGGGCAAGTCTGCCAGGTAAGTCCATCTTGTAAATAGTGTGCTGGCGTTAGAAATACCTAGTTGCAAAAACAGACGGAGAGAGTGAAGCTGGTGGGACGGCGTCGGCAGAGGTGCTGCCCAGGTAGAAGGCCTGGCTCAGGTGGCCTGGTCCAGGGCTCTGAGGAGGTCCCCTCCTTGCAGGAGCGTGGAGCTTCCCAGCACGGGCACGTTCACCTCACAGTCATATCTGGTCAGTTCGGGCAGCAGGTAGGACTCAAATGAGGGCCCGAGCAGCCGGCTTGCCATGCCTGAAAGAAGGGTTGGTACCATAACTTAAAGGCCTAAATCGAACATTTGGAAAAGTGTCTACTTCTTTGTGACTGGGGGATACCAATAGAGCAGCCCTAATTTCACTCTGCTCCTTCAGTGGTGTCTGTCCCACGGCCTGCTGCATGCCCGGGGAACGTGTCTGCCTCCAGAACCACTGCCTCAGGTGGGGTGCTGAGACCCAAGAAAGAGGAAAGCGTGAGGTGCGGGCTGCAGCACAGGTATGTGGAAGCTTCAGGAAGAGCCTGGGGTTGCTGACCCCCATGCCTCCTGGCAGCAGGGAGGAAAGGCTGAACCACCTGGCACCTATGCTCACATACACAGAACATGCAGAACACACACATACATACAGATGCAAACACAGACTGCCTCAAGATTCAACAGTCTGAAAATCCAGTTTCTGGTCACCACCCTCAGCAGTCCTTTCTTCTTGCCTCTGTGCTATTCTCTTGCCGAGGAGGCAGACCAGGGAGTGGCAGGGGGGACACTCGCAGCACACACACAGGCCCCCATCCCAAGGAGGAAAGGCTTAGGTGGCAGCAGAGAGCCTGGAAGCCCTGCATTCTGCCCCTCCGATGGGAGATGCCCACCCACCTTCCCTTATCTGCAGAGCCTCGTTCCAGTGGCCATTGCCTCCTGCACCTCCTAGCTCAGATCCTTGCTGGGGTCCATGCCTGCCTCCCCAGCTTGACTGCTCCTGTGGACAGTATCAATGGATACCTGCTCACCATCCCTTGCTAACTTCTCTTATTCATGGTCAGAAAAGAGTTTGATATGATTCAACTCTTTTGAAAAGAATATGATTTTCCCTTGATTTCAATATTCAAGGTAATTCGTGGGCTTCACATAACAGGAAGAATAGTGCTGGCTACCTCTTACTGCACATAAATATATACCAGCCCCTGAACTCAACAGCAGAGCCAGAATTTAAGCCAGGGCTGTCTGGTGTTTCTACAGCCTGGACTCTGAAGCACAGAACTATAACCTTCCCCAAACTCTATTGCTGAGGAAATTGCCTTTTAGAACAGGGGCCTGGTATGTTTTTCCATAAACCACGAATTATTTTCAGGCCAAACAAACCTCATGAAGACATATATGTTTCACAAGATACTGTCAAGATGAAGGTGGCCCAGGGTTGAAGGCAGGCATTGGTGCCTGCAGTTGAACCAAGTCCAGTGGGGTGGGCCTACCAGAGCTTTCCAGGCTGTTCTACCTGAAGGAAGTTTTGGCATGTTCTCAGCACCTGCCTGAACTCAGAGTGACACCCCAAAACACATCCACATGAAGAACTGAGGAAGGGGCAAGGCTCCGGGATTCTCAGGGTGGAAAGAGCCCTGGATGGCACCTGATCATGGGAGGGTTCTCCCTAAAGCCCCAGGGAAGGAGCACTCCCTTCTCCACGCAGCAAGCTCATCCTTGCATAGACGGGAGATCCCCTGCCTCTGCCCAGACCGCTTCCCAACTCTCTCTCTCTGAACTTTCTCTTCTCTTCTTCAACAGGCCCTCACCACTGTGGCCGCCTGCTCTTTCTTCTGAAAGTGCTCCTGTCAACAGTGGTACAGTGTTCTGGGGGTCGCCAACCCAGTGTTCAGTGTTCAGTCCTCTTTGGGCAGTCGGTAGTGGTCTGCATTCTTTCCTTCAGTATTCTAGCCTGAGTTTGAGTTTTTTAGCTGTGTCTCAGACCCACCCACTGGGGGGCCTGATCACTGATGTCACAAGGAACTTGTGAGGAGGTTCCCTAAATCCAAGGAGACCTGAGCCCTGTATAGGTGACTTCAAGTCAAGCACCTCCCTGTGCCTGGCACTGTGCAGACGCTGGAAAAAAAGTAGACGTGGGCTTCCCCTGGCATCGAATCCTGGGATGGGGGTGACAGATCCTGGGCACACCCACCTGACACCTTGTGGGCTGACGACAGGCTGTAGTCCTGGTACTGGGTGGCGTAGCACTGTGGGGGGAACCTGCTCTTGCTGTTCTCCCCGGGACTGATGGCAGATGGAGGCTGTGGCAGCGGCAGATGTCTCAGGGGATGGCCCAGGCCCCTCATGGGGTTTTGGGTGAACTTATCTGAAAGACCAAAGTCAGAGAGTGACGGTAGCATTGGCCTGAGGGAGGGGAGAGGCCAGGAAGCCCTAGCATCCCTTTCCTTTATAAAAGGTGCTCAGAGTCACCAGAACTACAGCCAACCTTCAGGACCCTCTGATGGCATCATCTAAGTCAGAGTGGAGATGGAAAAGTTGGGTGTGTGGGACTGCGGGAGAGACAGAGGACATCGCCCCATTCTAACAAGGCTCAGAGAGGCAGGTACGGCCTGTGGTGAATGGAAGAACCAGGATGGGCTCCCGAGCCCCAGTCCTTCCACCAGAACCCCCAGGAGGCCCAGGCCTGTGGCCGCTGCTCACCATTGGGTACATTTGCGCTCAGTGGCTTGTCCGGCATCAAAGGGCAGCTCCCACCCCTGAGGTTCTTCATCCGTTTCCACATCAAATGTGAGGTGCTGCCACCAGGTGGGTCCCCCTGGGAGTAAGAAGGGCAGATGGAAAGGGGAAATGGCCAGAGAACCAGGTCCCCAGACTGGGTGGGTTGGGTGGGCCTGGAACAGGGCTGGCACTTGCTGGCTTGGAAGGGCCACATCCCCACCCCTCTCAGCAGCCCTGGGTTCCCTAAGGGCTATGCTGGCTTGGAAGGGCCACATCCCCACCCCTCTCAGCAGCCCTGGGTTCCCTAAGGGCTATGGAGAGGCCCCTGTGGCCAGTGGGGATGACTCACCCCGCTCAGGTCCTGGAAGGCTTGCTCTTCATACTCCAGCTGTCGCTTCAGCTTCAGCTTGTTGGAGAGGGCTACCATGGCCGGACTCAGCACGTCTGGGCCTCGAGCCCCAAAACCCTTTGCAGACCTGCCAAGCCCGAGAGAGCAGGCTATGAGGGAGTCTGGAGCCACATGCCACTCAGTGCCTTCTCATCTTAGGGGCCCTTCCAGTCCCAATGCTGATGCCTGTGATGACTCAAAGACCCAAAAGGCAGAGTCTCAGAGGCAGGCTGTGCACCTGCAGGCCGAGCTCGAGCTCTGTCTCCTTCCTCAGCTATAAGATGCTGAAGGGCTCAAGCCTCCTGGTCTGGGGGATGGCTGCCTGGCTGGGCAATGTTAGTCCTTAGGAGGGTTTCTTCTGCCCATGTCTCTCCTCTGCCTTTTGCTCCCACTGAAAACTAGTTTGGCTGCTCTATAAAGGGCAAGTACCAGCGGCCCCTGGGAGTGGCAGGTCATGTACCAACCCCTGTGCCTTAGCCCAGTGAGCTCGCAGCTGGTGAAATGAGCATGCTGGGGAGATGGGAAGGCATTTCTGGAGCCTAGGCACAGCTGGGAGAGGCTGCAGTGGCGAGGACCCGGGGGCAGCCAAAAGGCAAGGGGAGGCAGGGGTATCTTTTTGCTGTTTTCAACCAGGGAAAATCATCACTCAATTTTCTGTGTGGCTCAGATGATGAACCGAGATACGAAAGGCACTCTGGTGGTGGTCCGAAGGGAGACACTGAGGTACAGGGCTCTCAACAAGCCACTTCTTTGCCTGCCCTCAGTGGCAGCCCAGATAAAAACCCATCCTACACTAGGCCTCACATGGCTTGAGGTGATTCCCCAAAGTCTGAGCTCAGAGAAGGGCTAAATGGGGTATCAGATGGCTGGGGAGAGGGGCAGGGGCCTCCCTGGGGGTCCAGCTATCTTACTAGTGGGTGCCTCTCGGTTCGGCCCTGCTGGTACAGCTGAGTATCTGCCACTTACCTTGTCTTGAAGGTGGAGACATGGGGTGGAGAGACAGGGGGCCCCAACGGCGCTGCTCCCAAGAACTCTGTGCGCTGATCCCCGACGGCCCACTTTGTGGGCCCAAAATGTAATGGTGGATCTGGGGGCCACTGGGTATTGGATCTGCCCCCCATGGAAGAGAGAGGGGTGCTGGCCTGGCCACAGCACGGTGGCAGGGATGCTTTGCTTCCGGCATCAAAGAAGATGGAGGACATGGGCCGGTGCTCGGGCTCTGTCTTCTTGCTCTCCAGCTGCTGCTGAAACTTGTCCAGGAGGAAGGGACTGTGCGGGGCTACAGGGGCCAGTGGCTGGAAGATGTTTGTCATGGCACTGAAGCAGTGCTGGGGGGTGGACTGTGGGTTCTCCGCCAAGAGCCGCTCCTCGGGGCAGATGGGGCTTAGCTGGAAGTCTTCCCCGTCCATGGGGATATAGGGTGCCAGTGTCTCCAAGTCCAGCTCATTGAAATCCGTCTGAGGGGAGACAGCACCGGCAAAGAGGCAAGGGGGTTGGTACGACCTCACAAACACTATTCCAACTCAGCTCCTGCAGAGCCATTCATCTCAAGCACTGTTTCACAGTGCTGCTCAAACGCCTCCACTGGCTCCCGAGGGCCTATCAGGAAAACCTCAGACTTGGCTGTGTCATGTACACGACCTTGTATCATGTACCAGCCTTCCCCCATGTTTATCCCCTCTTCACCCTGCACATTGAGAAATGTTCTCCTCTCCCCATCCCACCTGTCCGGAGCCCGCCTTCTCTCTTGAAGCCGAGGCAGCCCCTCTTCCACAGAGTCAGCCCTGCCTACTCCAGCCTGTGGTGGTTATCCTTGTCCTACAATGCTTAGGCCTGTGGTGCACACTGTGGCTTTTTTTTGTCCTCTTCTCCCTCCTGTAAGCTGGCACGGGCCTAAGCAAGCAGTAAGTGCCCAGGTCCATCTGTGGACTCTCGCAGAGTAACAGCCTAACAGCCAGACCCCAGGGACAGAGACTTTGGTTCCAATCAGCAGATACTCAGATCATCCCTTAGGGTGGCAGTATCATGACGGACGCATGATACAAGCAGGGGAATACAAGCAGATGCGGAAAACAGTTTCTAACTTCAGAGACTGACACCCTCAGTGGGTGTCAGCTGACTAATGACTGCAATACTAAGCAATCTTTAAGGAGCAGAAGCAGATAGCTGTGATTAAGTGCCACATGATATATACTACAGGAGTGCTGAGGAGGGAGGGTGATAGAAAAGCTAAAATTGGGCATGTTTTGCAGAGTAGCTGGGATTTGTGCCAAGTAGGATCAAGAAACAAACTAAGTGGCAAGGCAGAAATCTGGTTGAACTCAAGACTAAGACAAATGGGGGATTAATGGTTTTCCCTGGGGTTTTGTAAAACACGTACCCCTCCCTCTACCTTATCCTTGTTTACATAGTTTTTGCAAGAACATTGGCCTTATGTAATAAATGTGTTCCTGAAAAGTTTTATGTAAATGAAAAATTGTCAAACAGATGTTATTTATTTTAAAGTGCATTTCATATAAAAATGATTATTTTTTTAAAATCACAAGATGAATGTGTTTATAAAGGGATTAATTGTCCCCTATGTTTATACATGTTTTATACATCTGGCTATGCTTGTTAAATGTAGGGCCTGTTTAAAGAAAGGTGCAGTGGTATCATTTCGGTTTTCATGTGTGCTAAGAAAGCTATCTAAGTAGGAGACACATATGCTGGAAGAGCTGGATTTGACAGTGGGAGGAGGGGGTGACCACAGGCTCCATTACCCTGTACCCCTACCTCTTTAGGGGACCTGGGCCTTGGCCAAACGTCTCCACTGCTCTTTACAACAAAGGGATGAGGCTACAAGAATGGATGTGAGCCTTTGCTGTCCACCAGACAGCAGGCACACACCCTAGCCTGATCTCCACAGCCATCTACCTGGGTACTGCATTGGTCCTTGGCCTCTGTGTCCATGGCGAAGAGCTTCTCAATCACTTCAATCTTCAGGTCGTTATCCAAAGATGTGTAATAGTCTTCAGGGCTATTGGGCTAGGGGCCAGGAAGGAGGGGGACAGAGTCAAAGATATGGCACTGGTCTCCCCAGAAGTCCAGCATGGAAGAAGAAATACCTTCCTGGACCCAAAGGTTCAATTCCATTCCACCACACAACTATTTGTAGAGGGGCTGCTAATTAACAAGCTGTATGAATTAGGTCAATTCATCAACCTCTCTAAATTCCAGTCTCCTCATCATAAAATGAGGCTACTGTCGCTTCACAGGTTGTCCTGTCTTGAGGACCAAACAGGATACAGGCTGTGGCCAGCAGGGCTGTGCAAACTGTGCAGCTCTGTGCCACATACGGGATGTTACTGCCCTGTATGGGGACTGAGCTGGGGGCTCAAAGCCCTTCAAGGAGCTTATTTCAATGGAGTTGGGGGATGAACACTAAAAGGAAGAAAACAGCTCTGATACCTGGTAGGTAAGTGTCACGGCCACTCTAGGGGGCTCTGTGATAACCTGAGAAGGACAGTACCTGTCCCAAATGTCCCTTCAGCCATCTGGCAGCAGTCATACATACGGAGCCCTCTCTGTGTCCTCGCCATAAGAGGGCTGCTCACCGTGGAGCAGCTGCTGCTGCTGCTGGTGGCACTGGGGGTGGTGCTGCCCGGGGCAGCTGCCTGGGGCACGGTGAAGGCAGGCAGGCTCCCAGCCTCGCTCTGGGTGCTGTGGCTCCTCAACTCCGTGGCCCATGGCTGGCTCGGGGGCAGGATGGCCTTGCCATAGGCTGAGGACTCCTCGAAGTTCTGATTCCCTGTGGAGACAAGGGCCTGGGAGGTGAACACCCACAACCATCGGGCTCACCCCAAGGCAGAGGAGGCCCAAAAACCGCAGAGAAGGCCCTAAGAGGGTCTGGAAGGCATGCCTGGGGCTAGGCCCCCCCAACACCCTGGGGCTCAGCTGGAACACATGGGTCTTTGACTCTGGCTATGAGTCAACGTAGAGACTCCCTTTAAACGGAACAGTCTCCTGGGACATTTAATTTTCAGAGACTAAATATATTAGGAGCCACTCTTCCCTGAGGAACAGATCCGGAAGGGTAGACAAGGAAGGTATGAGAGGGAGAGGAGAATTGGGCTATTGAGCTATTTGCCTCAGTACTGCCACAAAACAAGCCGCGAGACCTACTGGCCAAGGGCCCGCTGCGTTTCAGATTCTCTTTAGCTGCAATCCTCACGTGGCCGCTGTAGAACCCATCTAAAAGGGGCTGACACAGTCCAGGGTGAGCACCACTCTTCCGGCAGCCACAGCAAGGCCAGGAGAGGGTGGCAGCGGGTTGCGAACTGGGGAGCATGGGGCTTCAAGGGTGTTTCCAGGATTGGAGCAGCCGAGGGCTGAAAACCCTGCCGGGGTCCCCAGTGACTTACATCCCCAGGGACAGGCAGACACTTTAATGAAGTCGTGGGTTTGAGGGCTTAATCCCAGGCCTCAATATGTTCTCTGTGTTTTTGGAATGATCCTTCCCAACATTACTCCAACTTGGCCCTCTGCCTGAACAAGCCATCTGTCCTTCCAGACCCTGGTAGGAATCTGCCCCTTCTCTTTGACAGTGTCCAAGTGGCCTCGGAGCAGATCCCTCACCTCTCCCCTCCCTCTCATCTCAGACTCTCACCACCCATGGTGGAGAATCGACCCTCAGGGGGGTGTCCTCTCTTAACCCCTCCTCGTACAGCACTTGGTGAGGTCGGATATGGGATGGTCTTATCAGGGCAGGAGCGTGTGGTGTTCTTTTGTGCTCAGCAGGGCCTGGCCTCTAACAGGTGATTAACAAGACTTGGGGGGCTGGGGTAGCTCTGGTTAAGAAAAAGCTGCAGCCAGGGAGGCCTGTTATAGTAAGAACTCTTCCCAGCCCCAACGGGGTTCCAGGGGCCTGGCTTAGCTAAGAAGCACCCACCGAAATCCAGAGAGATGATGGCGTCTCCTGGGGTGGGAGCCAGCTGGGCCAGCTCCTCGGGCTCCTCCTTTAGCTTGGTGAATAGGAAGTTACTCTTCTCAGACACAGCCCCCTTGCCACTGCTATCAAAGATGCTGTTCATGGCCATCAGGTGGGGCTTGAACAGGGATTCAGTCTGGTCCATGGAGAACACCACGTCATTCTTCTCAATCTCACTAATGGGGGGGAAAGAGCCATTCAGACTTTCCACATTTTCTAGAAAAATTCTGCTCCCCTAGATGCATGGAAACCCTCATAGCTAAGCTCTCCGACAAAAAATGGGTAGGACTCCAGGCATTGGCGTCTTATAAAGAACCATACAATAGAAGTGTGTGAGCCATGGAGGTAGTGACAACAGAGGTATCCTCTGAATGTATGTCTGTTTCGGATCCTGTTTTATTAAATATTATTGCACTTGAGTGGGGTGGTATATATGAGGCCTGATGCTTTTGTTTTTCTCTGTCTGTAGAAACAACTAGAAATGACTTCCTCTAGCTTTCTTTCCAGGTACTATAGAGTGAAGGCATGACATCTTTTTTTTTTCCCAAAAGCATAAGCGATTCTCTTTCCTTTTTCCCCATTCAGAAAATATTGACTATTGTGTGCTATCTGCCTCCCCACCTGGGTCAGATGCATGGCATAAATGACAGATGCCAGGGAAAGCGCAGAAAAAAAAATCCCAACCCAGTATCCCACTGTTCCAAGACATCCACAGGAAGTCCTCTCAGTCACTAGGGTTAGCCCTGCAAGACCTCCCTGAGGTGGTGCCCAGGGCGCTGAGAGGCCTGGCATCTCCTAGGCCTGTCATCCTGAGTCTGGGAAGCTTGGGCACCCCCACATACCCTGCACCAAGGCCCGCCAGCCCTCACATGCTTACCTCAGGACGTAGTTGACACACATGATGCACTGGGGCTGCAGGTTGCGAGGGTTGTAGATGACCGTCCCCTGGGTCTCCAGCCACACGTAGCCCCCATGCTTTGCGAGCATCCGGTACTGGCCACTTACTACCTGACCCTTGGTGCACACTAGGGGAGGAGAAACAGAGCTGAGCTTAGGGAGGTGGGGCAGGGGTGTGCACCACAGGCTCAGCAGATCGCATGGGAGGGCAGTCTAATCTGCAGGGGAACAGACAGAACAGGGCGCCACGACAGTGAGGACCAGGGAGAGTGACCTGGGAGGGAGCTTAGGGATCACCTCAGCCAACTCTTCATTTTAAATATAGGAAAAAGAGGTGAGAAGAGGTGAAATGACTTGCCCAAGGCTGTCTACTGAGGGAGGGACCCGCTCACTATGCAGCTTTGCAGTGGCCCATCACCAATCCCTGGACAAGTCAGGCTCACAGACCAGCTCAGCTATAAGCAGAACCAAGTCCAGAACCTGCCTTACTTTCTTCATGGGGTTCAATGAGAAGAAGCCCCTTCACACTGGGTAAGGAGCGCCATCCCGTCAAGCACTCCAGGTGGGGGGACTTCTAAGCAGCCTGGAGAAAGCCTGACCTCAGGGCAGTTTTTTTTGTTTTTTTTTGTTTTTTTTTTTCAGCAGACCCACCACCAATACCCTGCTTATGAATAAAAGCATTTAAAACATTGATATCCTTGATTTCTCCAGGTCATCTGTCAGGCTTGCCACCTTTTGGGCCACTGAAGGTTTGTGACCCACAGCAAAGGCAGAGGCAAACCACCCCACCCTTTCTCAGTTGGGGCTGAGAAAGAGCTGGGACCCTGGCAGCCCACACACAGTCTCTTCATAAGCTGTAATAAATCACTTATACTCCTTCTCCCAACCGCCCAGCTAGGCTTCCTACTTATGAGGTTTTTCCTCTTCTAGATTGTTCTACTAAGTGTTCATTTAAAAAACGCTTTTGTTGTCTACCTTGGGGAAGGGTTTCACATCACAGACTGTCCTTCCCCAGTCCAGAATGTTCCATCTGCTGCCATTCAAAAGGAATCAATAAATCTCTTTAAAGTCTAATAATGTTAGAATTTTTGGTATTTTTCTGAACTGCCCATTCCTTGGGAATTTACAGAACTCCAGCTCAGAAGCTCCCAAATCACAGAGACGTTAGGAAAGGGCATGGAGGGAGGATCGGGAAATCTTGCTAGCTTGGGATTTGGGGAAAGGAACAATCCTTCTTGGTTTTGGTTTCCTCCTCTGCAAAACAGGATATTGATAATAATAGTAGTAACGGTAATAACTGTCATCATTAGCTACCCAGCATACCACTGCCATTTGTACTGAGGATCGACTGTACCCACATGGCTTATCAGGTACATAAGTGTTGACCAACTGTCACCAACAAATTTTGTATAGGAAAAGCCACCTCTTTCTTAGAGATACTAATACATATTATGCCCATGGCCTGTCACAGACAGTCTGTTACACGTTGGTAGATAGTCTCATGAGGGGCCACTCGGGAGGATATCCAGGCTCTCGGTAGACAGAGAGTCTCCCCGGTTCTCCTGGTAGGCTCGCAGGCCTCCTCCCCATTCATCAGCCCTGTACAGCTGAGGAACATGGCTCTCTTCATACTAGTGCAGTTTGGTAATCCTTTACACTTATGTTTTGCTTTCTTCTTCACAATTTAACAAGCACCTGCAAAGTGCAAGAATTCCTGTAACTTACATTTGTATAGTGCTTTGCAGTGTTCAGAACTATCTGATAAGATGAATTCGTTTCTGCAAAGCATTCAGCACAGTGCCTGGCACATAGGGCGCTCACTAAGGATTAGGTCATCATCACTGCATTTCATAGGCAACACCATGGGGTGCCTGTTGTTATTCCCACTTTACAGCTGAAGAAACTGAGGCTTAAAACTACTGAGTCATTTGCTGAAAGACCACCTCAGTGGAAACAGTAGACAGAATTATAGTTCAAATTAAAGATTCCTAGTCTAAGCTTTTTCTGTTTGCTCTTAATTTTTAAAAATAAATGTTATTGGGGTCAAATTTACCTTCAATAAAACACACACCCATTTGAAGTATACAGTTCAACAAGTTTTGACAAAGGTACAGTGAAGGCATAGCACTTTTCCATCACCGCCCCCACCACCCCATTTTTTATGCCTCTGGGCAGTTAATCTTCATTCCCACCCTGGTTCCAGGCAACCACTCTTCTGCTTTTTGCCACTATATATTCGAATTGTCTTTTCTAGATTTCCATGTAAGTGGAATTGTATAGGAGTATCTACTCTTGTGTCTGGCTTCTCTACACTCAGCATGTTTTGAGATTCATCATGGCGTTGCAGGCATTTGTGGTTTATTCCTTTTCATCAGTGAGTTGTATTCCGTTGCATGGACATACCATAATTTGTTTATCCATCTGCCTGTTGATGGATGTTTGAGTTGTTTTCAGTTTTTGATTATTATGAATAAAGCTGCTATAAACATTTGTGTATAAATCTTTGTATGGACATATTTTCATTTCTCGTGGGTGCAGCTAGGAGTGCAATTGCTGGCTTACCTGTAAAGTATATGTTTATAAGAAGCTGCCAAATTATTTCCAAAATGGTTGTATCATCTTGTCTAATCTTTTAAACAAAACCCTGTGCCACAGGGAGGATAAGTATTTTCTTTTAACATGAGGAAACTAAGGCCAGAGGGTTATGATTTGCTTCACAGCTTACAAGACAATAGTGACAGAGTCTGAGCTACACAACATGTCTGGTGGCTCCTAATACAATGGTCTCTTTATTACCTGGGTCCACAAATCACTGGGAAGACCAAACTTGCTGTTGCCGCTGTCCTAAACCATCATGGACTCAACCAAGGAAATAACTTTTGTCCTCTCTGCTCTCCCTTTATCTGTGCCACTGAGGCTCCTCTGCTGCAGTAAAATGATTCTTGCACAATTTCAAGTGCCTGTATTTAACTTATTTAGATGGTCCTTAATGCAAACCAAATTCAGGGCTCTTACTCTTTTTGATCAAACAGTGCAGCAAGCAAAGGTTTTAAGTGCATTTCTAACAATTGCAGGCAAGGGCCTGCTCTGTCAGTAGAATATAATTAACGCCAGCTTTCTAATCATCTGGTCATTAATGCCAGCCTTGGTGAAGGGCCTGCTACTTAATAGATAGGAAAATAAGATTAAAGGCCATAAAAAGCCTAAAAGCACATAATATCCTCATATAACAAAGGGAGACTGACCCCTAACCTCACGCCCAGAGTAACAGTGTATAAATTATTAATCCATTTGGAAATTACAGCTTTCAATGATCTAAATCTAGTTGAGCTTCTCCAGGCATTTCAACGGTAAACCTTTACAGGCTAAGACATACATGTGTGTAAATGGGGGATCCCAGTGTGTGAATCTGGACCTGTCTCAAACCTGAGCCTCCAGTTAGTCTAGAGCATGTGTGTCAGTCTGTAGTGAAACTTGACTTGCAAAACCTCAAGGACGAATGAGAGACAGGGGTCGGGGGCAAGGGGCAAGCTCGTGTCATAACTGTCATTAATCCAATTTCCAACCCAAGCAGATTTCCCTTGGCTAGCTATGGGTTTGTCCCTTTGCTAGCTATGGGTTTCTGAGCTCAGGGCAGCTTTACTTGGCTCCATCAAGGGGAGAGAGAGCCTGTGATTTCTATTTGGGCTGTGAGTTACCTTTCAGTGTGCCTAATAAGTAAATACACGGATTCAGTAAAAAGCACCTTATTTTCCCTAGAGTCAGCAGAAAACATAAACCATTTTTATCCTAGCCCTTTTTATGGATTGAAGATGTTCTAAGAAGAACAAGAGGGAAAATCCTTTCTATATGCCTAGTCAGAAGTCACAATTTTTTTTTCCTTTGACAGTAGCTTCTTCTGCTTTCCCATCCTACAAGATAAAAGGTAATACTGTCCTCCAAGAATTCCCAGAAATTTTTACATTTGTCTCTTGCCTTGGCTTCACCCTTAGCTTGGAAGGAAGGCTAGACTTTTCCCCAGTTTTACATCTAAAGTCAGGAAGGTCCAGAAATCCAGGCCCTAGGGAATCAGTGGGTCGGCTGGGCCAGAGCCTGGGCCGCTAAGTCCCAGTGCCTGGATGATTCTGTCACCTGCCTTTGAAAACAGGAACCCCTCAGGGACCAGGAAGCATGAAGGAATCCCAAAGGGAAGGCTGGAACCAGATGTTACAATTTCAAAGCTTGGGCAGGCTAAGGTGGGGTCACATTCACAGGCATAAAAGAGTACCTCCACTCCTACCCCATCTCTGGGTTCCTGAGTGGGGCTGAATCTAGGTTGTTTGTGTGTGTGTGTCTGTGTGTGCGCGTGTGTGTTTTGCCAGAGAGCACAGTGAGAAACTTCTCTGAGATATCATAATGGGCCCTGTTGTACTGTCAAATCAAACCCAAAAGCCATGAGGAAGAGGCAGAGGAACCAATAAAAGAAAAGAAAGATCTCACTCCTTAAGAGTGGGTTAACCATGTTCACATACAGCTTGCGGGGTTGTGACTCTGCTGGCTGCACTGAACTTGGCTGTCTTAGCCTTGGGGTAGATGGGTGGATTTAGGAGCCATGGACAAATGGCTGCCCTTCCGTTTTCTCCATTGCCAGCAGGGCCACTGGGAATCTTCTCAGACTTACTTTACCCGTTTTTAATCCTCCCATAATCCTCTCAGCACCACTGTCTGCACCACTGTGGGCACTCGTTTTGAAGCATTCTTTTCCAAATACAGTCTTGCCCATCGGTTTATATAGTGCATTTAGTGCCTGTTCTGTACCAGACGCTATGCTAGATACTGAGGTTAAAGATATGAGCCCCTTGTTCCCAAGGAGCCCACGGTCCTCTTTTTTCCTCAGAAATAAGGTCACTTAGGGCAGGAATCAATTCTACCAATTTATATCACCCCCAGTGGGCCAAGTACAGGGTTATAGGCCCAGAGCCCTTGCACAGTGATGAGTCGCATGGATTCAAGGGAACGGTCCTGGATCACCTGCCTATAGGAAGCCTGAATTGGGAACATGGCCAAGGATACACTCTAGAACTTCTCTGTCCAATATGGTAGCTACAAGCCAAGTGTGGATATTTACATTTAAATTAATTAAAACTACATTGTATAAAGTTCAGTTCCTCGGTTTCTCTAGCCACATTTCAAGAACATTTCCACTGCAGAAAGTTCTATGTGGCAGCCCTCTTCCAGAGTCCTTACATAACTCAGGCTTCTTTCAAACTGCAAAGCAGAGTTTCCATACGCCATCCCTGGGTTGCCTGGACAGCCTTTTCTAAAGCTCCCTTGATCCAGCAAGCAAGCTCTCTGAGAACTGTGGCCTACCTCAACATATGTGTTAAGTTGGACCCGTAATACTTTCCCCTCTGTTCAGCCTAAGCCTCCCCGATCCTTCAAGGTCCAACTCAAGTGTCCTTTCCTCAACTCCCCCTGCCCTCCTCTTCTGTGAATGTATGTACTTGAATCTATAGCATGCACCCAAGTTGATGATATGTTGAATTATTTTACTCTCTACAGTGCTGTTCCACAAGGTGTGCAAACCACTGACTGCACACAGGCACTCCGTGGAGGTGGTATGGGGGACTGAGACTCAACCCACCCTCCACTGCCTCAGCTGTGCACCTTGGCACGGGTGCATCTCCCTGGAGGAAGTGTCCTTTTTCTAATTTGCACGAAGGAGTCTATAGGCTGGTGGCAGCCTTGGTTTTCTAACCATCTTGAGGGCATAAGTCTTGTCTGCCACACAAGACAGCAGCTCTGTGGAGGAAGTGACCTGGTCTTCTGTCTCACCAGTCACACCCCACTCAAGGCCACATACCACAGACACAAGGAAGCCACAAGGGGCACTCCTGGAACTCACAGTTCTGGTGACTCTTGGTCATGTTCTCGGAGTCTAGCGCATGGTAGAATTCATAGGCTGAGCGGCCAAGCAGCTCCTCAGGGTGGTAACCAATCAGTTCTGTGATTCTGAGTTTTTAAAAAGGCAGCATGTAAGGAAGAAAGACCATATTAACTTAGCACAGCATGTGGGCAGGAGCTAACCCCAGAAGGCAAATCAAACACACACATGCAGATGAACACAATCCAGACTTTCTTGTTGTACCATGTATCCAAGCAAAAGAACACTGTGCTCAATCTACAGTTGCAGGTTTAACCAAACCCCTGTTGTTCCTGCCCTTCCTGAAGCCATGTTTGGGAGGAGAGAAAAGCACCAGTTCTGAGGACTCCCTCTCCCCACCACCCCGGTACACACATATGTCTGTTCTCCAAGAACCACTGGAAGGGGCTCACCCCAAGTTTTTGCAGATGAGGGAGTAGACATCCAGGACGGGCAGACAATTTGCTCGATGCCTACACAGGTGTCCAGGGACAGAGCAAGAATGAAAACTGGGGCCTCCAGTTGCTACATCAAGCTCATTCTAGTAGAAGGCAGTATAAATGAAACATGAAAATTATGTGGCCCCAGGTAGAGCCACCTTTGTCTCTGTGTCAACCAGCACGTGAGAGGGAGTCCAGGCAGGCAGAACCCGTCTGTGCTTAAACCTTCACTTTTCTGCAGGTCCTGCCTGTGACCTCAGGTGCCCTCGGACACTTTCTACTTGTGCCTCACATTTCAAGGAAACGAGGGAGGCAAGGAGGTGCTGAGAGGAAGAAATATTAAATCATAGTCATAGAAATGTGCCTTATTATACTCTAATAGGCAGCTCAGATGACACCACTGGCTGTCATTTCAGTGTCCCTTTCTTCATTCTGTAAGGTATCTGGTTTTGATGGGAAGTGGGCAGAGGAAAGGGCAAATGTGGAGAACCATGAAGAATCACTTAACATTCTTAGGACCCTTTGTTTTGTGCTGTAATCACTAAAATAAACAAAGCCCTGCCTAAGAACCACCAGGTTGGCCGCTTTACCCAATATCATGTCCTATCCTAGGCTATATAATACCTCCATATTATCTCTCAAAATCTTGGTTCTCTCACAGACTTTAAATAATGGCTTCACTGTCTTGTTTACTTGGCCTATCACAAGTTAGAAGTGATGCCACAGTCTCATTATTACAACTCTACTTCAGAAGGCATGACTCCTGGATACAGTCCTATAATTTATCCTTGTAGGGGATCAATAACACGGAGAGGAAAGCAGAAGCAGAAAGCAGAAGCAGTGGCTCCTCATTTCCTGTCTCTGCTCTAAACCCACCCCCCAAACAGGTCAACTTGCATACATCTGTCAGACCAAATTGCCCTAAAATACTACTTGCAACCTGCCATACTCTTATTTAAGTATCTACAGCTTTCACTTTTGCCAACCACACCAACAGTAAATGCTGCGTAACTTCCAAGTCCCCCCAGAACCTACTCTCCATCTTTTGAGCAATTTGATTTTCAACTCATCTGTAAAATGTTATGTACCCTCTGTCATGGAAGACCCCTCTCCCCTCAGTTCCCTATGCCTGGAAAACTCATTCTTGCTGCAGAAGCTTTATGCCTTCTCTTCTCCCCTCTTCTCCAAGCCCTGACACCTCCAGGACCAGCTAAAGCCTCATCTTCTCCACAGAGCCCTCTCCAGTTCCTCCAGCACAACGTCTCTCGTGAAGTCCTAAGGAGTATGCACAATATTACAGAAAATTATGCATTTGTCTCCTCACATCCTAGGCTGTCAACCCCTGAACTCAGGGACCACTTTCTCCTTTTGCTTCCTCTATAACGGGTGCTTAGTAAAAACCTCAACAGCTGACCAGTAGATTGATTTTCTCTTTGAACCTACGGTACAAACAGACACCTGTTTATCCCAGCACTGCTAAGGAACCTGGGCACTAAGGATCTACTTTTTTTTTCTAGAATAATATGATTAACTGTCTCAATGTGTGTGCGCACACATGCACGCGCACACACACACACACAGAACCTGTCATGATAGTCTATCCATCCTTTCTTCATTCTGTAAGTCATCTGGTTTTGAAGTGGGCAGAGAAGAGGCAAGTTCTCTGCTTGGGTGAGAATTTGGGGGTTAAAGCCTTTGTCAAACAAGGAGCAGCTCAACAGGGCTGAGAGGCTTAGGTCTCAGCTGATTCAGCCCAGTGGAGATTTCTCCAGTGAGATCCTAGCAGCTCATTTGTGCCAGCCAGCCAGTCTCAGAGCAGAAGGATCTGTCCCGTCGCTTGGCCCTGAGCAGAGAGGTCTCTGAACTCATTAGCAATGGATACATTATCTGGCAACCTGACCCTGGGGCTGGCGCCCAAGTACACCTTGGCAAAGGTGGAGACTGGGGGGAACAAGGAGACAGAACAGTGCTGGTCCTACGATCAAATGGCTTCGCTGCTGGGTCGGATGACTTTCAAGCTTAGCCTGGGAACTAGAACTGCATGAGTAAGCCCTGCTAACAATGGTCTGGCCATCTGCAGGCTCACTGACTTGCCAGATAAACTGCTTCTGTTCCTGGGCAGGTCTAGAATTTTCTAGAGACCCTCCAAAATGAGCCTACTGGCATTCTAGGAAAGATGTCTTTCTACTCTCTGAAGGAATTAAATTTCCTTTCGAGATTAGAATCTTTAAATTAAAATGTTCAAAGTAGATGTTTATTATAATCTGCCTCATAATAAAATGTTTATCTAATTAATGTATCATCCATTCAAAGGCATACAATGGGCATGTTTTGGAAGTGGAAAAACAAACCTAGATTTCAGAACTGCCAGATATCTTCCCAGTAGCAGCTTTCATTTATCTTGTCAACTAAAATAAATATTTAATGTCTTTCTTCATTCCTTTAAACAGACTACTATAAAAACTGGGAAATACACCACATCCCAAACACAATTGAAGAACATTTGAGTTGTCAAACTTCACAAAGCCAGGAAACCCCAACTTAAAGCTCATGGTCATTCGCCCCCACGTGCAGGCACGTAGACGCCAGTGGGGAGGTTAATGAACCGAGCTTGTTTATAAGGTCGCTCCTACGGCACACAAGGGCCTTCCCCGCTCATTTCCCCCAGGCTCCAGACAAGCCTTCCGAGCTGGGCTGTGATAACACAAGTTCATCTGCTCTCTCCATCAGGGGCCAGGGAACTATTTTTTTTTCTTTCTTTCTAATTAAGGACCCCTGACTCACTGGGAAAAAGAAAATCAGTTTGAGGTCACCCGTAAATTTCAAAGTCAACTCAGTAGGGCTGTTCTAAGAGAAGAGAGAAATGTACAAGGACTTAATTCACCAGATTTCAAACATAAGAACAGAGGATACTTTTTAATAATAAAGTCAAAAAACAGCAGACCAAGGATGCAGTGAGGAGAGAGATGCAGATAGATAGTCAGCCACAAGGAGGCAGAGGAAGGATGAAAGGAAATAGAAAATACAGCTTTAAAGGGGGTTGTTAAATTCTGAAGTTGGTGTTACCCCAAGTAAATACGTGGGTCAGCTCTCTGAGCACTGGACTTCAGAGTGAGATGTGCCTTCAAAATGTAAAATGAATGATTCATTGCTCTTTACTCTCAAAACTGTTTAGAAGCTCTATTCAAAATACACCACCTACAGCAGAGTGCTCGCAAAAAAATTATTCTCTTGGCTACAGCGTGAGTGCTGCCACCTCAAGTGGCAGAAAGAAATCCACCCACAGGCCTGAGAAGGCTCGCTCTTCTTCCCCGCATGTAATCGCCAGCACCCGTCCACGTGCGGTGCAGCGCCACGGTGCCTGACTTCAGATGCCACCGCCTGGAGTCACGCAAGATCTGGCTGCAGTTTTTACCCCTGTTCCCTACACGAGTAAAGGATTTGCTAGGTAAATTAATCATGTAAGCAAGATGGTGAGAGAGTATTTAAACTGTTTAAGAGGATGAAAGTTTTAAGTACTTTGTAACCACCTATTTGTTTTCCAAAGAATGTATCTGCTAATAAATACTTCAAGTCGGCTTGCTTTCCTTCCACACTCTGCCCATCGCCTCTCCTCAGCACCCCGTGATTTATCTCATTTTGGTTTCTATATGTGCTTATAAGCTTTGACACTGCGTTTCCTTACTAATATGTACGCTGTTCACTAACTCAGATTTCAGTGCCTTCGGTTGGTTTTAATATATTTTCATCTAGATTTTGTTTGCTTTAAACAGTACTTAAGCCTTGTGTTTTCCTCAAATACTACATGGTTATATGAAATCTATACAACCAGCTCTGTAATTAACGGGAAATCCATTTCTATCCTGTCTGTGGAGTGTTACAGGGTACCTGTAGGGGTAAGAGTATACATAGGAAGGTTGTGTGTGTGTTTTACCACTTATGGCTCTTTATAGTTCTCCTTACTGACATTATCTTTAGGATCCTCAACGTTTCCCTCACTTTCACCATTTTTACTTATTCTCAACTTCTTTGTAGAAAAACAATTCACCATAAATTTATCCACAGAACTTGGAATGTAGGCATCTTTATTCAACTGTAACTCCTGATATTAATATGTCCTATGTTCCCTAAATGCAATGACAAAACAGGGTTGCCCTAAAGTTCTTTACCTGTAAAAATTGTATGACCCTCTTTGTTGATTTGAAATTTTTACTGTAATTTTGAAACCTCTTCCCCTGGTGATACTGCTCCTATCCACATAATTTGGTTTTATAATTTATTTCTAAGATACAGGAAGACTCCTACAACTGACAAAATCGCAGTGGGATTATATGATAATTAGAAAGGCCTGGCCTCTATCTCCCTGACGGCTTGGCTTCCTTCACAGTTACCTCTTTCACCACTAGATGGCACCTCCACATGAATTTAAGAACCACCCTATTTTAAAGTTAAACTACTTGGGAACAACTTTTGTCTTCCTTTTGGGTAAATGGAATGTTGTATTTTGTACCATTCACTGTGGTTTCATTAAATGGCTTATGTCTCAAACTCTCAACTCCTGAAGATCAGGAATCATCTCTTTTACTTTGATGTAATGGTCTCTGGCACACAGTTACATAGCAGATGCACAGTAAATGACAGTTCGTAACTGGTTGCTCAGTATTTCGGGAAACAGAGTATATTGCCTATGTTTGAGTCGTAAATGAAGAAGAGATCATTAATTCCATTAATAATCAGGATATTTTTCTTTTACCCTGCTACTCAACTTGCTCCCCTTGTCTAGAGCAGTTGACCATAGGTACATAAATGTGACCGACATGAATTGTTATGAAATTTACTTTTAAAAGTATTTACTATTTTAAAAACAATTAATGCAGGACTTAATATGGTACTCTGATCCCTCATTAACAGGAGGACAAATGCATTTTGAACCATCTGTATTCCTTTATTCTATTTCAGATGTTTCAGAATAGGTTGTTTCAGATTCAACTGATTTGACCTGAGAGTTCAATGTAAAATTAGAGTTGTCTTTTCTCTCCCTTCTTTCCTGTCGGTTTTCATCTTTTTCTCCATGACCCTTTTTCTTTTTTTGCTTGATTGTGTCTGTGGTCTCAGTATATATAAGACAAGTACCAAACTGCTTCAAAATTGATTTTGTGGATTCTAACTGCCATACATTTTCTTCAGATTCTAACTTTTCTTGTAGGAAAACAATCCCCTTTGTGGGAATCACAGCACCTTGTGTGTCTCAGATGTCATTAAACCTAGTGAATTTCCTGATTAAAATGGAGAACCCCTCACCCCATTAGGTATCTTGGACAGGCATTGGTTTTTGCAGGATTTGTCTCTAAAGGGGAATTGAGGCGGAGAGTGTATATATGTGTGCATGTGCATATGCTTCTCCCCATCCCACCACAAAGAGTGAAAACAAAACAAGCTACCAAAACCAAAAATATCTCAGGCCTCATCAAAGCAATTAAGATATAACACTTAGGGATTAAGGACTTAAAATAGTCACTTCATCAACTGTCTAAGCCATGTCTGTGCCCTTGTTAACTAATCTGCTAATCGGTTAAACACAACTTCTGTGTGACACAGCATTCTATGTCTTTAAATGCTTCTACATGCAGCTCTCCAGCACCACTGAATTCAGACTTGGGGCCATGTAATTAGGTTTCTTGAAAGGCAAGATTTTGCTGAAAATGCAGTGTGTCTCGCAGAACTTATAAGCAATATCACCCTCTACATTATGAGTCACAAAGCCCTAAATCACGAGGCTTGATACTTCCTTTAAGCCAGAAGCTACTCTGGCTACCAGCCCTGAGCCAAACTAAGAAGTCAGCACAGCATCTTTCCCCTTTCTATGTACATTTCCTCTCCAGCCACATTTAGACATCCAATTCCTTGTGTTTCTCCCCCTCTTCTTTTGTCCAAAGGTTAGTACCTTCAGAAAATTACCTGAAACTCATTTAAACCAAGATAATGAATAAAGGATAAGGCTGAATTACCCCTTCCAGAGGATTTCTTCTCACTGTAACAAGGATCAAAATCTTAAGCTTAAAAAAAATCTCTTTTCTATTATGTAGGGATGCCAAGTTATTTTCTAGGACAGTAGGGTTTTCCCAGTGCTTATGGAGTTATGTTACGGATGTGCTTCATTCACCAGGGTGAAGCACGTATCTGACTTTCATCATCCCCAGCACTATATATGCTCCCAGGCTATATGGCTACGTCGGCTTGAGCCACTTCACCTCAAAGCCAGTGACACAGGGGCTATGCAGTGGGATTGTCCATGTTATCTCACAAGACTACTGAGGTACACAAAGCTGTGTCTTCTGCCCAGAATGTTCACCTGAATACAAAGACTGCATCTGATAAATAACCTTACCTATAACATGGATTCCTGCAGTGCCTGTCACTAAAAGTGCAATCTTCTTCTTGAACCACCATCATTATCACCACCACCACCACCACCACCACCACCACCACCACCACCACTACCACCACCACCACCACCACCACTAACAATTACAATAAATGGTGACTGTGTCGAAGTTCCAGGACGGAAGGCTTCATGCATGACATTTTCTCCCTATGAGGTTAGAGCATTTCTTTCTACTTATATAACTACCCACTAGCTCCAAAGGCTGTGAATCCTGGCCCTACTGTGGTCAGAACTGAAGGACAGGAATGACTCAAGGATACTTTTACAAAAGTTCTGAAATTGTGCCACAAGTGGTGGCCAACTCTAAGAAGGGGCGACCAACCAACACCAGGCCGGTCTGGAATCAGAGGAGAGAAACCCCATCCTGGAGAGGAGGGTCCCTCCCATGAAGAAACCAGATGCCCTTGGGATGTCCAGCTGATAAGAGAAAAGTGGGTAGGCCTAGGGGAGGCTGAGCAGGAGCTTTTTTTCCTGGGGTTCCATGGTTTCCTGCTAGCTGAGGAAGACAAGGCAGATTCTTGCTGATCTGGGGGTCAGATTCTTCCTCTTCCTGCCCCCCAGCCACTAACTGCCTTCAGAAGTGGTTTCAGCTCCTTGAGTTTAGTGGAAGATTTTGCTTTGGAGGAGGCCAAGGACAGGAAGTAAGATATAAGCAATAACAAGAAGCCTCACATGTGTTGTGGTGTCTGGACTTCTCAAAGTGCTTGCACAGCCATTATCTCATTTTACAGTGACCCCATGAAACAGGTTAGAAAGTGTTATCTCTATTTTGGAGAAGGGGAAACTGAGATCTGAGGGTTTCCTGAGGAGAAACCCTAGAAGATGAGAGAAGAGTGGCAAAGAGTTGGGGGTGGCAAAGAGCTGCCACAGGAACTGTCACCCTGGGACACATGGCGGCTCTAGATGCTGCAGAAAGCTGAGGTCAGGCAGGGAGATCTCTGCCAGGAAGGGCGCATGCGGGGGGTGCTGCTCAGCAAGCCCCAGTGGCGCTTACTCAAGCCAGGCCTACCCTGGGCCCAGTCTTCTGCATTTCCTTCCCTCCCTGGGGCCGGCCATTGCTCCGGGCATCTGTTCTCCCCATCTTCCTCCTCCTACCTCCCATCATCAGGCTCCACAGTCCCAGAGGCAGGGCTGGTGGGGGAGTTAGGAGCTGTAGGGTATCTAAATACTCCCTCCTATGACAACCCCAGTCTCTTCCCCACCTGCTTCAATCTTCTAAATGAGCTAAGAACCCGAGATGGCATGACATGCCTAAGCAGTCTTAGGCACTCTTTCAACAACTCTAATAAAGGTGATAATAAGAGCTAACACTGAACATTTATTACTAAATTTGAACCTAAGCCATCTAGTCCTGAAGCCCATGCTCTTAATCACTACTGTGTCTCCTAAGAGACACTGGGCCTGGCACTGGGGGGTTAGCATCTGGCTCAGCTACCTTCATCTTCTTCAAAATGGCTGGACACTGGCCGGAATGGAGTTGCATGCAGGAAGGAACAAGGCGGAGGGAAAGGCTCAGTCAGTAATGGAAGAGGGTCAGTCTCCAGGGCAGAAGCTGATGCTCCTTACTGGCCTCTGAAGCAGGAGTACAGATGGAAGTCTCTAGACTCTTTCTCCTGGGGCAGAAGACTGCCTTGAGAATTTCCTCAGGAGCCTGATACACGTATGGAGAAATATGTTCACACCACAATGATGAGAAGAGTTGCACACCAGGAAAGCTCTGCAGATGGACCCTGAGGCTCTGTCAATGGGAGACCACCAAATACAGTACCGGGAACCTCTGAGGGGCACTGATGCAATGAAACAGTGGCACAGGTCCACGAACATGCACCCGGCAATACCACGTCTATGTTCAGTTCCACACCTTTAATACAGGCACAACTCCCCACACACACAGGTAAGACCCATCTCTGCCCACAGCATACACACCCATGGCCCCCTACCTGTCATCACAGTAGGTGAACTTCATGTCCATGCTGTGGCGGCTCAGGAAGGTCTTGCTATCCAGGGGGATGTCCATGTGGGATGGGTGCTGGATTGGTTCACACATGATGATGAGGCAGGACAGCAGGGGCTCCTTGTAGCCACACAGACTATTGTGAGGAGGGCAGTTGTTGTAGACTTTCACCTGGCCCGTGCAGTGCAAGACCTGAGACAGGCGTGGAAGGGTCAGACATGGAGCCGAGAGTGCTGGGGGTGGGGGTAGGGCCTTAGGCATCCCCTGCACCGCCGTTACCCTACACCTGGGACTCCAACCCAGGCCTGATGTTGCCCTACCTTCCAGGTGGCTGACTTGAGGTTGACAGTACGGCCTCTGTTGGTGACCGTGCACTTCATCCTCATGAAGAAGTCCCGCTCTGTGGACATGTCTTTGCTTTTTTTCCCAAAACCAGAGCCTGGATGTGGAAGGATGGGAAGAACCAGCTGAAGTCAGTTTTATATGGATATTCATGAGAGGGGCCCAGCTGCAGTTTTTCTTGGCAGCCTATTGTTTATATTTTCCAAATATCTGCTCTCTTAGCACCTGTGGTCTGCCATCAACACTGAGCTCCATCATGGCCTGTGAACTAATGGTTCCCACTCTCAAGCTTATCTCCTCAACTGGAGCATAAACTCCCACAAGGGAGGAGCTGCTCCATCATTTGATTTCCCATTGCATCTGGAACATGGTCAGTGGTGCCTTCAGAGCAGCGACACAACGACTGCCTATCAGCCACTAACTCAGCCACCCTTTCCTGGGGCAGGCCCAGGTCTTCTCGCAGAAATTCCAAGGGACAGTCTGAGTGAGGCCACAGTTACTCCAAGGGTGTAAGCCTTCCTCACAGGTTAGAAATGTCTCTCCGACACTCCCGTCTTTCCTTTATAACCTGTCTCTCAGGAGGAATTTAACCCCTCCTGTACCCCATTTGCAAACTGCAATAGCTGTGTTCAGGATACCATGCCATTAGCTTTGTCCCTGAAGTGACATATGTATCAAGGCTCTAGAGAGAACTCTGGTACGAATCTCCTTACAGTGGACTTGGTGAGCAAGTCCACTTTATGGATTAACTCAACCTGGATCATATCCTCTCTCTCAGCAAAAATTAAATCACCAAGACCAGCAATATAGCTTACTTCCTTATAGTTGCCAAACAGCCTCCCGATTCAGAACCATTTTCCACTTTTTGTAAAACAAAGTAATGAAGAGTGCCAGCTGAATCCCACTTGTCTGTGTCTAAATCCTGCCTACACCACCATCTCTGGTACCTACTTTCAAAGATATAATCCTGCCCCCTACCCAGCATCATAGAACAATCTAGAGCCTTGTTTCGAATAGTCACACTCCTTCCTCCAGGAACAGTCACCAGCCCCTGCACTTAAACTTCCAGAGGATCTTGACTGACATATTCCTGAAGAGTTATGTGTCAAAGGAACTGTGGCACCCTTGAACAAAACTTCAACATCCTTAGGGGACCCCACTCAGTAACAGACTGAATAGTGAATTTTTTTAAAAAAGAGAGAACATTCCTTCATCACGATTATAAAACCATTTCTCCCATACCAAATTATGATTCTTGCCATTTTAATTTTCAGAGGTGGGGTTAGCATACAATGAGATATACCTGTATCTTGGGATCTGGCCCCACCACCAGGACCAGACCAGTTGTTGGGTATAAGGGGGCTGGAGGGATTCATTTGTGGCTGTTGCTGGGGTATTATTGAGGCCTCTTAACTTGCTAACCTCTGGATTCTCCCCATGCTGACATTTGATCTTTTTTTTTTTTTTTTTTTTTTTTGAGACAGAATCTTGCTCTGTCGCCAGGCTGGAGTGCAGTGGCGTGATCTTGGCTCACTGCAACCTCTGCCTCCTGGGTTCAAGTGATTCTCCTGCCTCAGCCTCCCAAGTAGCTGGGACTACAGGCACGCGCCACCACGCCCAGCTAATTTTTGTATTTTTGGTAGAGATGGGGTTTCACCATGTTGGCCAGGATGGTCTCGATCTCTTGATCTCGTGATCCACCCACCTTGGCCTCCGAAAGTCCTGGGATTACAGGCGTGAGCCACCGTGCCTGGCCTTGTTCATTCTTTCTAAACACTGCTCCACACAGATCACTCCACCCCTGCACAGAAACCTTCAATAGCTCCCCATTGTCTATGGAATAAAGTTCAAGGCCCTCCACCTGGCCTTCAAAGCCTTCCACAATCTGCCTCATGGCTTTCTTTTCCTCTAGGAACTCACACTAACCCTTTAGGTCTAGATCACGAGTCCACCCATAGGCTGGCACCTTCAGTGAAGATTTGCTGTTGCATTGAGTTTGACTGATCCCAAGTCCTCAATATGCAGATCAAGAGATCTAAAGTTCTACTCAGATAATTAGAGGTCACTTGGCTGTGAATCATGGCACTTGAGAACTGAAAGGTTGTCGCCTTTGCCTAGTCCAATACCATCAATTTGAAAAGAAAGACTCTGAGGAACAGAGAAGTAGGGTACTTGCTTCTGGTCACAGACTCAAACTCAGACTATGGTCAGTGGCTGAACTGACACTAAGAACCCAAAGGCCAAAGGGTTTCTGGAGTACAGAAGAAATCAGTCTTTGGTTTTCTCAGGCTTTCTCAGGCTTCAAGCACCTACCCATGCAGAACATGAATCCTCTTTTTAGAGAGCTTTAGAAAGTCTGGTAGCCCTTTCCCCACAGAACCAGACAAGACACTGAGCAGCCTACAGGGTGCTCTCTGCCAGTGTACCCTAGGACCCAGGTGGTCTAAGGCCTGCAGAAGAGAGAGCAGAGGAGCTGGGTGAGGGAGCTGTGGCAGTGGTAGAAGAGGAGGTGGTTGTGATTCTGTACTTTGCAGGCCCAAATGTGGACTGCAGACTCAGTCTGTAATAGGGTGGAGGTGAGCCAATGAAGTGTCTGTTTTTGCAGCGTGTGTGGTAATAAGAGCCAAACCTTGTAGGCTTAGCCTCACTGCCTCTGTTATTCAGGCTGGACAAGCACAAGCCCCATGGCAGTGACAGGTGAGGTTGTTAAAGAGGACATCTAGACATGCACAGAATCTCCCCAGACCAGTGACAGAATCTCAGGTTTGGAAGGGACCTTGACAGTCATTAAGCCCCAATTCTGACCAAAGCTTCAGTCCTCTTAACAATGTCCCTATTCATGCCTTTGTTGAATGGCCACAGTTACAAGACAGGAAGCTCCACTGCCATTGCAACCATTGCAACGTGCTTTCTGCCTGTGTGGGTCCTCTCATCTACTGGCACCTGCTGGGTATCCCCATGGGTAAGGTCCTGAATGCTACATCTTTTTAAACCTCTTCTCCATCAAAACCTACTTGACCTGCGTCTCATCAGGGTACCATTTCCTGTGGTAGCTCTTCTCCAAAAGTAGCTCCAACAAGCCATGCCTTTTGACACTCATGGCTTCGTGTAGTTTCCTCCCACAATGAGCCAGGGCTGGCCTGTAACATGCTCTAACCAACAAGATGGGGCAGAAGTGATGCTCTGCCAATCTGGGGACAAAGCCTTCAGAAGGCCTGGCAGCTTCCACTTTAGTGCTTCTGGGAGCCCTAAACTGCCACGTAAGATGTCTGGCTACCCTAGAGACACCATATGGAGAGGGAGAGTCTCTGAGTCTCCATAGAGTGAGAGAACAGTCCTGTTGTCCCAGCATGCCAACTGAGTCCAGGGTTCCAGCCACCTGCCACAAGGTCCCAGACGTGTGTGAGCTATCCTGATCACCCCAGCCTAGTCTGGCCCCCAGATGACTGCAGCCCAGCTGACATCACATGGAGTACAAGACCCACCCACTGAACCCACAGAACCCTGGGAGATAATCATCAAAGCCCTATGTTATAGGTGGTTTGTTAGACAGCAATAGATAACTACAGTAGTTACTATGAGCACTTTGGCACAGACTAGTTCCTCATTGGTTTGGGTGGTGTCATTTGGCAGAGATGCTTGACTCTTGGGTGATGAAACCTCCTAGAGACAGTGTCCTAACCCAAAGGTGTCCCCTAGTAGTGGGACACCAGGCACCATGCAGGGCCAGCAGGAGATATTTCTGAGTACTGGATCCTCTCAATGCCCCAATCTCATCTCACAGGCTACATACTTAAATTTTTTAAGGACATCCATTTTTCCTGCATCACAAGGGCCATGAGCTATCTCCCTTATACCCGTAGACAAAGGGGAGGCAGATTCCCACCCAGTGGGGGCAAGAAGGAAGTAAACACAATTAAGGATACCATTTTTGAGACTCAGGTTCTCACGAATCTCCTCATGGTCGCAGGGATGAGTGAAGTCAAAGATACTATGTCCTGTTAGCTCCACCTGTTTCAAAAACAAGGTTAGGCATCATTATTCCTAACAGTGAAGTAAAAGACTCCAAGAGTAAGCTGAGCCACCTTCCAGATTTGGAGGCAGGGAGGAGACTGAATTGGGTTTTCTCATAATCCCAGTCCAGTGTCAGGTCCACAGACAGAAAGATGTAATCGGGGACTACTGATGATGACAGAGACTTGGTCTGTTAATGAGTCAGTAGAGAGCTGTCTACCAGGATGGACATGAGCAAAGCCAAACCCAATGCTTGGGGGTGGGAGCGTGGCCTGAGGCGTGTGGCCTGAGGTCAGCGAGGGTCACCGTGGGCATTTGCAGGGAGAGGTCAAGTGGGATTGTGGCTAGCACCTTCCACTCATTTCTACCCCCAAATGGAAACATTTCTTCTTTTGAAAGAGATAGAGGAGGGTGTCACCTGTGTAAGTCCCATGAACTTGCTGATGTTTTCTGACAGAAAGATCATGTCGCCATCTTGGGTCACCACGGCAATGAAACCCTCCAAGGCTTTCAGGTACAAGTTGTCCATCTGCTGGTCAGCTTCGGCTTCGGACTCGTTTTCAGAGCAAACTGGAAAGGGGGGGGGGTGGGACAGCTTGCATGAATGTGGAGTGAAAACAGATGGGACTGGCACAGATAGGCATTTGCCAGGGATGGTGCAAAGGCATTGGGTGGACTTTTCTGGAAACGCATACTGCCAACCATCTGAATGTCTGCCTCCGCCTGGCAGCAGGCACCACTGCACAGAGGACACCCTGACGGGAGCTGTGAGGACAGTGTGCTTGTTGTGACAACAGTACTTCTGGCACTAGTAATGAGAGCAGTAGGAGCTGCTGTGTGAGTGGTTCAGGGTGGAAGTTTTCCCAAGCTGCCCCCAGCAACCACCTGTACAGCCTATAGACTCAGCTCTTGTCCCAGACCACAAAAACCTTTTAGGCCCCAGGCCTTTGGCTGTTATACACAGACCATAGACTTTATTTCAGCCCTCTAGCCCTCTTCTCCTAGTTCATTATTTATCTCCAAAGACATTTACTTATGAAAATCTGTATTTATCCAGTGCAAACATCAATCAAAGTATGCCTGAATATAATGGTAGTCGTAGTAGTAGGAACAAATTTTAGCTGCTAATATATACTGCAATTACTACATGAAAGGTACTGCACTAAGCATGCTATGTAATCTTCACAGTGACCGACGAGGTAGCTACTATTCTTAATCTCATTTTACAGATGAAGTGTAGAGAGGTTAAGCCATTTGTCCAAAGGTATAAAGATTGCAAAGCTAGCAAGCTTTGACAGCTGAATCCAGAAGCCACACTCAACCATTCATAGGCTTTGGAGTTAAACACAGGTTCTATTCCTAGATCAGCCTCCTATTAGGCTATGACTCTGGATAAGTAACAACCTCTTTGGATATCACTTTCCTCATCAGCTAAATGGGAATAACAATTTCCATCTCTGAATTGTAAGGATAAGTACGTAAAGTGCCTAAAACTATAAGAACAGTAAATTCTTTCTTCTTTCTGCTCCAAGACATGCACTACCCTCAAATTGCTCAGATCCCAGGTGAGGAATATGTAGCACTCAGAGATGCAAAGCTAAATAAAAGTTCAAGGGTGTCATAGCTGGGCTCCCAAGGAAAAGTGTAGATGGGAAGAGCTCTAAGGGGTCAGAGGACGAGGGGGTCGCTTTGGGGTGATCACAGACAACTAACTGTTGCAAAGAAGATTTGAAGAGTCTTAGAAAAAACAGATTTCACTCTGTGGAATGCAAGAAGGGCCTTCTGAACCAGACGGGATTGTGTGAACACTGGAAAACACCTGGAGCAAGCTTCAGTCCTAGGACTGAAGAGAGGCCCATCTGGCTGAAGAAGAGAATCCATTTCCCAGTCTCAGAGATTGGGCTGGTGAGGCAGGCCCAGTGTCCTGGAGGGGCCTCACATGTCAAGCAAATGTGATCAGAGGAGTGCATCTCAAAGCACTGCTTTGGGGAGATTAGTCTGGCAATGGCGTACAGAATGGTTTGGAGAGAGTGAAGCCCAGAGGTGCAAAACAGAGTGAGCAGGCAACTGCATTCTCAGCAGGCCGTACAGGTGGTTGCTGGGTGCAGCCTAGGAAAACTTCCACCCGGAACCACCCACACTTTGAGTATCCTGCCCTATCTAGTATACCTCTGCTATCTGAAAAATATAGACTCGGCTCTTGTCCCAGACCAAAAGAAACCTCTTAGGCCCCAGGCCTTTGGTTGTTATACACAAACCACAGACTTTATTTCAGCCCTCTTCTCCTAGTTCATTATTTAACTCCAAAGACATTTACTTATGAAAATTTGTATTTATCCAGTGCAAACATCAATCAAAATATGCCTCACTTGATTTACAGAACAAGTGGATGAGAGTAATATGTCAGTTGCAAACATTAACATTCACTGAACTAAAAGGAGTCTTCCAAATGGAGACTATTCTAAGGAATGTAGAATGCAATTCAATTTATGGGCCACTTGGCCAGGGACACATCAATGCTGTGAAATGTCGTTCAAGGGCCTTTCTGCAAGGGAACTGGGTTTCTCTTTTATCTTTTTCCTGGAGCCTCTAAATTTAAGCTTTGGGTTACCTGCTGTTATTCCTCAAGAAGAACAAATCCACATTACAAGATCTTCCTACCAAGAGGCTTCAGTGAAGGCAAAGGGGACCAGCTATCTTTCAGGACACAGGATCAGAGAACACGCCAGAGTCACAGATGCCTTTTGCAGAGGATCACAGTGGGTCCTGTCCGGGGATGGGCAAGGCTTCAGAGCCAAGAGTTGGGTTGTACAGAGTAATGCCCCGGTGGCTTTCCCTCTGTTCTGCTAAAATGGTGAAACAAGGGAAATTCTTTCCTCTGCACACCCTGGTTCAGGCGGCTAGCCTGGAGAGGGGAGAACCACAGGTCATGGGAATGACCTTACACCATACACATACGCACACCTGATCCCTGCTTGGGGTTTCTGCTGATACACCTGTTCTCTGCCAGCTCATCAGCCCGCTGAAGCGATGATGCAATGTCCCAGGTGTGGGCGATGCCACTGTGAATGTTAGCTTTCCCAGCTAAAATCTTCATTTGAACAGGGGCTTTAGGGGAGAAAATGACTTAACTCAGTGCTTTCAAATTTGAGTATGCATCAGAATCATCTATAGGCCAGGCTGAAAGAAACATTTCTGAGACCAGCACTGCTACATAATTTGCGTGGCCCAGTGCAAAATAAAAATGTGAGACCTCTCATTGGAAAAATTAAACCAAGCCTGAGAACTTTCTAAGTGTGGCGCCCTCTAAGACTGCCTGTGCTGCACGCCCATGAAGCTGGCCCTGGACGGGCCCCTGCTGGGTTCCTGGTTCAGTAGAACTGAGAATCTGTTTTTCTAAAAAGTTCCCAGGTGACGCTGACCCTGCTACTCATAGGACCACATGCTGAGAGCTATGGCCTCAACTCAAAGATCCTACGAGTGACCTTAATTACCCTGTGCTGGCAGGTGGTGACTTATTTTGGAGATGAGTGAGGAGAGGTTTTCAGCGCCACTTCAATCACACCAGATAGGTGACCACCTTCTGTAGATACACAGAGGCCAACCCTGTGGTTTCTAGCCAACCGAGAAGATATTTTCTCTTCAATTTCTTTGATCTCAGTGGTAACGCTGACTTCAAAATCTGAAGTAATCCCAAGACAACCCTATTTGGGTTAACTAGTCCCAGAGGAAATAGTCCTGCTTAAAATTTCCTGTTTTTAACAGTTCCAACACAGCCAAACTGGTTTCCACCCATGCCCAGTGCATTTGCTTCCAGGAGGTGGCGAAATCGGCTACAGCAGCATCGGGTCAGCTGGCCTCCGGGAGGGAGAGGGGCAATCTAGGGCCACGAAGGGTAACAGAATGTCTTGGGACTGCGGTCACAATGGCTGGAGGACCAGGAAGCCAGCAGGTTGGCCCCAGGGACCCTGTGACGGCAGGGCCGGGACAGGGTCTCTTCCCTCTGTGGAACTAGTTGCCCTCACAGCACCTGCTTGTTCTCCTGGGAGCTTCTGAAGGAACCTGGCCAGGTCACTCCCAGCTTGGAGCTGAGAGTGAAAACTGGGGAGCCAGGAGGTAGCCCCTCACCGTGGAGGCTCATGTCACAAATCTGCTGAAGACCCTTCTGCCTCTTCCCCTATGAACATCGTGTCTTCCCTGACGTACCATTAATATCCTACTCAGTGTTACGGACATGGGAAAATGCACGCGCTCCCTACACCATTATTAAGTTTCTACTGTGTTCATGTCTGCTTTATGCTAGGCACAAGGTAATCTGTCCAGAAGTGTCACTTACTGTGTGCTCAGTCCTGTCTTAAGGAGAATCAGGGATACTGAAAGGTGTAAGGGCAGTTCCTTCCCTCGGAATCGACAGACTGGTGGGGAAGACAGATAAACTGCTGTAAGGTGATGCCACAATCCAGCATCAACTCTTGGTCAGAACAAAGTGAGGAGCCCAGAGTAGGTGCTCAATAAGCCACCAAGTGGGTCTGTAAATCATCCTGGGCTCCAGATCTCAGTTACTTGCTTCCGAGGACCCTTCAGGGTCTGACCCCAAAGACGAGAGATGGCTCATTAAAACCAGAGGTGCTCTGCTGAGAAAGTGCATGCCCGTCCTGGGGAGCATAACAAGATTCTTTAATGCTAAAAATAGCCCCGGTAAACAGGCTTTGATGACTCCCCACAGCCAGGATATGCGCGGGCTGAGGTTTTGGAGCACTTTTTCCGGAGCAACGCTCATTTCCTTCAGGCAGCACCGCCCATGTGGGGTGGGACTTCCTGGGCAGCAGGGGCTGTGCATTGGGAGAGAGCAGGCAGAGTGGCAGAGCAGAGGCTCCTGAGTGGTCTCAGAGACCAGGCTGCCCCACGGTGCTGCTGGTCAGAATGCTGGCTGCACTTTTATTCCACCAAGGTCGCTTTGCCTCTTGTTTCCTACTCCGAGAAGTTCCAGGACTGCTCTGACTGTTCTTAAAGCCATTCTGATGGGGTCTTCCTGGTTCAGATGTGCTTGGCAGTTACCACTTTGTGACCACCACAGGGGCCTTCCTTCTAAGGCTCTGCCTAAACTGATTCCTCCCCTCCACCTGACCCACAGCCTGGCCCCTCAAACCCCGCCCTCCCGGATGTGCAGACTGCAAGAGCAGTGCCAGTCAAGCCACAGGGAAATCACTCTGGGATCGCTTACTGGATCCTTAGCCATACCTTTAAATGCCACCATTAGCAGGCCTGGGCTCCTCTGATGCCTTTGACAGAAGGCACTGTGTCCTTCCTGATCTTCCTGGGCTCCCTGAGAGTCCTGAAAGTCCACTAGGAGAGATTCATGCCTTTGTTCTTTGCATGTATCTTACTATCCTATCTTGCCTCTCTGTATTACCCTTGATGTAGTACAGGACTGGGTTCAGCAAACACCTGTTGACTGACGAGACTTTTTAGTTTAAGTTAAAGGAATGATCTGAACAAAGTCAGTATCTCTAGAAGAGACTGTATATTAGCTGTTCTCACCCATTAACATCCTCACATGAATCAGCTTATTGAGTTCTTTCCAAACAGGACAGAAAAAGGCCTTGATTTGGAGTGGGTGGGACAAAGGGGTGGAGGTAGGAGTGAAAGCCTGGGAAAAGAAGTCTGAAAGTGGGGTGTGAGAGGGTACCAGAACATATATCTGCCTCCACAATTCTTTCTTTGTCCCACTTTTCCTGCATGGAAAGGTCATATCAAGCCTTAAAAACTTTAAAATCACTTGTCTCACATTTTAATATCCTTCCCTTAGTAGTCTAGAGATCAGGAAAATATAATCTCTTGTTATAACTGATGTCTTCGCTAAGCAAATGATGATGAATCCATAATGCAACTGACACTTCTCTTTAGAAACCTTGCTTCACGCTGATCTCCAGGTCCATGGAAAATGAATTTGATTTCGCCATGTATGAGTTTGGGCAAGCCCAAAATTCAGTTTTACAATGAAAAGCAAATTTTGTATATTCACTGCGGTTTAATGCCCTCAGAATGCAGAGTTGACCCTGATTCGCTCATGGTTTGTGGGGCTCATCTTGAAAGAGGATTTAGGACAATCAAGTGGCATTTCCACCGATGTTCCTGTAAGAGTGTGTTCTGTCCTCAGCCCAGCGTGGCAGCTAATATCATAAAGCTATTGTTTCAGTTTGCTTCCTGTGATACGAATCTCAATCGGCAGCCCAGACCCACAGCCTGAATTTCTCAACGTTGAGGTTTCCTCTCCAACATTCCCACACAGAACAGCCTACTGTGAAAATCAAAGGGAAACGTGTTACTAAGTAAAGAGAAACTTTTCTAAAGAAAAACCTGGTATTTTTTAGCCTTTTGAACTTTGAGGTATGCAACCAGCTATTTCCTATTATAAAGTGAGCCAAAATTGGTACTCACCTTTGTTAGAAATGCTTAAATAATGAATGTGTGGGTTGTTTTGCCTTGGAAAAGTTTGACGACTCTGCATTTTGATAGAAATTGCTAGAAAGTAGGTTAGAGGATAGTAAGAATTTACACTGGGTTTTCTTTTACATCATTTCTCCAGAAGCCTATATTTAATATAAATCAATATATTTGTTCATAATAATTTTTATTTCTAAGCTATAACTTATTGAGAGCTTAATATGTGGCAGGCTAGAGGATAAGGCCTTTTATATCTGTTATCTCAATCCCCAAATAACATTGCAGGGTAAGCACCATTATTCCCTTTGTGCAGATGAGGAAACTAAAGCTCAAAGAGAAATTTTTACTACATTGCAGAGAAAGAAGGCAGCCAAACTAAGATTCCAATGCAGGTCTATCTGCCCACAAATCCCGTACTCCTCTTCATAACGCTACATGTGTTGGAAAAGCAAAATACGATTTAGAAAGAAAAAGATCTTGTCTTACAATTTCTGAAAATAACTTAACAATCAGTCTAGCGAATGTGTGGCAGGAGCCTGGGAGAGAAGTCAGAGAAAAGCGGGTGCTGAGAAACCATCTCCTCCTCCCTGGGCTGTGCTCGTTTGGTGAGAATTTCTCCTTCAAGGACATCAGGACCACATGGCCAAAAGTAGAAACTTTTTATCCTTTTCCTTCATTTCTTTCCTTGGGACAGAGAGGACCAGAGCTGACAGGCTAAAGGCTCTAGCTGGTCTAGGGCCGAGCCCAGCCAGAGGGCAGGCAAGTTTGTGTCCACAACTTTCAACAGGCTCCGGAGATGGGATAGATATGGGATGTCCCACTGTGGCCACTCTGGTCCTATCTCTGTGGGTGTGTTTAGCACACAGGGGTTCCCATCAGCACATGAGGGCTCACACCAGAACACACACAGGTAGATGTGCTCAGGGAGTCCAGCCTAACTCGTGGCCTTTTCGAGGCCAACCTTTGAACCACTGAGATGGACAGCCAGGCTCAGGAGGGCAAGCATGCAAAACGAAGCCCTGCACTAGGGGGAAGGACAGGACAACTCTCTGAATGTGTGAGGACCTCCTCCCCATCACGCTGGCCCCCAGCTGCTTCTGTTGACCTTTGTTCCCCTACCTTCTCCCTTCCCCCACACCCCATACCCCAGCCCTTGTCAGCATCTTTGCCTGACCAGGTTTACAAAATGCTCTTGCTGTCCCATGTCTGTTTTCCCATGGACCAAAATTCAAAAGGACTTGAATTCCAGGTGCAGGTTCACCATGTGCTAAATGTGTGACTTTGAGCAATCTTAACCTGTCTGTGCTTCACTTATCTGTGAAATAAGGAGAAACACAACGAGTCCAAATTTAGTCAGAGGCATTCTACAATTAATATACAGGTTGACTGTCCCTAATCTGAAAACCTGAAATCTGAAATGCTCCAAAATCCAACACAACATTCAAAGGAAATGCTCATTGGACCATTTCAAATTTCAGATTTTTGGGTTAGGGATGCTCAACTGATAAATACAATGCAAGCATTCCAAAATCTGAAAAAATTAAAAAATCAAAAGCACTTCTGCTCCCAAGCATTTCGGATAAGGGATACTCAACCTGTATTACCCCTTCTGGGGCTTTGTGTGGGTGGAGGAATTGGGAGTGGTGATGAAAGAAGCAATGATTAATCCAAAGGAATTAATGTCTAAGAGCAAAATCTCAAGTACCACAGCAGGAAAGCAGGGGAGAGGGTTCTCACTGTGGGGAAGGGGCCTCCATCCAGTCATTAAATCCTCCACTGTCTACTCTTTTTATGTAAAGATGATTGCAACATTAGCCAACTTGGCCCTCAGTTATCCAGTAAGACAAGCCTTTTTAAAGGGAGGGGTACACAAATGCCCTGTGATGGAGTCTCCCAGCCTTTCTTATATCCAGCAATCCAAGCCTTGCCAGGGCTCAGCCCACTGTTCTCTCTTTGCAGCATCTAGGATCATGTATCTGCCATTGTCTTGCATTGTTCTTTGAAAGTATTTATGGAGCATATCTTCCCCCTTGGCTCTCCTGCTCTTGTCTGCACATTTCGCCTCTTTAGGCCTAGCCCTCCAACCCCAGGCCCACTGAGCTGTCGTCCTATTTTCTGAAAGTCTGTCCCCCATATCCTTCCTGTACTACAGGGACCAGAATAGTACATTCTGGTCTGGCCTCCCAGCCTCACACTGGATTCCCTCTTTCCCAGAATAGCCACTTCATAACAGGATGGCGGAGTCCACCGTCTCCAAGGCACCAGGCTTACTCCGGAAAACTGAAAAACAACCACAAAAGAACCTTCCCTCCCTGAGTGCCTCCCTCATGCTCACCCGTCAGACACTGTCCCCACCTGTGGCACCAGACCAGGTGGGGAGGAGCACAACTCGTTGCCCAGCGTCCTTACAGAACTGACACCCCTGACGAGAATGTCACCTAGGATCTGAAACCAGAAGACTACTCAAGACACCTGTTTCTGGTCAGGACGCATAGGAAATGGTTTCTTGAAGAATGTAACTGAGAAAAAGCAAATGTCTTGTGAACTTTGGAGTTGCAGAGGTGCTAGGGAGGGGAGAACCAGTTATTTTCCGAGGGAGGGGTGATGTCAAGGACTCCCCAGTGTGAGTGAGCTCAGCCAGGCCAGGTGCTTTATGGACATCATTTCAGTCCATTCTCACCGACACCCTGGGCAAGAAGTATGTTTAACCCCATTTTATACACGAGGAAACCAATGTTCAGAGAGACTAAATGATTTACTTGGCCTAACTGGCTTCTCAGAGGGAAAAGATCATCCGGGCACACCTTCTTGCTGTTCTGGAGAAGGCACTGGAAGTTAAGGATTAGAATGCTTCCTGCGGACTCAATCTAGTGTGGAGGATGGGTCTTATGGCCAGATGGCAACAAATTGAGAAGTCAGCAAAAGCCGTCCTTGGTTCTCCCAGCCCGTGTTCTCCACAGCCTCTGGGTGCCCATGTTCTTCCCTGGTCCTGTCCCTGCCCTCCTCTCACAGCTGGATTCACGGTAAAGGTCACTGCTGGAAGAGAGATGTTTAACATGAAGGAATAAATCACTCATGATGGTGTTTCTGTGGGTGAAAGTTCTGTAGTGGGGTGACTTTCCAGCTCTGGCAGCAGAAGGGTCCCCTGCATATAGGAACATGCTGGTAAGGCTGGCATCTGCCCAGCCTAGGGGAGCCTGCTGGCCTTACCTGAGGAGAGGAGCTTGTGTGTTCGCAGGAAGCTGATTGCCAGTCGCATGATGGAGGCCTTGTCCAGATGGGAGCTCACACTGTGGGGCAGAGGCAGCTCATGGGCCAGCTCATAGAACACCTCCGTCTCCTTGCTCCGCCGGCACCGCGCAGCATCCCGGGACTTCTCCTTCCTCCTCTCCGAGCTACTCCTAAGTGGAGAAGAAGGGGTTAGTCCCGGAAAGGTTACTGTCAGCCTATCATACCTCTGGCCAGGACATCCCCATGGCCCCAACCCCCAGTGCAGCCACACTCCCTTACTAGACTGATCTGGGCTCACACCAGTTGTCTGAGCCACACACAACCTGCTTTGTATTGTTAGCTCTGCTTTTGTGTGTGTTGGTGTCTTCACAACCAAAGTCCTCCTCTTGCATTCCCTGTGGAGGCCAGAACAGGGCTTCACATGGGTGGAGTCTGGGCAAAGACTGGCTGATTAAATTAACTACCAATGCCTGGGACCTAGCCCTGGAATATCTGGGGATAGGGGTGAATGTCCAGGGATGGAAAGAGAAGGGTAAGGAAGCTATGATCAGTGGCTCAGATGGCTTTGTCAAGGGCTCTGGAGAACAAGATAAAAAAACTGCTTTAAGGTTCTTTTTCTGCATAAGACACAATCAGAAAAAATTAAGAGTAGTACTGAACCCTAGATCCCGCTTCATACCAGAAAGTGATTTCCACAGTAAAAACTGAAAATGCCATTACAGCCCCAGAACAGTTAGCCAGACACCCAACAGTCTAGAGTACCAACGTGCGTTCTGTCAAGGATTAAAAAGGAGTGGGCACAAACATTTTCTCTCTAAGCCCTGCCAGCATAGGTTGCCAGGCTGTCTCAGCCTCATTCTCCTCTTTGCTGCAGGATGGAACGAAAGATGACACGCACTGAAGCCTGCCTCTTTTAGAAGTCCTAAAGAAATCCTGGACTTTCTTATAAAGTCCATGGCAAGTTCTAGCACGGGCAATATTTAAAAGCCAGAATGTTTAGATTGGAGTTCTAACTTCTCTGCTTGTTAGCTCTGTAAATAAATCATTTAAACTGCTTAGCCTCAGTCTCCTCATCTGTAAAATGGTAACAATAGTGCTTACCCTACAGAGTTAACTGTGAGGACTAAATGTGATAATTTATGTAAAATCTTTAGCACTAAGCCTGTTCCAACTGTAAGCAATCAATGTTAGCTAATACTAATTAAAAAGATGGCCATGAAAAGACAATCATAAGAGTTAAAAAGTTACAAAACAGTACAGGACAATTCTATTTTCACAGAAATGTATTATACATAATACTTCCTATAAATTATATAGGAGAAAGGCTAGATGCATAATAACTATTATTATAGGTATCACAGACATAGTGCTTACAAGGACTGTTTTAAGCAGTACTACCTTGGCTTATTTAAACTCACACAACTGCCCTTGGAAGTAGGCATTATTATTATTATTATTATACCTAATTTACATATGAGGAAACTGCCCCATAGAGGCCAAGTAATTTACCTGTGGCCTCCAGCAGGTAAATGGGGAAGTCGGGCTTTGCACTGGGAAGGTGGGCCCCAGAATCATGGCACTTAACCACCAATGACTGTCCTGTCTCCTTCTACTCAAAAATGTTAGCAGTTGCATGGTAGTGAGGTTAAAGGGAGTTTTTTTGGTTTTTGTTTTGCTTTGTAATGCTTATCTGTATTTTCTTGTGTTTCTATAAATAACCTATATTGCGTATTTAATGAAGAAACAAGTATGTTTTTTATTTTTTTAAAAAGCATCTAAGCCAGGCATGGTAGTATTTGGACCTGTAGTCCCAGATGGGAGAATCACCTGGGCCCAGGAGTTCAAGACCAGCCCGGGCAATATAGTGAGACCCTGTCTCTATAAAAATATAAATAAGATAAAATAAAAAAGCATCCAGCGAAGTTCATAGGTTTCAAGGCCTCAATCCAATCAGCTCTAGCTGGCTCGTTCTGTCCTGCCATCTGAGATCCCAGAGGCTGCTTCTCCTTTTGTTTGGCTTTGCAGCCTGCTATTTGGACAGAAAATCTGTATTTTGGGATTCATGGAATGTGAGCATGCCTCTCAAATCCCTCAAGATTTGGGGCAGAAGCACTGTTTTGATTTTACAACATACTTCATTTAAAAAGACAGACTATCCAGCTCCGTGGATGGATTAAGCATCATATACTCGGATTAAAGGATGAATCGTCCAACAGCTGTTGATGGTCAAGAAGAACCTTCAGAAAAATTGTGAAATGAGTGAAACTATTTTTCTCGTCATGTCTCCCTTCTCTGCTTCCTTTATCTAATCCCTGTTTCCCTCTCTCCCTGACTTCCAACCTTCAGGACACCTACCCCTGCACCCCCCTTTCCCCACCTTCTCAGGACTTGCCCTGATTAGACCTTTAGTGGCAGTTTTTATATTAGTCCCTCCCACGTGCATTTTAATCCTGACCTGATTGTGGAGAAAAAGTTAAAGAATTGCAAGTATTCTGGCACAGGAAAGGAAGATGGGAAGAGGGCAGGATGCTGAAACCGCACACATCATGCCTTTGGATCAGGAGGGTCAGGTGAAAGATGCTGGATTTCATTACTAACCCTTGTGCTCTCCAACAAAAGCATCATCAACACATAACCTCGTCATCAGGGGCCAAGGGAAGCCATCCTGAAGCAAAAGCAATCCCAGCACAGGCTATGGCATTAACGCCAATATCTGCATGCACAAAGCTTCCCTCTGCCATTGGCCCCTTCCTCGAAGAAGAGGCAGAGAGGAAAAGCCAGGTAGGGAAAAGGCAATCTGGAGTCAATGCTCTGACAATGGCATCTGATATATGAGTCTTGCTGTGCTTTTTGTGCCTGGTGCTCTATCAAAAACCTTTCATATATTAGTTCATTATACTCTTCCTAACAACAAAATAAAGTAGGTATTGTTTACACAGTTTAGAGATGTGGAAACTGACGCTCAGAAATAATATGTCATTTGCCCAATGTCACAAAGCCAATGCCTACATAAGCCATTTAAGGGTTTATAGTCAGTGAGCAGACACTTAGAAGTCCGGAAACACACAGGGGATCCCTATCTAATTCCATCCTTGCAACCAAGTGAGGTAGGCAAGACAGGTACTGTCACTGTTCCCCTTTCACAGATCTGGAAACAGACACTTGAGCAGGTAAGTTACTTGCCTAGAGCAACCCAGCTAATCAGTGGCAGAGCTAGGGCTAGAACCCTGCTCTTCCTAGGCGAATACTCTTTTCACTGCTTAACTGTAGGAGATAGTGGCTTTGGCAAGAAATAAAGAAACAGCAACACCTTAGCTTCCAGAAAAAGGAAGATTGAGAATCTTAGGCAGCCTCTTGGTTCAAAAGTCAGGGAGGTGGGATTTCAGCTGAACCTAAAAGGACAAATAATAATGCCTTTACAGAAAGCACTTCTTCTTAACATGTGTTATCTCATTTGATTCTCACAACCCTGAGAGATAGAAACTATCATCTCCATTTAATAGATGAGGATGTGGAGATTTAGAGAGATTAAATAATTTGCTAAAAACATTGTCTCAAACCTAGTTCTTCTGGGTCCAAGATCAAAAGTTTTTCCATTGGCAGCAAGGAGACTATCATTTACTGTACAACTTTGATGTTCCCTGTGCTGTGTTGATACTTTCCCACAACCTGGATGCTCACACATACTTTGGGAAGAAGGGCTAATACTTTTTTAAATACAGTGACAAAAATTTCATGAGGGGAGCCTCATGTCTTTAAGTGTGCACCCATTCACCTTAGGAGAACACCTGGAATGTTAAGAGTAGGACTAAGAACCAGCATCAGAGTTCAGATGGGGTCGGCGGGGGAAGAAGGGACTAAGTGCTGTGGGCCTTAGCAGACACAGGTGCCGGTCACAGTAGTGCTGGGAGGGTGGGGGAATGTTATCAGATGTGGCTCTGCAGTGTTCCATAAAAGCAGCAGGTCCAACCCTGCCACAGTATCTATCTATGCCGCAGGTGGAGAAAAAGGTGTTTCTTTTTGTTTTGGGTTTGTTTTGGGTTTGTTTTTTTTCCCCCTGGACATTTTCATATGCACAAATTTATAGTTACTCTCCCCGAGGTGGAAACTCACATTCTGAAACGTTTGATCCCAGCTAAAGTTAACAACCACTTAAGCACCAGGCAGCCAGTCAAAAGATAAAACAAAACTGAAATGTCCAAAAATTGTCAGCAGAGATATGCTACAGTTCATCCAGGAAAAACCTCTTTGCCCAGAGCTTCGTTATCTTAAAAACATCTTAACTTTTAGGTCATTGCTCCGAGCATGGCTTAGGGATCGCTACTTAGGTCATGAATCTAAGGATGATCTGCTCTTGGTCAAGATGATCTTGGTTCCTGACTTCCATATGAACACAGCCTGGAGTGAGGCCCCAAGATGTCTGTCACCAGTAACACAGAGGGGTTGGCTGCCTAATTAGCTAGACTTTTAGAGTGATTAGGACTCACATGCCTAATGCCTGTGGCCATTCAGGTATCAAAACAATATGCCTATTACCCTATAAGGTTAAATGGCTTAGAAACAGAATGGATTTCAGCAGGTAAAGAGATGACTGAGGCTAATTAAGCCAGCTGGGATCAGTCTATTGGTTGGTGGTGAAATTCCAAGCTGGAGCCAATTTGCAAGAAGCTGAGAATGGAGGAAATAAAGGTCAAATGCAATTGGGAGAGGTCTAGTGACACTTCTATGAGGCTTGTGGCTGCTGTACAGGGGCTGCCTGATAGGAGAAACACACCCAGCTCCAGGTTCCAGAGATGAGAAAGAGTCACTGGTCCCCATACTTAACTGGGGCAGAACCAAAGTCGGTGGTTCTCAGTTTTGCTGCTCACTGGAGTCACCAGAGGAACCTTAAAAAACAGATGCCTGGGCTCTATCCCCAGAGATTCAGATTTAATAGGTCTCAGGTGCAGGCTGGGCAATGGGAGTTTTAAAAGCTCCCCACGTGTAGCCAGGGCTGAGGACCACGGTTCCAAAGCAGCCAGTTTTTAAAGGAAGGATGGATGGGTGGGTGTGTGTGTGGTGGGGGGAGGCAGATGGGGTTGGACTTAAATGTTTTTGGAGATGCAAACAGCTATGTCACCTTTCTCAAAGAGTAGGATGAAAAGGAAACATATTTATTGAGCACTGGGGCCAGATGCATTTAATAAATGGTCTCATTTGATCCTCACTTAAATGATGCAGTGTTATTGGCCCCAGTTTTGCAGAGCCGTGGGTCTCAATTTTAGCTTGCATCAGAATCACCTGGAGGACTTATGAAAACATAGATTTCCAGGCCTGTGATCATGTGTCTATGGAAGACTGACGCCCAGGTCCACTTCCAAAACCTAACCACACTCTTTCCCTCTACCATGCACTGTGTCCATATTCACTGTGTCCAGCAAATTTGAAGTCACCATCATAAGCCAAACAGTCATTTATCTAGGAGTTGGTGTGATCACCACTGTACCAGATGCTATGGCTAATAGGAAGAGGGAGATGAAAATAATGAGACATGTGAAATAGATGCCACACAGAAGGTGGCTACCCTTCAAAGAAGCCACCTTGGGAGAAGCCTATAACTTTATGCTGGTAGGTGGCCATCGCTCTGTCTTTTGGGAAGTCTTTTAGAATTAACTTCAGAGCCACATAAGAAAATCAGTCACAACTCTTCAAAGGACACACCTCATTTCAAACCCCAAACAATATTATCCAGTTTACCCACCCCGTTAGTCACCAGACTTAGCTGTGGATGGATTGTGGTTGTTTGATAGGATAAAATGTGCCCTCAAAAGATAAGACTTTGCCACAATTGAAGGTATTGAAAAGAATGGTCTTGGCTGTGAGGGCCATTCCAAAGGAGTGACAAAAATGTTTGAGATGAAGGCAGTGTTCCAGTGGTCAGTGTTCTAGGTACATTCTGATGTCCAAAGGCTGCAGGGATCAGTAGGGGAATCTATCACAAAGGGAGGAAAGGTATCAATGTTAGATAGTGAAAACAGAAAATAGGCCAGGCACAGTGACTCATGCCTATAATCACAGCACTTTGGGAGACTGAGGCAGGAGGATTGCTTGAGCCCAGGAGTTTGAGACCAGCTGGGCAACACAGCAAGACCCCATCTCTAAAAAAGTTAGAAATTAGCTGGGCACGGTGGCACACACCGGTGGTCCCAGCTACTCAAGAGGCTGAGGCAGGAGGATCCCTTGACCTGGGAGCTCGAGGCTGCAGTGAGCCATGCACCACTGCACTCCAGCTCAGGTGACAGAGTGAGAACCCATCTCAAAGCAAAACAACAAAAAGTTACAAATTCAGAATGGAAAATATTAAATTAGCAAATTCAGGAGGAGCTGGCCAGATCAGACAGACTTTGACAAGAGAAAAAAGGCATTAATATGCTTTAATACACACACCTCTCCTGAGGGGCATGGTCTCTATCCTGAAAGAGACCACAGCCCATCTGGGAGATAAGACTAATAATCCACACTAGTATATCAAAAGTCTACAAGAGGGGACAAAGAAGAGAGAAGACATGAGACTGGAGTGGTTAAAACAGGGACAAATGCTTTCACTTGCCACTTCCCTGAAAGAGGAATCCTGGAAAGCATCTCATACCTCAGCCTCCCAACCTCCGCTCCGCTGGGGCTGAGCCTCCAGCTCTCTGACCTACTCTAACGGTCTGTGTCCCTGGAGCAGAGGGCCTGGACTGCATTCAGCGCTGACAGTAATGTCTGGGGCTCACCCAGCATGGCCCTCTAATGGTCAATTCTGCTTGGGTTGACTGGAGATACTTATCTTCTGGCCTTCTCAGCCCCAGGCAGCCTTGTAGAAAAGAGCAGCAGATTCGATTACTAAGCAGCCCATCTGGGGCTCCAGATAACCCAGCTCCTTACGTAACCGGAGGACACGTGGACTCCCCAGCCCAGCTGGGAAAAGCTGTGTGTACACAGGAATAATCATAATGAACTGTCCCTGTGCTTAGCTTCATCAAGCCCAAGCCTTAGTGGGTGCCAAGGTCTGAATGTTTACGTCCCCTCAAAATACTTATGTTGAAATCCCCACTCCCAATGTGATGGTATCTGAAGGTGGAACCGTTGGGAGGTGATTAACTCATGACAGTGAAGTCCTCATGAATGGGATTAGTGCACTCGCAAAGGAGGCCCAGGGGAACCCTCTCACCCCTTCCACCATGTGGAGACACAGCTATGAACCAGAAAGTGGGCCCTTACCAGACACTGAATCTGCTGGCACCTGGACACTGGACTTCCCAGCATCCAGAACCATGAGAAATGAAACTCTGTTGTTTATAAGCCACTCAGTTTACGGTATCTTGTTGTAGCTGCCCAAATGGGCTAAGACAGTGGGGCATTCTTTATTCTACATATTAGTGAATAATACCACTTTACATTTGGATCACACACTACAGTCTAAAACACTCGTGAGTGAATCTGGAAATCTGTAACTAAATTTGTAAATTTCACACAGTAGGCTAGGAAGAGCAGCTACCATCATTCCCATTTTAGAGATAAGGAAAAACTGAGGTTTAGAAAGGTAATGGGAGTATGTGGAACTGGAACAAAAGCCCCGAGTTCTGGCTTTTTCAAGGCCCTGTGAACAGAGCGCCTGCTGACAAGCAGCACTGGCCATGTGGCACGATTAGAAACAGACCTTCATTATCTGTCCATCATATAACCTAGCTTTTCCCAACACATAATTTCCTTTTTAAAAATGCCGTGGTGAAGATAAGGGTAATGCATATTTAGTATAAGCAACTTCAAAAATACAAAAAGGTATGAAGAAAACGAGCTGAGATCTCATTGGATTTATAAATTAATACTTTGCTCTTTTTACTTAACAGGATATCCCATTAAGAATTCTTTCAAAATATTCATAATAGCCAGCAATATCACATCATGTGGCTGAACCACAATGCATTTTACTATTCCCTTATTGCTTTTCGTTATGGTTTCTAATTTTTAGCTGTTATAAATAATGCCATGACAACTACCTTGGCATCAGGTATTGCTTACTTCTTACAATAAAAGATATGTATCCAGCTTGCTGCCAGCTCCCCGTAGCCACCTCACAGTGACCCCACCCCCACCCCATGAAAGCTGAGTTGGCAGATTTGGCTACACTGGCATCCTCAGGACCACAGCCAGCATTACTGAGCACAAAGCATGGGTCACGGTGCTTCAGAGGGCAGTATCAGAGGGAAGGAAGACAGAACATGCAACAGTCTCAGCCTTGGAACCAGGCTCAGCCTCCTTTTCCCATGGCCAGCTCTCTCTAGGCTGCTTCTCTTCCTCATGCATACGCAGGTCAAAGCATCTGAAGAGAAGACCAGCTGTGCTAAAACTGGTGGCTTCCTTTGACTCTAATCCAGTTCTGAGAAGAGGGCCACCCTTGCTGATGAGCAGGACCTCTTCCCCCACTGTAAAAATAAAGTGTTCTTTCCATCTTTCCCACCCCTCATCTTATCCACTGCAGGGATGTATAGAGAAGACTCGGTGCTGTCTTCACTCATGAAAAAGCAGGGAGAAAGCCAGCGGGTGCAGGAGGCATTTGCGTGGCTCTCCATTGCTCTCTGTGGCCTCTGATGTCTGCCACTGCCCGACCCCTGACACCATGCAGCCTTCAGCTAAGAGACTAATTAACCTCCGCAAGCTGAGATACTGACTATATAACTAGGAAACAACCACATGTGACTCTTTCCAGTTAGTAAAGAACTCTCAGCATATTGCTTCTGTTTAATCCTGAATCAATCTTGCAGAGCAGGTGTATCACTCCCATTTTACACATAAGGAGACAGACCCCAAGGATGTTAGTGGCATGCCCAGCCATCACCCAGTGATGGAGCCAGCACTCAAACCTGGATCATTTGACCCTAAATCCCATATTCTTGATTGTAATTGGGTGACCTTCCCTACAAGGCCAATAAGCAAGTCCCTCAGGTTCAAAAGATTTAGCTGAGCTGGGCATCTTGAGGGTGAAGCCTTCTAGGATACTAAATCTGATGAGCTTTTTGAAACATACACTTGGTCTGGGAAGCAGCAAAGTGAGACACGCTGGCCACCATTTTGCCTGAGGCCAGCCCCTCAGCTGGCACACCAGCCCCCTTGGGATAGTTCTCAGCTTGGAGAAGTCTGTCTTTAAAAGAAAAAGAAAAAAAAAAGGTTTGTGCTTTGCTTGCGGAGTCTACAGCTGCCACAGGTTGTTTCCTTCTCACCAGACTGTTTTCTTTGGTGCCACCTCTCTGGGCTTGAAGGTATTTCCCCACACCCAGGCTGTTACCAGATCTGATTTAGATTTTTTTCCTTAGGGCTTCTACCCATCAGCAGCCTTCTTCCTTTGGATCTCACAAGCTTCCAACAACACCATCTGTGGTTTGGCTCAAACCCTTCTGCCTGTGCTGCCATCCTGTTCCTACAACACTGCCTTCAGCTAAGAAAATTGACAAAGAAATTGCACGGCGGTTGAATCAAGAAGAAAAGGCCTGAGATGTAAAACGGATTCCTCGGCATGAAGCAAACTCCGTGGGGCAAGTGGGGAGCAGTTTCCCGCCCCACTTCAGTCTCTAGGGGGGACTTAGCTACTGCTGCTGCCCCTCCCACTCCCTGCCTGGAATATACTCTCTCCATCTCCCAGGCCTGTCTGAATTAGGCTCATATTTCAAGATCTCCCATGCATCCGTTTCCCTAGGAAAGCCTCACCTGCACTGACTTCTCCTCCAAGTCCCATTTCAGAGGTTACACACGCACGATTTGGCCCTGTGTTGCTCTCCTTGATTTCACTTCTGTGGCTTCTGTCTCCCTAACTAGACCACATACTCTTCAGGGAAAGAACCCCACACCTGTTCTTTTGGTGTCCTCTAAAGCATCAGTAGTACAAAGTGGTACAAACTGGAGACATCGGATAAAAACCACGTCAATGACTTCAGTTCTGTGGATTCCTCAAAGCTGCTCACTGTTCTAGATCTTTCCTAAGAATTCTAACCCGGCTCTTAATTAGAATAGACGGTTTCCATCTGGGAAGAGTCACCCTGCGGACACTCAAGGTGTGTGTGTCTGTTGGTGTTTTGTCACCTCTGTGAATCAAATCTGGGGTCTGAACTAGTGCTGCTGACAGCTGCCTGTGGAGTCACCCAGAGCAGCACTTCCCAACCTTTGCTGTGGCCAGGAATCACCCAGGGATCTTGTTACAGTGCAGGCTCAGTAGGATCTGGGCTGAAGCCTGGGATTCTGCCTTCCTAACAACCCTCAGAGGATGCTGATTCTACTAGTCTGTGACCTCACACTTTGAGTAGAAAGAGACCCAGGAACACGTGCGATCTTGAGACTGAAGATGCCATCTGGCAGGGTTAGTGCTGCCTGCTGCCATCCTAATCTGAGGCACGTAAAGTCCAACAAGTCCAATCTTCTCTCTGGCCAGGAAGAATCCTGTTCTCTTTGTAGCTTTCTTTATGGGATTTTACTAAGCCCTACATTAATGTCCCTCTCCTCCTTCAAGTCTTCCCTACCTGTATCATTTTATTCCTTCCTATTTCTTCAAAACCCACCCCTTAGGACCAGCCCAAGCCCTACTTCTTCCAGCAGTGTCCCTGGCCCCTTAGCAACATTCTCCAGGGTACTTCCTGCCCACACTACTCATAGGCCCTTATTAAAGGCCTCCCTGTCTTGGTGGCTTTTCTATGCAAACGTTCTACTCCTATAACTGTGCTGTAAGTACCAGGGGAAGGGCACAGACACAACATCTTCCACTTTCGTGTATCCTTCAGTGGAACCTGGGCTAGGGCAGACAAACTGGGTAAATATTTGCTGATTGTGAAAGACAATCAAAAATGCCCTTTGCTCTTTTCCTTTCCCTCTCAAGGAGGAAAGAAAAAGTGATCCCAGCTGCCTTGGCCTCCATCCCCAGCCCAGCCTTGCTCCTCTCCCAGGCGCTGCAGCTGGGGCGGCTTAGATTTTATTTCGCTCTCTGCAGCTCCTCTTCCCTTCAGTGAAGAGTTAAAGCATCGGGAAGGCTCCTTCCCACTTGGAAATCTCCATTTCCTCCTGCAGCGTGAACAAGAGAACTCTATGGACAGAGGCCGAGTGAGCCAACTGCGCAGGGAGTGAACTCACTCTGAATGGGGCTGTTCTAACACCCGCCAAGTCAAGTCATTAAGATGCCATCCCCGAGGTGCAGCCCCCAGCGTCACCTCTGGATATCCATATCCTCAAGCCCGCCGGCAGAAAGGATGAATGGTGAGCACAGAGCTGGTGAAAGCAAGCTCTTTCATGAGCAGGGCGTGAGAGGACCTCTCCGGCTCCTCTTAAGGTGGGGGTGGGGCGCTTCGGAGTAGAAGTCGTTCCTCCTCTCTCCCACTGCCTCCTCTACCACACCGAACTAAAATTAACCCTCAAATTTACAGGGAGTTACCCAAAAGATTGCTCCACAAAAGGCAACCAAGAAGGGGGCTGGGTAATAACATTAGAAAAAATATCTGCAATGCCAAAAATAATCACTGTGTCATGAGAAAACAGAGCTGGACTGCCTCAGAGGCCAGCACTGGGTATATACAGGAAGGAGGGGGCAGAAATTCCCCTGGCAGTGTCGTCAAACATTCTGGATGGAAAAAGGCGGGTGGGGGGCGGGGGTGCACATAACCGGGACAGACAGTTGTCAGAACTCTTTTCAAGTACAGAATATGATTTTAAGGGTCAGTTCTCTCTTCTTTATTTCAGACACTTTAATTTCAAAGAAAACATTTGTTTAGACTTTTAATCAGGACTGATGCTTGATCACATGCTAATAGTGAAATATCCTAGGATCTGCCTTACTAATCCCAACATGTTGCCAGAACTTCTGGTTCCTGGAATTTAAAGTATTTCAAAACAGCAAGAGAAGGGGGAGAAAGCACGGGATCCCTCACTCTCCTACCCCCATCCTCATAACCCCTTCTCCCCTCCCTATTAAAAAAAGGAAAGCAAAGAAAGAGGAAAAGTGAAAGAGGAGAGAGCTGGTAGAGAATCTGTCCTGGGCTTCCTTTATAAAGAATCCTGATCTGAGGCCTGTTCACATGGTCACATGTCTAGTATTGTGGGATCTGATTCATGCCACAGCGCGAACACTTGCTTTCCCCCAATTCTGCCCTCTCTTGCTCTGATGAGAAGTGAGATGTCTGCGCACATTTCCATTCCTTTGTAAAGAAGTCATCAAAAGCCACAGGAAATGCTAAAAGTCTTTTCCAAATTTATTATCATGCTCTCAAATAACATTGAGCAATTTGGGAAATAAAACTGTATTTTTCCCCCAGCAATGGCTTATTCCCTCTGCTCATTCAATATATATTAATGATTCTCTCTTCCTACGATGGGGCTGTGAGCAGTAGAATGAAATGTGGAACAACTATGCCTGACCTCAGGGAGCTTGCAGAGAGGTGAAGAGCCAAGTCCTGAAGAATGGGCTGAACAGTCAGGGCTGTAGGAGTTTGGGAGGAGAAAGCCTGCAAGGCTGGAGAAGACAGGGAGAACTCTGCTGGAGGTTGGCTTTGAAAGAAGAGCAGGATACAGGGAGGCAATCAGGATGGCAGAGGGATGACAAAGACACACTGGGAATGGGCAGAGGTGCCAGTGGTCGGGAGACAGGCTAGAGAACAGGGAGCAAGGCATTGAGAATCTGGGTGGGGAGAACGCATTCATTAAACAGACCTTGTTGAGTATCCATAAGGTGCCAAGCACACGAAAGGGCTTTAAACAAAAGGACAGGTAGCTAAAGTCAGATGCCCGGATAATTGCCTAGCCTGTTGTCTGATTAGTGGCTGAGGTGCCAGGTGGTGGGCAGTGCCAGAACCCAACCTCCATGCTCCTCCTGCTGGTCATGCTTTGGCCCTGCTGGACAGCAAGTGTGAGAACCCCTCTTTTCTTGGCACCAAAGCCAAGGAAAATGAAACCCTCTGTTGGAAGCTCTAAATATGGCAGCAATTCCTGGGCTGCCACAGGCTGGAGCCTCAGCTCAGTCCACAGAGACCTCCGCAAGGCATTCTTGCTGAACAGTAACTCATAAATGTTACCCATGGGATGAAAAACAAACTTCACCCAGGGCACACGCCTCCTCTGGCTCTGGTGGTGTTTTATTTATTTCCACAGACCTTAGTCCCCATCTTCTGTTTGTTTCCCTTGCCCCTCACTTTCTTTACCACTGACCAAGAATAAAATTTGAGTCAGATCTTGGGGCAAGGAACAGCTCGCCAGCCCACCACTCTTTCCCCAAAACCATTTTCAGCTTGTCGCTCCCCCATTTTAAAATGAAAATTGCTCCCCACCATCCTCATGATGAAGTCCAAGCTGGACGTGCTCCTTGAGGTCTCCCAGCCCTTTCCAAACTTAGCTCCTACGATCCTGTAGCTCCACGCTTACTCCAGCCAGACCACACTATGCCCTGCCACCCCCAAACTCCGCACCCCTTTCTGCTGCCCAGCCATGTCCCCAGTTGATTTGTTCCACCTGAAGTGCTTCTTCCTTTCTGACCTTCTAAACCCTAAAGTTTGAGAGCCAACATAGGCCTGCCACCTCCACAGAGGCTTTTCTGAGCATCTTACCGAGCCTACACTGGTGTCTCCTCCTCACTCCTGCCTGGAACACTTAGACAATCTGTGCTACTTGACTGCAAGGCACCGTCACCTTGTTAGTCCTAGTTTTAAGGTTCTCTGAGGGCACAGGCAAAATGTCAAACCTCTCATGTATCAAAGTACCTTACTCCAACAATAATAGTGTCATACAGCCCTTTCAGTTATGGTATGGTGAGCTGGCATGAAGATTAAATCAGTCACGGTCCCCCAGCTGTGGGGGTATTGCAGAGTTCCAATGCTTTAGTGCTTCCAGTAGAAAGTGGATTAATAAAGGCGAGTGATGGTGGCTATATTCATCACTAGGTTGCTTAACACCCCATGACTCCTCACTGTCCCCAGGAAACAAATCCCTGTATACTAAGGATGTTTTCACACAGAAGTAGCTGGCTGTGCCCGCTGTCCACATCATGGGTGTGTTTCGTGAGCCAGCTGCTAGTCAGCTCTCACTGACACAGGTGAACAAGTCCGGACAAGGGCAGACCCCTCCCCTCCTGACCCGTCCCATCCTTAAGAGGCCAGGGAGGTTTCTGCCTCAGATCCCACCTCCTCGACACTACAGAACAATCTGTTGCCCAACACCCGTGGCCCAGAGCCCTCACCTCACATGTGTAGGTGCCCTGCTTGGACTCAGATTTCTGGCAGAGGATGCCAGGGCTTGGCCAGGGTTCCACCCTTCTGGTGATATAACATAGAGGTGAGAAAATGGGCCAAGCCCCAGGGGGAAAAAGCCACTAACACAAAAATCCTAAGAAACAAAACAAAAATGAAAACCTAATGACATCCCTAAAGATCAGCAAGTGGGGCTAAAGAACAGCCCACACTTTGGAAAAAACACTGTCCATTAGCCCAAACTTCAAAAAGTCCACTCTACTCTACTCCTCCGCCTTTGACTTCCCTGCAAGACACACATCAGACGAGGAGGGGGTTAACAGAACCCAGCTGCCCCTCTTATCTGGCTAGCCTGCTAATGGCGAATCTCTGCTACTGAGGTCCCGTCAGTGATTTCTGCAAATCACTTTTATTAGAGATAATGTCATCTTTACTTCATTATCCAGCCCAGCAGCCAAAGAGAAAACAAGTTGATACACACACACACACACACACACACACACACACACACACACACGTATTTTTTTTTTTTTTTCTGTGAAACACCAGTTCTGTCCATTAACACTGACAGGTGACAGGGAACTGAAACTCCTGGACCATTCTTATAAGATTTTGGTCAAAACTTGGCACTTAACCCTCTTTTTCCTGGGACAAGCAGAGCACACCCCACAGCCTCTTCCCCAGAGCCTCTAAAGCAATGGTTGGTTTCTGTGCGATGCTCATTGCCCTGGCAGCTGAAGACAGGGCCGCTGGTGACACCATGGCAGGCCGGCCTGCACACTCAGTTCTGTCCAGCAGATAAAACAGTTGTATAACACGCAGGCAGGTGAGTGCAGGAGCACTGCTAATTCTACTTTATGCAAAGCAATAATTAACATGTGAGTCAGCAGCAGAGAAAGACTTTAAGCCCGGGGAAAAAAAAACAGCCTGAAAGTCCTGAAGCCTCAGAGGCAGCGCCGTGTCTGATTAAACGATTTAGAAGATTAGAGTGAGTGTAGGGAGACCTAAGTGGAGGTGGGGTGTGACTGCAGTGGCTCTCCCTGAGTAGTCTCTCAGCTGTGTCCAGGATACTCTGAATTTCGGTGCCGGTTGGTAGAAAGAAAAGGTTCATTTTTCCAGAATCAACTAAGAAGTGGTCTTTTCTGTCTCTCCGCTTAGTTATTTCCCTTAATTATTTTTAAACCTCGGAGCTTTGGCTTCATTGGAGTGACGTCTGATGGCCACAGAGATTCTGACAAATGCATCTGTTCTTTTCCCATGGTGGTCTGCCAAACCCCACAACTCTATGCCACCTAGAGGAAAGATCTAAAGCAGTCAGAGTTCTAAAAGGCCACCCTTACATAGCTAAAACAGTTTTGTTTTGTTTTAATGAAAAAGTACTTCTTGGCATTTTAGCATTTTTGTAAAAAGTATGGCTCCTTGGAATTTAAATCACATCTGGTCTTTGTTTGATGAGCCAGGGCTTTCATTTATTTGACAGTTACTGAGTGTCTACTACATGCCAGGCACTGGGGATAGAGAAGGGAAGACAGATCCCTACCCTCCAGGAACTGACAGCCCAGTCAGGGAGACACACTGAGCAGACCAGGCCAAGCGCATGTGCCATGCAGATGCAGCAGGACTGCCCGGGCTTGAGGACTTGGACACTTACTCTATGACCTGGGGCAAGTTACTTAAGTTTCTCTAAACCTCAGCGTCTATGAGTGCCTGCCTTACAGAGCCTCTGTGAGGAATAAATAATATATACATGTATGCAGAGAACCATGCCTAAGAAATACTACACACTCAATAGTGTTGAGGCCATTGCTACAGAAGTCAGGAGCAAGTGCTCTGGGAGCAAGAAAGATGACATAACCCAAAATGGGGAGGAAAAAAAAAAAGACTCCTCAAGGGTTTCCCCAGTTGTGAATTTAAGGACAAAGGAGAGTTAGCCAGGACAAGGAGGTGGTAAAGGAGTCCCAAAAAGATGGGGCAAAATCAGGCCCCGTGAGGCTATGGTTGTAGGAGGACAGGTCTTGCCAACAGGGGCTGAACTCCAGAACAATGCTTGGGACCATCCCTCCTAAGGTGTCCCAAGGTGCCCTCAGCCGGAAGCAGAATCCTGGTTTAGCTGAACCATGGGGCAACCCTATTGTGGCATTTCTTCTATTTTTGCATTCCTTGTGCTTTGACAATGAGATGATTGTGTGGATATTACAAGAGGTGATTATCTCCATGGGCACTGAGCCTGTTTTAGCGCAAAGACCTTGCTTTGCCAGAGCCAAGACTTCTGAGGTCACAGCTAAGTTGCCAATTCTAGAGAACTTCTGACAAACCTCAAGGCCACTGGGAACCCTGCTCTTTGCAGGATGGCTTATTTTAAAAGATAAGCTACACTAAGTAGGTGCTGGGCAGAAGGTAGCCTGGACTTGAGAGAGCCTCAGTTCAGGGACAGTGCACTACCCATCTATGTGTGCCTAGCTCTACGTGTAGGAAGAGAAAAAGACAGCCTGTGCTATGAAGCGATAACAGCTCAGAAACGGAGCTGGATTCTGGATTCTGTAAAGCCTTTTATCCCAGATCTCTGTGGGAATGGGGGTGCTTGGTGAAGCTCATGCCATCACGGGGGTCAGGGGCAGAGGGCACAGAGCTTGTTTGATTCTGTCATGATTTAAAGCATTAAGATGGAAACTTGGAGGGAAAGTTTCAAGAAAAGAGAAACAAAGTATTACTGATGATTCTGCCTGTTACAACAAACATGTGGCATCACAAACGGTCTGGAACCTCAATCAGAATGTTCAGCAGTTACACATTCTTAGTTGGATTTAAGTCATTCTGTGAATGATTCATCTCAATGCCTATAAGTGAACTTCTTGGCTGTGAGGCAATAGTTGGGGAATTTAAAATGTGTAATATTCCACAGAGGCAGGCAGAAGCTATGCAGACAGCCAGAGGTGTTTTTGTCTTTAAGAAGGATGTGTGTGTGTGTTTTGTTTGTCTGTTTGCTTGTTTTGAGATGGAGTCTTGCTCTGTCACCCAGAGTGCAGTGGTGTGATCTCGGCTCACTGCAACTTCCGCCTCCCGGGTTCAAGCGATTCTCCCGCCTCAGCCTCCCAAGTAGCTGGGATTACAGGTGCCCACCACTGCACCTGGCTAAATTGTGTATTTTTAGTAGAGACGGGGTTTCACTATCTCGGCCAGGCTAGTCTCGGACTCCTGACCTCATGATCCACCCGCCTCGGCCTCCTAAAGTGCTGGGATTACAGGCGCGAGCCACCACGCCTGGCCGTGTGTGTGTTTTAATAGAAAGCCTATAGAGATGAGCACAGGCCAATTAATAGGCAAGGTCTCCAAGGGGAAAAGAGCTTATCTTACAGGGACAACTCCTCGGTCTCATTGCCTTTTTGCTGCCAGCTTCCCTTGACCATCTTCCTGTTTTTCCATAGGCCTCCCCTTACCATAAATAGGATAGCCTACACGTTCCCCTCCTGTCTTGCAAGGACTGTCGGCATAGGTGCTGAGTCCTAGGAAAGAAAGAGCATTCTAGCAATGGTGCCTCCTACCCTGTGGTTGCCTCGCACCCAGATGACAATCCCTGAACCAGAGTCAGTAACCAATCCTAGCGCTTCACTTTCAGACACTGGCCTACTCAACCAGGAAGGGTTTCTGGAAATGCCCCTATTAAGGAAAAGAAATGTAATATGCAACTTGACTTTAAAAACCCAGGAAGCTCTAACACTCTATCAAGTTCTTAAGACTTTTTCTTTGCTGCATAATCCTTGGCCAAGTTCAAAGGTGAGCACTTTCCCAGAGGCTCATTAGGAATAATGTTTACTTCATACATTTTGAGGATGCAAAGTTTGACTCCATTTTGCTTATTTGGAAAAAAATAATTTTTTTTATGAACAAAAAGGAGGAGGGAACAGGGAATGAGACAAGGGTAAAATGTGAAAGAGAAGAAAAAGGTGCTTAGAAGACTGGCCTGGAAGGCAGACTTGTGTTCTGAACATTTTCACCTCTGATTTGCTCTGAAGAGTTACAATGGGAAGATATTGTACATTTCACCTTTCTGAACCTTGAAGACCCCATCTGTCCTCCCCACTGTTCTAAGTGATTGCTGAAGGTACGTTCTGATGGTAGATATGATATATACTCATGTTTTCACAGAGGATGCTACATAAATAAAGTGTAGTGACATTTATAACTAGGACTTCTGGGTTCTGTACTGGGAAGGAAATTCAACAGAGAGCTCTGTGAAGGTTTGTGGTCTGCTGCTCTCAAGCCAGGAGGTCATAAACAGGCCCATCAAACCAGGCCATCACTGACTGTTTGGGGGATGGGCAGCCATTCTCAGTGACTGGTTGAGGCCAGGGAGTTCAAGCTTGCACTTCATCTGTCATTTTCATCTCATTTCCTCCCTTAGAATAAAGCACCAGATCTAAATGGGCCTGCCACCTCCCATGTTTGGTTAACGAAGAGTGGTATGGGGGAACTGGTCATGGGGACAGAAGTACTTAATGCCTCCACCTGTCTTACCTGCCATCGTGGCCTCTACTCATTCTTCAAGACCCACTCAAGCTCCTAGCTCTCCCTCCTTCCAGGAGGTGCCCCCAATTTCCTGGCCGGGGTGACCTCACTTACTGTCTACACCACTCTTTTGGCACTTAGCAGTCTCTGCCAAGTTTTGTTAAGTCTCTTTTTTACCTGTGTAAGCCAGGGTCACTAACAGCCCGATCTGCATATGGACTCTGGGGACCATAGGATAGTTAGACTGGAAGAAAAATTTGAGGCTGTTGCCAAGTTTTCTCAAAACCTAAGTTCAGACAATTCTGGGGAGGGAGTACGTGTAGCCCCCCCGGAGGTAGGTTAACATTTGGGAGCAGAGAATTCACCTTTGATAGAGGGCTGGCTCAGGAGGCATGAGGCAATATTAAGCTCTTCCCAAAGACTTGGCAGGAGGGCTCTGGCGGGGCCTCCTCTGTGCACTGCCCTCTGGAGGTGGGGCTGAGACCACCACCAGGGTGCCCACAGCTGTTCAAAGCTGAACAGGGCAGAACACTTTTTCCACAAGTCACTCAACAGATGAATTTTTGTGTGTGCCTACTCTGTGCCAGGGGCTATATTCTAATGGAATTGTCATCCAAGGATATATGGGAAGCTGGTTTGAGCCTCTTTATAGCTTCCATCCACACTACCGGTTTTAGACATGGAGTTTTATAAACTTTGTCCCACCTTATATTCCAAATAGGTAACTTTTGTTTTTCTGCAGTTCAACTTTAATTTAAATATTAATGGCAGTGTTCCAAGCTTCAGAATTCATGGGATTTGTAAACAAGTCTGAGCTCCTGTCTAAAGTCTCTGTGGTTCTAAACATTAGATAGGTCACTATCAAATCTCCTGACTACTCTGGTCCATTCTAAAATCTCTATTCCTATGTTCTCACTGCCCATACCACCTAGCTTTTAATTTCTAATATTCTCTAATTCTCTAATACTCTCCTGTATATTAATGTCCTCTCCTCACTTAGATTATAGCTCCTTGAGGCCAGGGACCACATATCCTACTTTTTCTCTTTTTCATTATGCCAACACAATATTGGGCACACAGCAGGCATTTAATACATATTCAACCATGAAATCACGGCACTTTAGAATAAAGAAAATGTTAGCATTTATCCAGTCTAATCTCTTCATTGTACAGATGAGGAAACTGAGACCTGGAGGTTGTAAGTCACTAGCTCAAGGTCAGCACGGCCCCTGCTGGTCCTGAAGCTGAGACCAATGTTTATGGGCAGTAAACCATTATCTACTGACATAGGTACAACAGTGACCTACATTTTGCAGTTGAAGAATCAGAGGTACAATGTGTTTAAGTGACTTCTCCAAGATACCACAACTCATAGGTGGTAAATCTCGGACTGGAACCCAGGCAGTCTGGCTCCAGGGCCTGCAGGCTTACCGCCTCCCTCTCACTTCTCCTCTCCAAAACCCCTAGAACCATTTTCCCTATTTCCATATCAGGGTATTTACTATCTCCTGTCTTGAGTATGATCACCTGTATGCTCGTCTTACCCCTTCCTGGCCCCCACTAGACTATATTTCCTATGGGCAGGAACAAAGGTGTCTCCTTTAATTTTCTGGGATCTTCAGCCCAGTGCCCTTCCTACAGTGGGTGCTTAGTGAATAGAACTCCAAATATGTACAAATGAAGTATGCTAGGGTAGTAAGGCAATCCATTTCTTCCTCTTAAAACACTGTGTAGAACTTTAAATACTTGTTTTTCCCCACGGAGGAGATAGGAATCTAGTGGGAGTACAAATGCTTTGTCAAGGCCTCTCCACCCTGACCAAATGTTGCCCAATTCTTGCACAACCTTACAGTCACGTGGGAGGCTCATCCCCCAGGCAGGTGATCTAGCCACTCCTCTCTGCACCTATTCATCATGGTTTTTACCCCCGTTTTCTTTCACTGTGTACAGAAGACTGCATCCTGGCGCCCATACTTAAGCCACTCCAGGAAATCTTGATAGTCGAATTCCCTTGTTATTAGGCAGTTGAGATTGGAAGCTTAAAGAGAAAAGCAGATTCCCCACTCCCCCTGCTTCTCCCAAGAGCATAAGTTGGTTCCCTGCTGGTGGGAGAGTCAGCAACAACTACAAGATTCTAGTGTTTCCCAAATTCACACAGGAGGGAGAACTAGGCTATCCCCAGGGGCAACTGATGCCTAGAAGGAACTGATCCAATCCCAGCAGCACAGAATCATTTCCATTTCATATTGAATGTCACTGTTTTCTCAAATATTCAAAATAGCACCCATGCTATTCCAAGGTTTCCCCTTATGAAGAATAACTGGGCGCCATAATTATGGTTTTCTTTGCAGGAAGTGATCACTACAGCTTAGCTACTTTCCCTCTTCAGGATTTAAATGGGGTGAAGGTAAGGGGCTTTCACTAACCTTGCATATGGCAGCCTTCTGTTTCTTCTTTGTGTCCCTGTTTTAAAAACAAAAAGCCCTAACATGAGTTCTAATGATCATCATGGTAATAGGATTTCAAGTTTTTCGCCAAATTTTTTATCCATGCAGCAGCTATGGATGAATATAAAACACCCTGGAAGTGAGCGTGTATGTCCCAATGGAGCTTTCCTGTTGGCAGGAACAGAGAAAATGGTCATGGAACTCCTCCTCCAACACCTGCCTGACATCACCAGCACAAAAGCCAGAATTCTCCGGCTAAGCAATGGAAAGGTTGACTAGCTACCATACAATTACCCTGCACTGATCTTATCCCGCCTGGATTCTCAGTTGAACTACTAGGAGGTCACCACCAAAGTGAGTCATGTCATCCTTCGCCTGCCTACAGGATATTCTAACACTGAGGCTATTAGGGCTTTTACCATGAATGAAGGACACCCTTTGGTGCCTCTCCTAGTCCCTCAGCCTCAAGGAAATGCCCACATCGGCAGAATTTTTCTTTATGCTCTTTTGTATGTTCTTGCTCCCATCTGCAATGGATAGGACAAAACAGTTCTCTCCCCAAAAGGAACTATCTAAAAAATTCCCAAGGGCAGTAATACTCTAATGTAATACAATACTGGTTTTAAAATCCCATATTATCTAAGACTCTAACCTAGAACATACAGAGCACTGCCCACTGGAGAGTACTGGATCCAACAAGCCCAAGGGAACCTTCCTCACCATGCTTTTTAAGCAGGGAAGTGGATTCCTCCCAGGGTCCTGTCCTCAGGAGATTTCCCTGCTCCATCTGGAAAGGTCAGCTCACCCTAAAGATAAACTGGACCTTTTTTCTTCTCTTTCGATGTTAAGAGCTACACAACATACTTAAATATTAAACAACATCTCTATCAATGGGGAACTGCCCAGTCCAACAGTATAGCAAAAGCCTGTGCCCAAGCTGGGTGAGATAGAAGAAAGAAAGGCAGGCTGTGAGATGGGCTCCAGCCCAATTCGTTTTCAGTGTAGAGCAGAAACACCAACCACTTCTGGACTTCTCTATTCTCAACATTTAACAAAACAGCTCCAAATGGAGGACTCTGTCTCTCCTGTTAAGCCTTTTATAAGGTGCAGTTAGTTCCCCACTTACGTAACTGCTTTTAATAATGTGCCTTGAAAACTTGTACGGAAAAAGTTTGGCATCTAGGGGCAGCCCAAGGATGAGCGTTTTCATCCTGGCCAGGCTGCCACAGCCTTGCCCCAGTCTATAGGGCATATCACAGCCAAACAGGGACATAAATGCTCCCTTTAACTGTGTCTTGGTTTGGCCAGAGATGGCCTTAAACCAGTCTGTTCTCAGGGTTACTGTTCCCTACCTCCAGCATGCACCTATGCTTTGTATTTTCACAAGCAAGATTTGTAGTTTTGGATGATAAATATTTATTGGGCATCTATTGCCCATGGGCCTTGCTAAGAACTGTGGGGTGTGCAATTCATATAAAAACATAATTAGGGCTGGGCGCAGTGGCTCACACCTGTAATCCTAGCACCTTGGGAGGCCGAGGTGGGCAGATCACAAGGTCAGAAGATCGAGACCATCCTGGCTAACGTGGTGAAACTCTGTTTCTACTAAAAATACAAAAAAATTAGCCAGGCGTGGTGGCGGGTGCCTGTAGTCCCAGCTACTCAGGAGGGTGAGGAAGGAGAATGGCATGAACCCAGAAGGCGGAGCTTGCAGTGAGCCAAGATCGCACCACCGCACTCCAGCCTGGGCTACAGAACGAGACTCCGTCTCAAAAACAAACAAACAAAAAAACCATAATTCACCCTGCCCTTGCTTTTAAGCTGCACAAACAGCAAATGAGACAAGAGGTTGCCCTATATACACAGTAGCCATAGACTAAATATTTGTTGTTGGTGGTGAGACCAGACATTGTATGGGCTGGCAGAAACACGCAAAAGATCATGGTGGGTTATTTCAGAAGACAGGAGAATCACACCCAATACAGTCAGTTTCCTTTGATTACTCATGTATATCTTTGCAAAATTCTGTTTTGGCTTCCCTGTGGAAAACAGATGAGCAAGTGACCTAGGGGCATAATAGTGGCAATATCTGATACAATTCACAATTTTCAGAGGAAAAAAAAATATTACTTTCTTGATGAGTTTGGTCAGTTTTCTACCAGTCTCTTATGCCATAAGAAGAGAAGCAAGACATCAATCTGTGGATGACTTTGGGACTCAGAGAGCCTCTGTAATGTGTTTTGGTTTGGCCAGAGATGGCCTTAAACCAGTCTGCTCTCAGGGTTACTGTTCCCTACCTCCAGGATACACCTATGCTTTGTACTTTCACAAGCAAGATTTGTAGTTCCGTATGATAAATATTTATTGGGCATCTACTGCCCACGGGCCTTGCTAAGAACTGTTGGGTGCGCAAGATATATAAAAACATAATTCAGTCTTGTTTATTCCTCCCATCCATTTGTTAAAAGACCTCATCAGGTGTGGACACAGTTGCCTTTGGCACCTACTTTATTTTTCCTTTCTTAACAACTGTTTATTGATCACTATTTTATATCCATCACCAAACTTAGTGCCAAAGAGTAGAATAACTATTTTTAGAATAAAATGTAGCATATATGAATTAGACAAAATATAGCAGCTTAAAAAAAAAGTCTCCTCATTAACTTCGTCTAGATTTTTACACTTTTCAAGGGTAACGGCCCTGTGTTGCCTGTGTGCTGAGTGTAGACTCTAGTTATGATCCGTGAGGTCGCCATGGGAGTGCTGTGCTTCACACAGCCTGCAATCTACCACGCTCTTCCCTCCTAGGCAGATAAGACTGGAGCTCACACAAGGTTTGTTTTCAGCTGTTAATAGATTGATTCCTTGGTAATGTCTCCATTTTAGAAAGGCCATACAGGTTAGTACAGAAATTGCAAACTTCAGCTCCCACTGACGGGTAGGTTTGGCTGTCAGGAGCAGTGTGTGAAAGATTCCGAGGACATCTCTGGGCTCAGAGGTGCTGTGATTGATTAATATTGCCTGTCGTGGGGGTGGACTAAGTGAGGGAAGCACAGGTGGTATCTATGCCTTTGCCATCCCTGATATAATGGAAACAGCAGAAGCTTTGGAGTGAGGCCTCTCAGCTTCAAATCTGGGCTCTGGCTCTGTGTGCAAGAACTGAGGCAAGTCATTTGGCCTCTCTACATCTCAGCTCCTCATCTATAAATGGGAATAATATCTATTTCACAGGCTTGATGGAAAGCAGTGGTTCTCATAGTGTGGTCCAGGGATGAGCAACATCATCATCATCTAGGAACTTGTTAGAAATGCACACTCTCAGGCTCCACCTCAGACCTGCGGGCCGAGTAAGAAATTCTAGGGATGAGGTCCAGTAATCTGAGTTTTAATAAGCCCCAGGCAGTTCTGATGCACACTAAGGTTTGGAACCCCTGTTGTTAAGAGTCACAAATAAGTCCTGCGGCACTTACAAGGATAGAAGTTATGTTTTATCAGTCATGACTGATGTAGTCATCTGCCACACAGTGACTAGCAAAGTGCCAGGCTTATAGCAGGTGCTCAATACATTCTAACTTCTTTTTCTTGTAAAAATATGAGCTGCCAGCATAAGAACCTAGCGGGTGGAGAAGAGGAGGGGTTTGTATATTGTTTCAGGTGGAGAAATTAGCTAGTGCAGCGGTTCAAAGACTTAAGCAAATGCTTGGCAAGATGTCTGGGAGATTTCCTCCCCCAAGAAGAAGGAAGAAAGTGGGCCCAGGATTCCGTAGTAGATGACAACAATAATTATTCTCAGGGAAGAATTTCAGGGAAGGGTACCTATACATCACCCAAATCAGTAGGGATTATACAGGATAGATCCAGCCCACAGCAAGCTTGCCTTAAACCTCATTCAGAGAGTTGAAGTTACTTAAGTCCCAAAGGCCTCTATTTAAAATAGTTTCACATGCTCCACAGCACGAACTGAAAATAGGTCTACTGAGGTGCCTGTACTATATCCTATATGCCAGTTATTATATATAATAACCTTATGGTGCCTTCATCCTTCTCTCCCTGACACCTTTCACTCCCAAATATCATTATGTTGATAGTCTTTGTTTGCCTCACAGGTGTAAACAATGGGGCAGTGATTTCCATTCCCACACAGGCTGTTGTGGGGGTGCGGGGGTGGGGTGGGGGGCAAGGAACAGGCAATATGTTTATAAAGACAAATCACTGATCATTAGGAAAATGTAAATCAAAGCCACAATGAGATACCACTTCACACCCACTAGGATGGCTGATATCTAAAAACAAAAACAAAACAAAACAAAAAACAGAAAATAACAAGTGTTAGCAGGGAAATGAAGAAACTGGAACTCTTATGCATTGCTCGTGAAAATGTACAATGGTATGGCTGCTATGGAAGACAGTACAGCAGTTTTTGAAAAAAATAAACACAGAATTACCATATGATCCAGAAATTCCACTTCTAGGTCTATATCCAAAAAAACTGAAAGCAGGGACTCAAATTGTACACCATGTTCACCATGATTCACAACACCCAAAGGTGGAAACAACTCAAATGTCCCTTGACAGAAGACCAGATAAACAAAATATAGTGTCTACACACAATAGGATATTATTCGGCCTTAAAAAGAAATAAAACTTTGAATACATGTTGTAACTTGGATGAACCTTGAAAACATTATGCTAAGTGAAATAAGCCAGACATAAAAGGACAAATACTTTATATGTCTATATATACAATCTACTTGGAATAGTCATATTCATAGAGAAAGTAGAATAGTGATTATCGGGGATTGGAGCATGTGGGGAATAAAGAGTTATTATTTAATGAGTACAGAGTTTCCATTTGAGATGATGAAAAAGTTCTTGAGCAGTGGTGCTTGTAGCCCAACAATATGAACGTACTTAATGCCATTGAATTGCAGGCTTAAAAATAGTTAAAATGGTAAACATTTTTTGTTATGTATATTTTACCACAATAAAAAACGATTTAACCACCTTAACCCCACCACTACCAGCAAAGGAAAACGACAACACAATGCAAAGCTTCTACAGTACTCTTAAACTAAACTCTCACACAAAGTTAAGTATCTTGAATAGAAAGGACTCCAAAACCTCTCCCTGCTTAAAATCTAAGATGATAATGGCACGGGCAGACAGTTTTCTTAATTTACTTTCATCTGCCACACTCCAAGCATATCTGCTGTGAAAAAGAGACACAGCTGAAAATGGAGATTTAGCTCTGGCTGTCCAGTGTGTTCACCCAGTGGCTTCAAAATCCCTATTCTCCTTTCCGTTAATGAAGGTTTGCTTCGATCTTTCCATTAGCCCACAAACTGCTATTAGAAAAGCCATTTATCAAATTAACACTGAGCACTGCAAAAGTCATCTGCAAGCGGCGTGCACTTTTCCACGTAGGAGTTGCTATGCCAACAGCTGCTCCATGTGCATTGTACAGAAGTAGCCATTTCAACAAAGTCCTGTTCAACAATTCCCAGGACCAATTAAGTCTTACTGTCCCTTTGCACTCCCTAAATGTGTACACATGGCAAGTACCCTACCAGAATCGGGTAATGACCAACTAAGGGAGCAATTACAAAATCAACAAATTTCCACACACCGAAAACTTTGAAAAGCAGGCAACAATTAGTTTCTCTCTTTAACTTTTACTCCTAGTCCCATCCTCATTCCTCGGGAATAGAGTCAAGGAATTTGGTGTAATAAGAGTCTGGCCAGTAATTCTAGAAAAAGGAGTCCAGGGTGAATAAATTGAAGGAGAGACTGTAATTATTCAGATTGTTGTAATAGATCATTTGCCTGAAGAGCAGACAACTATAAACAAAATGAGGCAAAAATCCTCGCATTCTGCCGTTGCCAAATTTTGTTGCAAATTTTTCTGTTCGAAGATGCCTGGGAACTCTTAAATATGTTTAAACTGACTGGCATTATCATGCTTTCCCACATAGACAAGAAATCTGAAAAAGAGAGCTTTAGGAAACGATTTGTCTTGACTAAACAGTAAACTTTACAAGCAATTCCCAACCACAAGCAATCATCCCCAGCCTCATACTATCACTTCTGATTAAATCAAACATTCAACTCAATTTAAAAATGAATCAAAGAAAATAAGCAAATACCGCAGGCACCTGGCTCCAAAACAAAGAGGAATCACCATTATATCAAAGTTTACTGTAAATCTATGCCACACTTCCAACCACGATCAGCAATGGAGGAGAAAAAGCTAATCACAAGCCTTAAAAATATACAATTTCCAAGGATGAGACAGAAACACTGATAGCACCTTTTTCAGCTAAACTAGTTGGATTTTTAAAATAATCTTCCAACTGTCAGCAAATCTGAATGATACTTTCTTTAAAGTTTTTAACATCATGAAAACAACTGTATAAAGAAGAAAGAGTGCCTTTTTAAAGATATAGATTGTGTCATAAAATTTCAGGAGGACAATAACCAATTAAAATTAAAAATGGAGCTTATTTGAAATCTTGGTCACAGGAATACCACTGAAGAAAAACTTGTTCTCCCAGCTAGCAGCTCCTGGCTCAAAGCATACATATGGGCCACACTGGAGGATCATTTTACCCAGGGTAAGGTCTGGCCCAGCCCTGGAAGCTGTCATCATTGCAGCCTCTTCCTATGTAATCAAGTGAATTATTCTAAGCCTAGAGAAAGGCCTACATGGCACTTAACCTTTTATTTTGCAGCTATTTCTGGGGCACCATAGCTAACACACTGGTCAGAAATATAGAAAAGATGCCGCTTTTCAGATAACACATTGGTCAGAAATATAGAAAAGATGCTGCTTTTCAGGTCTGAAAATAAGCTTGGGCTGGTTATAGCTTGTTTTCTGAGCCTGGACATGTCAATGAATAAGGGTTTCACTATGATACCTCTATAAGTGGAACTTAATACAACTATGTATTAAATCTTTGTAACTTAGTAGCAAGAGATAGTTCTGATATATTGCTATATAGAAAATGCATTTCACAATAGCATGTAACATGATAATGCAGGCATACCTCATTTTATTGTGCTTCACAATTAATACTATTAATAACTAATAATTAATGTTGAATTTAGGGAAGACACGTCATGTGAATTTACAAGTAGTTCTGCTACAACATGGCATATGAGCTCCTAAAAATCACCACACTATGCAAAACTAAAAACCACAGAGCTTACGGGAAAGAAGAGGTTAGGGTACAACACTCAAAAACTTTCTCAGCAACACAAAAACAATATGGGAACTTAATAAAAATGGTAGCACAGTTTTACACGTGTTAAATGGTTAAGAAACACAGGCATGCCTTGTTTTATTATGCCTTACTTTATTGCACTTTGCAGATATTGCACTTTTTACAAATTGAAGGTTTGTCAGGCAAGTTTATCCATGCCATTTTTCCAATAGTATGTGCTCACTTCATATCTGTGCCACATTTTGGTCATTCTTGCAATATTTCAAACTTTCATTATTATAGCTATTATTATAATGATCTGCGATCAGTGATCTTTGATGTTACCACCGTAATTGTTTTTAGGCATAAACTGCACCCATATAAGACAGTGATCTTAATAAATGTTGTGTGTGTTCTGACTGGTCCAGTGATTGTTCCTCTGTGTGCGTGTGTGTGTTTGTGTGTGTGTGTGTGTATCTCTCTCTCCCCCTCCCCAATCCTTCCTATTCCCTGAGACACAACAATATTGAAATTAGACCAATTTTAATAACTCTACAATGGGCTCTATGTGTTCGAATGAAAGGAAGAGTCACATCTCTCACTTTAAATCAAAAGTTAAGGAATGATTAAGCTTAGTGAGAAGATCAAACCAGGCATAATATTCCCTTAAGCCAAAGTCTAATCCAGAGCAAGGCCCTAACTCTCTTCAATTCTAGGAAGGCAGAGCAAGGTAAGGAAGCTGCATTAAGAAAAGTATGAAGCTAGCAGAGGTTGGTTCGTCACATTTAAGGAAAGAAGACATCTCCATAACATAAAAATGCAAGGTGAAAGAGCAAGTGCTGATACATAAGCGGCAGCCAGTTATTTAGAAGATCTAGCTAAGATCATTGATGAAGGTGGCTACACTAAACAGATTTTCAGTGTAGATGAAAGAGCCTTATGCTGGATGAACATGCCATCTAGGACTTTCACTGCAAGAGGGGAGAAGTCAATCCCTAGTTTCAAAGGACAGGCTGACTCTCTTACTAGGGACTAATGCAGCTGGTGAGTTTAAGCTGAAGCCACTTATCATTTACCATTCTGTAAGTCCTAGGGTTCTTAAAAATTATGCCAAATCTACTTTATTGGTGCTCTATCAGTGGAACAACAAAACCTGGATGACAGCACATATGTTTATGTGCTCGTTGTCAATGCACCTAGTTACTCAAGAGCCCTGATGGAGACGCACAAAATTAATGTTGTTTTCATGCCTGCTAACACAAGATCCATTCTGAAGCCCATGGATCAAGGAGTAATTCTGACTTCCAAGTCTTATTCAAGAAATTTTGTAAGGCTATAGCTGCCATAGATAGTGATTCCTAGATGAATCTGGGCAAAGTAAATTGAAAACCACCTGAAAAGAGTTCACCATTCTAGATACCATTAACAGCATTTGTAATTTGTGGGAGGATGTCAAAATATCAGCAGTAACAGGAGTCTGGAAGAAGTTAATTCCAAACCTCACGGATGACTTTGAGGGGTTCAAGACTTTAGTGGAGGAAGTAACTGCAGATGTGGAAGAAATAGCAAGAAAACTAGAAGTGGAGCCTGAAGATGTGACTGAACTGTTGCAACCTCATGATAAAACTTGAACAGATGAGTCAGAGCTTCTTACAGATGAGAAAAGAAAAGTGGCTTCTCAAGATGGAATTTGCTCCTGGTAAAGATGGTGTGAACACTGTGGAAATGACAACAAAGGATTTAGAATATTACATCAACTAAGTTGATAAAGCAGTGGCAGGGTTTGAGAGGATTGACACCAATTATGAAGGAAGTTTTACTGTGGGTAAAATGCTATCAGACAGTATCACATGCTGCAGAGTCTTTCCTGAAAAGAAGACTCTATTGATGTAAAAAACTTCATTCTTGTCTGATTTCAAGGAATTGCCACAGCCACCCCAACCTTCAGCAACCGTCACACTAATCAGTTCTGCAGCCACCGATATGGAGGCAAGAACCTCTCCCAGTAAGAAGATTATGACTCACTGAAGGCTCAGATGATTGTTAGCATTTCTTTTAGCAATAAAATATTTTTAAATTAAGGTATAGACATTGTTGGCCAGGTGCGGTGGCTCATGCCTGTAATCCCAACACTTTGGGAGGCTGAGGCAGGCAGATCATTTGAGGCCAGTAGTTCGAGACCAGCCTGGCCAACATGGCAAAACCCCATCTCTACTAAAAACACAAAAATTAGCTGGGTGTGGCAGCACATGTCTGTAAATCCCAGCTACTCGGGGGTGCTGAGGCACCAGAATTGCTTGAACCCAGGAGGCGGAAGTTGCAGTGAGCTAAGATTGCCCCATTGCACTCCAGTCTGTGCAACGGAGTGAAACTGTGTCTCAAAAAGAAAAAAAAAAAGGGTATGTACATTGTTTTTTAGACATAATGCTAAAATATAAACATAACTTTCATATGCACGAGGAAACAAAAAAAAATCATGTGACTCGTTTTATTGTGATATTCACTTTACTGTAGTGGCCTGGAACGAACCTACAATATCTTAGAAGTATGCCCGTATTCTGTAATTATATATCAATATTCATGATATAGAGAAAAGTATGTTCACCAAAGAGTTAACAGTGGTTATCTCTGGGTGATGGAATTTTGGTGATTTTTATTTTTATCTCCATGCCTTCTTTTACTATGACTTTTTATGGGGAACATGTATATTTTTTATAATCAGAAGAAAACAACTTAGCAACTTTAAAAATAATTTTACAGGAGAGACAATTCATGGAGATAGATGTGTGTGCACATGGTCCCAGGGCCTTCCCAACTCCCCTTGTGCTATAATCTTCCAAAGAATTTGAGGGGGCTCTGCCCCTCTTGCCCTCCACCCTCAGAGCCCAGAGCACCCCTGGGTGACGTTTGCAGATCCCTGCCCTCCCTCTACATCCTGCCCTCGGTCCAGCAGTGTGAGTGAGCTGCTCCTGCACTGGGGCCAGCCATTCAGGGAGCAAGGAAATATTATGCAAGAGCACAGGAAGTCAGAGGAGACAGGATTCTGGGCAGGCCTGGCAAGGAGTCTGTGTGAACTCCAGTGAACAAGCAGACTTTGCTCAGTGGGGCCGAAGCCAGCAGAAGGCCTTCCCAGGGCAGCAAAAGGGAGCCGTCCACCTCATGTCTCTGGCCAGTGGGCAGCCATCCAGAACTTGATGTACCTGATGTGAGGCAGATAAACCCAAGTCTCAATATTTCTACTCTTCTGGCCCAAGTTCAAGGTGACTCCCCAACACTTATGCACTGTGACTCACCTCCGTCCCACAGTATGCACCCCCGCCCCCTCTGTACAACATGACTTCATTCAGTGATTTTCAAACCTGCTCCTCTCACGGCCATCAGCTTTCCGGCTCAGTCCGTTCTCACTGTCTCAGAGTGAGGGACACAGTTCCTCCGGGTTGCCTGCATGGGTTGCCTCACATCAGTATCAGCCCTGAAAACTTCAGATACGTTCATGTACATGTATATGAGTCACAGTGGCCACAACCTCTTCTTTTGCAGTAGTTGATATTTTGGAAGCCCCAATCCAACTGGCAGGGCAGAGATCATATCAGCCATCTAACAGAAGTGGAAACTGAGGCACAGAGGGAGTGCAGTGTGACCTAGTTGAGGGTGCTCTCCGTCACCCCAGCAGCCTGCCTCCTTCTCCCTGGCATCAGGAGATGGAGACACTACCCCTCCTGCAAGCACAACTATCCCTTTTTGTAGAAACCACTGGGCAGCCCACCTTCTCGTACCCCAGCCCACCTCCTTCTTGAGGGTGGTGGTCTTGCTGCTGTCATGGAAGTGGGTTGGGCCATGCCCAACAGCGACTTCCAAGTCTCTGCCCCTCTATTCCAACAGAACCTCCTCTTGGAGAATGGGGAGTTCCTTCCTCCAGCTCCCGACCAATCATCTTTAATCGTCCACCTTCCTTCCCTCTAAGGGAGCATGTGAAAACAGGAGTCAGGACGAGGCTCCACTTGAAATTTATTTCACAATGGAGCTAGAACCCTATTGGGGATCTCTGAGCCAATTTTGACTGGTTCCCACTTACTAGTCCATTGTGAAGATGGGGAAACTGAGGCCCAGAGAGATCATCCAGCTGATTGGCACTTGCCTTTGCTGTCTAGCAGGCTACACAAACAGGACGTTTTCCTGAACAGAAAGGACCTAGATCTGAGTGGAGAGATAGCCAGGGCTGGGTAGAAATGGGGCTGTAGTCCTAGGACCCACACTCCCTTTGGCATCTGTGGAGGTACAGGCAGTGGTGTTTCAACACGCAGAGCCAGCCATGTAGAGAGTGACACCGACCCAATCACTGCCCCTGACCTGACAATTGCTAATTGTGGTAAGAACCGACAGTGGCATTCTCCTGGGACTCTCTTGTGTATTTCCAGACGCCACCAACACACAATGGCCTCTACTCCTCCGGTGTAAACATTGCCAAATAAGACAAACAATAACATCACCACGACAGAAAAATAAGGTGCCAAGAGAGACAGCATGGGTCTGTGGAAAGAGTCTGGGTCTGGGAGCTGTTCAGGTAGGCACTGCCACTCTCTGGTTTTGTGATCACATTTTTGTGCCTCAGTTGTTTCATCTATATGACAAAAATGACAAAAGCTTCAATCTACATCAAGAGCTTTGAAAAAAAATTAAGCACTGAACAAATATAAGAAATAATAACGTTGAAGACAAAGACCTGACAACCTCAGATTATTTCACTTAACAAACATTTAAGGAGCACCTCCTGTGTGTAGGCACTGCCCCAAACCCTGAGGATATGGCAGTAACCATGTAATGCATGGTCCCTGCCTTCATGAAGCTTACATACTAGGGGGCAGCAAAGGTGACAGATGATAAGCAAATAAATTATGACATGTGGGGCTGGTCACCGTGGCTCATGCCTGTAATCCCAGCACTTTGGGAGGCCAAGGCGGGCAGATCACCTGAGGTCAGAGTTTGAGACCAGCCTGGCCAACATGGTGAAACCCCATCTCTACTAAAAATACAAATATTAGCCTGGCATGGTGGTGCGTGCCTGTAATCCCCGCTACTCAGGAAGCCGAGGTGGGAGAATCGCTTGAACCTGGGAGGTAGAGGTTGCAGTGAGCTGAGATCCCGCCATTGCACTGCAGCCTGGCGACAGAGTGAGACACTGTCTCAAAAATAAATAAATAAATAAATAAATAAATAACAACATGTGGGAAGTACTGCTAAAACAAAACAAAACAGAACAGGAGGGAGGTTAACTAAAGGAGGTGAGAAAATGCTTCCCTAGGGAGGTGATATTTAAGCTGAGACCTGAAGGCAGAAGTTAACTGGCCAGCCTCATGGGTGGGGCTGAGGGATGAGCAAGCTTAGGCATTAGGGGCATCAAAGATGTTACAGATGAAGGATCAGAGGCCAGAGCTGAGTGGCCTGTCACATCTCATGGTCAGTATGTAGCACAGCCAGGCGTTTGCACTCAAAGCCTTTTTCCCACTTCTAGTAACACCGGAAGGACAAGGTATCTTTTAGGTGTCAACATTCGCTCTGTTTCTCTGCTAGTAGCTGTCTGACCTCTTAAAGACCTTGGGCAAGTCATCTGCTTTCTTTGGGAGCCCACAATTAGGTCTTGCTCATAAGATGCAAAGCAACAAGTAGGACCTGAGCAGACATGGTACAGATGTAGCTCTTTAGGTTTAGAGATTTGGGTGTGCTGAGTTGAAGGGATATTCCCATTCTCGACAGAATCACATCTTGCACAAACCACCTCCATCTCCACAGGGGAGGGAAAAACAGGCCAGATGTAGAAAGGAGCATAACTGGTCAGACCCTTTATCTAGAATCCTGGAAGTGTCCTTGGTCTCTTGGGTATAATCAGATTTCCTCACATCTCAGGGTATGGGCAAAAATAGAACTGATACCCAAAAATCATTATTAGTAAAAACTAATAATTCTGAAAATCCCAGCCAGGTAAGAAATTTAAAGGCCTGAGAGCAAGAGTCCCCTAGCTTTTCCTAAGGCTGCCTTCCAACTGCAGCCAAATCACATCAACAGGCAATAATGTGCCTAATGATTATATTGCTGTGCTTGTTAATAATGATGCCTTGAAGGTCTGCCCTTTAAACTTTTCAAAGTTCTATTGAGATAATAGTTGCAAAAGTGATTTTTAAAATATAATAGACTTTAAAAATGCATGGTTTTATGAAACTCTAGCTCATTTCAAACTCATAATAGTACTCTGAGAAAGCAGCAAATATGTCTAACCCCACTTAGGAAAGGGGTTAAAGAAAGAAAGGTTAAATTACCTGTCCTAGGTCACACACATCAGAGAAAGATCTAGAAAAGTCTTTCAAACTCCTAGAGACTTGAGAGCTCCTCTGAACCCCATGTGGAGGTAGGCTTTGCCAGGGACACAAAAAAAGAGAAGGTGACTCGGGAGCATTTACAATCCGTTTGGCAAGATAAAAGCCAAGAAACACAGAACCCTGTGGTCATCCCAACGCTAATTTTGGAGGCAAAGAAATTCAAGTGGGTGAAAGTTTGTCTCTCTCCAAAATAAACATGTACTGTGCCTTGGCCCTGAAGATCTAACTCAAGAAGAATTAAGTTGTCGTCATTGCCCTGGTAATATTTGGAGCCATACAAGGAGATACAGGTGGCCTGGAATCACCAAGATTATGTTGATTTGGGTATGGAAAATGGTTTCAAATGTGCTCAAAAGAGATGACTCAGGAACAAAGGGATCAATGCTCACAGTCACCCAGACTCCTTTCTGCCTGGGTTTTCTGCTCACCAGGCTTTCCCAAGGCCTTGGGCTGGCTGGCGGCCACAGTGACCACACCACCCTCAGGTGTGCCCATGTCTCAACATCTCACTAGCCAAGGTGGGGAAAAGTACTTGCTAGGAGTTCAGCAAAGGCAAAGTTGGAACTTTTCAAAAGGATGTTTTACTTTAAAAAGGAAGAGAAAAGGAAATGAACACAAAGGAAAAGACGTGGATATGTTCACAGGTTTCACACCCTAACAGATATCTAGTCACAGGTTAGCTTGGTAGGACATCTTCCTTTTCCTTCTGGAGGTCCACCTGGAGCTGTGAGAAGGTAGATGCTAGACTCAAATTTCTAGCCATGGCAAGATTTGGGTAAACAACACTTTCTAGCCTAGGGGAGTTCTTAGGAGATTCTTGAAACTAGTCCCTTAGTTTGGGCTGCGCTGTGCTCCAAAGCTCTCTGGCACCTGCAGTCTTTTCCTGGTTCTGACAGTCCAGGCTCCTTTCCACCTAACTGTAGAGGGCCCTTCCCTGCTCTCGGGCCTGAGGCTCAGCAGCCTGCACAGAGTAGGCAATGAGCAGAGAATGACTGTGGAGCGAGTCATTGAACCAACCAATCCTGCCTGGGCCAGGCAGCAGTTTCCCAGTTTTACAAGCATTTATTGATTACTAGAGGGACAGAAAAGGAATAAGAGGCCAAATATGCTGGGTGCAGTGGCTCACGCCTGTAATCTCAGCACTTTGGGAGGCCGAGGCGGGTGGATCACAGGTCAGGAGATCGAGACCATCCTGGTTAACACGGTGAAACCCCGTCTCTACTAAAAATACAAAAAAAATTAGCTGGGCATCGTGGCAGGCACCTGTAGTCCCAACTACTGGGGAGGCTGAGGCAGGAGAATGGCGTGAACCTGGGAGGCAGAGCTTGCAGTGAGCCAAGATCGTGCCACTGCACTCCAGCCTGGGCAACAGAGCGAGACTCCGTCTCAAAAAAAAAGGCCAAACACGCAGTTGTCATTGTGAGGTTAAATTCTAAGCCAAAAGTACTCAGGAGTTATATAGCCTCCCTCAAAGTACCGGTGGACAGAATGAGCTAAAGTGACTTGGATGAGACCCGCTGGCCTCTACTGGTCCCTGGAATGGAATCTTCTCCAGTGACTTGGGATCTCTGGCCAAGGCCTGGCCCACAGTGTTCAGGTATGACTTTAAGTGTTTCTAAATTCCTCCAGGGGAAAGGTTACACCTGCTCGAGGAGGGAAAAATCCCCAGCTGCTCTACCCAGGTGACTTCAGGAAGACGGCTCCTTTTTTCCCTCTTCTGGTGGTATCATCCCAAGAACTTGAGTTAGGGCTTTAGGGAGTGTTGTGACCAAACACTAGGAAAGGAGAAGGTCAAGGAACAGCTTGGTCGCAGTGCTTTGTACAGGGTGTGCAATGAACAGTTATTGGTAGAAATTGATCAAAGGGATGGTCTGACTTGGATTTGGCTGTGTCATGCCCTACAGATAGTGGGATATTGAAGGGACTGTTCTCTTTCCATAATGGTTAGACTCAAAAACCTAGAATCCAGAATGAGAAAGGGACAGAATGAGAGCCTTATCAAATAATGAGGGGGACAAAGGCTTTACCATCAGAAAGAGAACCTTATCAAATAATGAGGGGGACAAAGTCTTTACCATCAGAAAGAGAACATGGGGATGAGGGTCACTGCTATTTTAGGATACAGCAAGCTGTCCTCTTCCAGCTCCCACTCCATGCACTAGGAGACTCAGACATGGCGTTTATTACCCTGAGAAGTGGTACAGGCCAAAAAGAAACATATATCAGAGTGATTTGGGCACATTCACACATGCCTGATTTACTAAGGGCTAGCAGGGGAGGCTTTGAGGTCAATATTATAGAAGACAAATCATGGCCTCCTCCAACCACCCACTTGATGCTCACACTAGAGCTAGGCTTCTGGTTGGAGGGCTAATGATGGAGATGCCCTGAGCAGCTTCTCATGTGCCAGAAGAGGCATGCACTGCTCCCATGGCCCCAAGGCAACCCAAAGATTCCATCACAACATGACTCAGGAAGGCCTGCCCCTAAACTTCCCAACACCAGCCCAGGCCTGGTCCTCATCTCCTTTCTGCTAACAGAGCTCCAGATCCAGCCCTGGAAGGAACTGGCTCACCAGTCCTGGCCTGCACACTCTGTTTATTGCTGCCTTCTCATTTTACTTACGCAATTCACCTCAAATGGAATGCCCCATACTCATCTGCCTATCCAAATTCTACCTAATCTTCAAGACAGACCTAGGTCTTCATGCTCCTCCAATAAACCTCCCTCTAATCTCCACTAATCACTTCCCTAACTATTCCCAACACACAAGATCTATTTACCCTTACTCACTCTCACTTAATTACTATCAATCTTCCATTGTTTGCTCAATGTTTTATCTGAGTTGGTTGTGACTTCCTAACAAGATGGCAACATTGTAAAGGCAGCTTGGACATCCATTAACATAAATCATCTTATATTGCTTAAACAAATCATTTTAGGACATCCTGAGTGCAGGGTCCATCTAATGCCTCTTTGTAACCTCACCGTACAGCATAGCACCTGAATTTGGGAGGGAACCTATAAACATCTACACACAGTGATGATTCCCACAAACCCTGCTCTACGCATGGTGGATAAGCAATGAGGATAAGTTAGGTTGATGTGAGCAAAGTGTCTACCTGTGCTTCCAGTTCTCTACACCAAACTCCCAAAGTTCCTGACATAGACAGAATTACTCAGTCTACAAATAATTACTGAGCACCTCAAGAGACCTCTATTCTGACTTCTGTGGGGAAAAAAGAACAGGAAAAAATGACTGGGTCTTTGCTCTTGAAGGGCTTACCACTTGAGTGGTGATCAGGGACATACGCCACCCCCAACCTTCAAAAGCAAGTTGTAAAAGCATCATACAAATAACAAAATACAGACTGAAGACCATCTATAAACACAGGGGTAACCAATGTGCAGTTAATCAGGGAAGGCTTCCCAGGGAAGATGATCTCTGAACTGAGAGCTAGTGCCCTCTTGCACAACTTCCCCATCTTGCTTTTAACGTTGAGATTAAGCTGGAGTATTCTGTTTGGCTGTACTCACATTAGTGTATAAGGCATTCTTGAAGTGAAGCACTGATATAATACTAGCCTGACGTTTGCATCTGATATAAAGTTATGTATCAATAAGACCTGACTGTGGTCCCCCAAATTTTTTCTTTTCCTTTTTCTTTCTTTTTAAAGGGAAATAAGTAAAGGGGTCAAATCTACATGAATAAAGAAAGCAGAGCTTGTGAGGCAGGCTTTCCAAGTAACCCAAGGGACATGAACAAAGCAATTCTATTATTTTTTTTAAAAAACTAAGCATGATTTCAGAGCCCCCCCCCCCAAAAAAAAGCAAGCAAGGTATTAGGGCACATCAGAAAATCAGACATCCTTGGCCTTCAGGAACATGCTATATTGTTAGAAAGGCAAAAACAAATAAAGTGTCATTAGATAACAAGGAAATATAAGCAGGCTCTTTGGCAAACAACCAAAAGCTAGTAATGCAGGGAGTGGGAGTGCCACTGTGGAAATTTCTACGCTCCCTTAGTGATTTTGTGTAAGATTTCGGGAAGCCTGGGCTCACAATAGAAAAGTAGGAGCTATTTGAATAGGAAGAGAGGGGAAAAGCATCCAGATGGAGGAGCTAGTGTGAGGGAATAGAAGTGGGAATGAGTACTGCAGCACTGCCTTTGAGGCTGTGGGAGGAGGCTTGTGTATTAGGAACTCAGGAGGCACAGTGAATGATGGTGAATGGGCGATAGAGGTGAGGTGGGGTCCCTTGCAGTCAGCAAGGTGAACTCCCACTGCCATGGTGGCTGCCCTTGGGAAGAAAACTAGACCAAGGACCCATGTCTTTACTGAGGCCCTGAGTGTCTAGCTAATCTTTGGAGATCCCTAAGAGAAACCCAAATCCACAAAAGAAACCCCTATCCCACTCTGAAGATTCTCTGTGCTCCGAGGATAGGACAATCCCGCTGAGGAGGCCTAAAACAGCTGCAGGATCAGCACCATGTGGACCTCTTCTGGGGGACCAGGAAAGCGATCTCAGCAGCCAGGGTGCCTTCCAGTCAGTCGGCAGGGAAATGCACGGGGGCACTAATTTCCATGGAACTCTGGAAGACTCCAGAGAGTCAGGGGACCACACAGTGCCCAGCCACACAGACTAGGATTTCTTTAGATGTCTTGGCCATGACAAAGGCCCTTACCAAATGGGAGGCGCACATCAGCTGAGGCAAGACAAACAGAGTGATAGCAAGAAAGCCAGAAAACCAAGAAGAGCCTCAACTCCCATGCCCCACCCACCAATAATTCCCCCTAAGTCCCGGGTACAGAATAAAAGACAGACTCCCGCTGCACAACGATATGGTTACATTTATAGAAGCTCTCTTGTCACCAGTGAAATGTGACCTTCATACTTTCCTTATCTTAATATCTGGGTAAACATTTGTTGTGCAAGCACACAAATAAAGGTTCTAAAGGTGAAATGTGGTGTGTCCAGCAACACCACACTGCTCCAAACCCAGGCCCCAGAGAGTCCTTTTGGCTCTGCAGAGGACTTCTCTCTCCCTTCACCCTGGGCACCAAGGCACCAAAATTAGCTTCGTTGACCTCAGCCAGCTCTGGAGTGAACGCTGCCATTCGAAAATAGCATCTGAGAACTCTTGGAAACACAGGAGAGAAATACAAGGGTACAGTGGTTTACAGAAACTTACTGCGAAAGCAATCTCACTGGAGTGCTTTTTTAACTAAATACACAGGAAAGGGGCATTATGAGGATTTACTCCAATCTGTGGAAAGTGAATTATATGCTTCTAGCTCCCATCCTGATTAATTCTATTAAGTGTGATTGTTTTCATTTAGAAAAATATTGCAGAGGTAATGTTCATAAAGAGAGTTTGTCAAATGACCCATGCTTTGACCCAAAATTTTGCTGTACTAACTTGCACAGTCCTATTATTTCTAGACACTCTCTAAAAACATTGTGTCTCATTTCCCCATATATTTGATATATGTGATTTTTAAAATCTTGTCTTGAAATGCAGAAGGAAGGATTCTCAAGCAGTTCCTCAAAAGGCACAATTTTCTGTTGTTTCTATGTGGAATTCATAAACAAAGCCAAGTAACCGAGTTTTTATGTGTGCTTAAAGGCACTCTTTCCTGCAACTGTGTGTGACGTATTTTTCCAGGACAATCTTTCTCAATACTCCAAAGTGCTTCAGTAACAGGAAGTCATAAAGGTAGGAAGGAGGCCTGTAAATATTTGCTGTAATTGCTCATTAGTAATGAGAATGGCTGGCATTGAATTTTGAGTCACCCTTTTGTGCTCATGGCTCATTACCTTGTAACTGGAGCCCAAGGTGGTACATATGGGCTTTCCCTCACCATGGACAACCAGGTCCACTTCTAGGTTTTACTTCAGACAGTGTGGCTTGTTTCTCTCAGCACCTCCATTTCCCAAATATAAAGGAAGGAAAGCATGCTGGTCTTCTTGCTCCCTGCCCCCTAACCAGAGGCAGTCAGGAAAAAACTTATACAAAGTAGTGACAGTATGCAAAGTTTTTATCAAAAGTGAAATGTGTGTATTTTTTTAATACTATACTAATACAACATCGAGAGACAGATAAATACTGTCTGGGTAGACACACAGCACAATGATTTAAATGATTACCAAAAAATAATCATATACTTTAATGGATGTATTTTAAACAACTTATAAAATGCTTCTGAACTTTCTCAGATTCAGCTCATGTGTCCTCTTATTCATAACAAGCCACTGACTCCCCTTAGTCACAGGCCAGCATCAGGGCACCTCGGACTAAAAATGAGACCAAAACACTCAACCCGTTACAGAATTGATTAACTTCTAAGAATACTATTGGCTGTACCCCCTGCTTCTGGGGGCAGCCTACAGGGCAATGGGGGTTACCTTCAGCACCACAATCATGAGTACAACATAATGGATCCACTTTCCTGCCCACGTGTTTGATTACACGGCCTAACCAGATAAAATCACTAATTTGTTAAGATTGCTACCACTTATCTCTTAGTTTTTTTAATAGGAGAGTTCCATGGCTGGGGATGGGGGGATAGTTCAAGAAGTCACTAGGGGTGTATGAGACACTTCTAACAATCCACTTCCATGGCTTTATAGAATTCACAAAACGTCAGATGAGTACATGGCAAATAAACATATGTTTCAATGGGGTCATTTTTCTCATTGACAAGACACCCTTTCTGAAATATTTTTCCACATGAGAAAAGGATCTGTTCACAGGATCATTATCTGGCATGGAAATTACTTATAACTTTAAAACTGAGGAATCTTTCCAAGTTCGGGGGAGTGGGGGCAGTGGGAAATGTGCCTCCTGGAAACATGTGGAACTTCTGGCAGTGATGTCATCTAGTAAGAGTTTTGCTGACGTACAAGTGGCCCCTGCAAACAGCCTAAGGCAGTCAAGCAAACAGGTATTTCTTAAGAAATTAGAAAAAACAAGGTCACTTAGAAGTGGATAACATTCTTGTCCATTCCACACCTGACTCTTCAGCTCCAGGTATCTCACAAAGGGTCTCGCCACTCTTCTTCACTTTATGCTTTCATCAGATCAGTTATGGGGCTTCCAACAGTGGGAACAGACAAGGGTCACCAAATTACACCCAACATCTACTTGAAAATTACAGATGCTATTAGGGGCATCCCATGGATGACCACCACATCGACTGTGATGCACAGTTGCCAACACGGCTTGCTTCTCTCTTGATTAAGGTATGTGTCAATGCAATTCTGTTTGGCAGCACTAGAAAAACTCAAGGTACCCTCTAGGTTCACAGTGCAGGGGCCAACAGTGTGATGGCTGTTAAGGCTCAGGGCTCATCAGCGAAAGGGCTCTATAGAAATGCAACATGCTATTATCACAACAATCATAGCTATTCTTTATCCCCCTATCCATTCTTTCCTTCCTGTGCTTGCAATTTCAAAAGATCAAAAGAGCCACAGGAAGTCCTGTGCATCTTGATGGTTCTTCAGAAGCCACAGAGGAAGAGCTTCTAACAGGTTCTCCTGCACAATGGAGTCCGAAGGCTGAAGTAATTATTGAAGTCTTGCCACCAGCGAAGGGTGGGATGTGGAAAGCTTTGAATTTCTTGGGGCAGGAGAGAACCACCTCTTGTCAGGGTCTAGGAAAACCCATGAAAAATAAGAAATTCAAGGAGTTCCATGTTGGCCTTTCAGATCTTCAATCCCTATCTGCTTGTGAGGTTTGATGCAAGTGATAAATCACAAAAAAGAAAAGTAATTATAATTACAAGGAAAACAACAAAGGCAGTTGTCATTTATAGAGCACTTATTGTGAGTCAGAAGCAGTATTAAATACTTTATAGATATCTTCAGTAAGGGAAGGGCGTATGGAACACCCATTGAGAGTATAGACTCTGGGGACCTCCTTTACTCAGGTTGAATGCAGCTCTGCCCATGCTACCTATACGACCTTGGGCAGTTAGCCCTTCTAGACTTCAGCTTTCCCATCAATGAAGTGGGGATAATAACAGGGCTTATCTCACAGGATTAAAAAGTTAATCCATGTAAAGTTCTGAGGACGGCACTGGCACAAATAAGACTGTCAGTTTTTTGTGTTGTCCTGATGCAAAATATAATTTCTATTAAGACCACATACATTCCTAGAACATGAAGGTCATCCAAATAACTGTTTGAGGATGATGGAACATTTGAGGATAAATTTGTTTTCACAGTCATTTTTCAGAAGCATTAATAAAATGAATCATACCAGTATTTACCCTGTGCAGGGCACTTGGCTTCCCGTCCTTCCAAGACTGAGGGCAGACATGTAGGTGGACGGACACGCCAGCCAGGGACAGGGAAGATTAAGCGGCACCTCAGAACCTTTACTAAATACACACACCTTCCTCCTCCCCATTCTTCACCACAGGGAGAGGCAATGGCAGTAAAACACAAGAACTGTCTGGGATCTGAACAGGAAGACTCTGAAACATAAGACAGTCACCAAATCAGACATCCAAGAGCAAGGGCTTGCCTTTTCCATATCCTAGAACCTTTGAAAGGCTATGGAGAGCTGAACAGACTTCCTTTAGAACAAGTTGCTTCTATACATAATGTCTTGCACACATTTTCAGAGATTTACACGCCAGCCTCTGAAACCCATTCACAAAGCCTGGTTAAGAAGCTCCCTCTCCCTTCTTGGCCTTCCTGGAGTCATAGCTGTCTCCACTGATATTCTCAGGGGAACAGAAATTACTACCCCTGTTGTCTGTGGAGCCCCACCAGCTCCCTTTCCATGTCCCCACCCAAAGCAAGTGTATAAAGAACAGCAAACATTCCATTTCAGGGGCCTTCCTGTGTATGGTGTCGAAGTACATGATAAGGGATACACCATAGGGAGCCTTGTGTGTTTTCTTTCCTCTCGTTAGCCCTCAAAGACTGCCTTCTCCCATTTGACCTTCCTTCTGAGCCAGTCTTTAAGCTGGTGGTCAGCACCTACTCTGTGTGGTTCCGGGGACACTAGGAACAAATTTCTCCACCTCTAAATACACATAATACTCTTAAATAATTGTGTGTGCTTATGTGTGTGTTGGGGAGGGGGGCGGTTATTACCTGAAATGCTACTCAGAGCTTATCTTTTGCTTCAAAATATTAGATTTCTACAGAAAAGCATGTAGGCTGTCAGCTCTTTATATTTTCTTTCTTTTCTTTCTTTCTTTGACGTTGTCTCGCTCTGTCACCCACGCTGGAGTGCAGTGGCACGATCTCGGCTCACTGCAACCTCCGCCTCCCGGGTTCAAGCGATTCTCCTGCCTCAGCCTCTTGAGTAGCTGGGACTACAGGCATACGCCACCACGCCTGGCTAATTTTTTGTATTTTTAGTAGAGATGGGGTTTCACCATATTGGCCAGGCTGGTCTCAAACTCCTGACCTCGTGATCTGCCTGCCTCGGCCTCTCAAAGTGCTGGGATTACAGGCATGAGTTACCACGCCCAACCCCTTATATTTTTACTTAAGCTTCCTTGTATCTCTTTTTTTTTTTTTTTTTTTTTTTTCCTAATCAGACTAAGCAACTTGATGACCAGGACCATATCCCCTATTTCTTAGTATTCTCTTCAGCATTTTAGCCAGAGTAGGAGTCGGTGTTGAATACAAGTTTGTCATCTTATGGATTATATCTTAGGGTGAATATCAGAGCTGGTGTCCATCATGTGAACAGGCAGCATGGTACTGGTGGGGAGAGGGGTGGAAGTACAGAGTACTAGGGCCCCAGGAGCTAATATTGCTAACTTGACAATATTGGTAAAAGCTAGACCTGTTAAGAACTACCAGCAATGGTTAGTACTGAAAGCAAAAGGGAAGATTCATCAGGCTAAAATAAAAAGGGAAACTAGCAGGTTGGCATAGGGCAGAACCAAGGAAAACAAAACAAAACCCCCAAAAAACTACTAGATTTCCTGAAAAGTGGAAAAGCCTAAATCTCAAGACAATTAATGACAGCAAGTATTTTCAAATGTAGGAGCCTAAAATCCTGGAGCACTGAGAATTATCTAATTGTTTCCTTCCATTTCTAAACACTTTACTTAATAAATTCCTAGAAAGTTGAGAATCACCACTGCCCCCCCCCCCGACGCACGGGCACACACACACACACACACACACACACACACAGAGAGAAAGAGGGACATTCTAAGTAAATTAAACTGTTTAGTCTCACAGTTTTCACTCCTAGTGAAAATGCCAACTAACCCAGTACAAAAATCAATCTAGCAGCTGCTTGAATGTTCTCTACCTCAAAAAGCAATCTGCTCCACTGAGGAGCGGTCCTTGCATTGGTTTTGTTTAATGAGGTCTACCTATATAAGTAGATTTTTTTCTAACTAAAACAATGAATTCATACTTCTCAAAGTTTACAGACACTGGGAACAGCATCAATTCAACTCTGCTTCCTTTTTTTTTTTTTTTCAAAAAGCAAACAGAATCATCACTTCTACTGCAGCCTAAAGGTGTTGATAATTATCCAGAAAAGCAAATCTCCTTTCTATAAGGTTCAGCGGTTTGAGAGTTGTGATGGGGAAGGCACTCCTTCGGAAATCATCCTCACTATCTAGAGATATTTCAGGGCTGGGGTACTCTCCTGTGAACAATAGGAAAATACATACTTAATTGAAAGTAATAAACCAGGGTTCTGACTTTTTTTTTTTTTTTTTTCTTTGAGACGGAATTTCACTCTTGCCCAGGCTGGAGTGCAGCAGCGCTATCTCCGCTCACTGCAGCCTCTACCTCCCGGGTTCAAGCAATTCTCCTGCCTCAGCCTCCAGAATAGCTGGGATTACAGGCACCCACCACCACGCCCGGCTAATTTTTTTGTGTTTTTAATAGAGACGGGGTTTCACCATGTTGACCAGGCTGGTCTTGAACTCCTGACCTCAGGTGATCCGCAGCCTCAGCCTCCCAAAGTGCTGGGATTACAGGCATGAGCCACCGCGACCAGCCCTGACTCTTATCAGCACTAATTTTCCTTGTGACCGGAGAAGTCTTTTAACCTCTCTCGGCATCAGTTTCCTTATCCAGAAAGAGAAAAGTCTGACTAGATGATTTCCATGGTCTCTTATAAAATAATTCTAGGCTCCCTATAAGCACCACTGAAAAAAACTTGAAATGATGGCATTCTTTTGAACTTCATGAAAACTGTATGAATTAAAACTTAAATACTCAAGCCAACAATGTGTTACATCAATTCTGTATCATCCTGCGCTGCTGGTAATACAATGGAAACATATCAAGTGTGGAGGGAATATTTATTTAAAATATATGTTTAAATTGAGAGAAACTGTCCAGCAATATTTTTTCCCTTCAGAGTTGGAATAATGATGGAGTTTGATTTGATTTTAGAAGAGGAACAACTAAGTCCAGCTGTCAGAAGGAGGGGGAGATTGGAGATCCAGGTGTCTCCAATTCCCCTTCCACGCTAGCCCTGTACTGAGCACTACTGTATAAGCACTCTGGGAAGGTGTCTGGACCTAGGTCTGGCTTTGGGACTGGACTTTGATCCCTGATTATCCAAGGATCTCATTTACATTTGCCTGAACCACTCCTCAAACCCCGTGAATCCCAGAATTTCCACATTTTTTTCCCAGTGAAAGGACTCAGGCATTCCTGATAGATGCGTGCACAAAAAGGTGAGTGAAAGTGCAGTACCCCCACCCACCAGGCTTCAGTTTCTGACATCTGTGATGTCACCGCAAATGCCCACTACCACCAAAACTGGTACTATCAAGGACACCCAGCCAACTAACATTTAGAAAGCAAACTCTTTATTATTAAACATTAACATATTTATCGACGTGTGAACATTCTGGGACAAAATCATCTGCCCACTTCTTGACGGGCCATTGTTAGAACGAATATTCCAAATGTTCTGCCCATATTGCATTTGGGGGAAGAAACTGCTCTGCTAAACCAAAGAAACACAAAATGTAAGAACTAGTGGGCAGAATCATCAGCAGAGAGCCCCCTCACTGTCACATCGCCCTTGTGAGGCACTCAGAAAAGCTACAGCAGTCACTTACATGACAACACCAACTTTCAATGTATTGGTTCACATATTTTAATTACATCTTGGTCCCTAAAGAAGCCTGCAGCCAGCAAACAGACCCAGGCACGAAAAGTAAATGAGTCTCAAACTGATTAGCCCAATAGGAATTGGACAACCCCTTAAGGGGCTCTAGATGGTGAAGGACACGCTGTTTGCCCTGCCATTCTGCAGCACAAAAATCCAGGCAGGTCGAAGAGGGCGGACACCCTCGCGTGGCCACCAGCCCGGAGCCGCAGCTCACACAGCGGCCTCCAAGGCGTTTCGCAGGCAGTCCCCACAGTGGTTCTTAAAGCGGCCGCTCTCGCCAATAATTGGGAGTCTAATTACGCAACGTTCTTCCCGCTCCCATTCCCGCTTCTTCTCTCTTTCCAACAGTCCGCTAACGAACCAGGTACTGTAGCTGGGTGTGTCGAAATCATTTTTCCCCTGCTCCCAAGTTTCTCGGTATATACGGTACAAAACTGCACAAAACCCGGCGCTAAGGAGCGCAGGAGGAGCTGACACTTCACACATTTGTCAAGATTACTGTCAGGCCCCACCTCGGCGATTGCCACATTCCCGATAGGCATCGCAGTTGTAAAATACACAAGTTCCCTCCCCGGCTCCGGACCCGAAAGCGTCTGCAGGCGCTGTCTATAACTTTGCTTTTCGATGGTTCAGTCATTATTAGCATTATGATTGGTTTTTACAAAACGCACTGGAATCTTAAGAGTCTTTTCCTTGCTCTGCTGCCTTCAAAAGACATGGAACCCCAGGACTGCTCCGAGGGCCCTGGGAATGTGCCGGCTGCAGTCTCAGGGCTCCCTCACTTGTCTTGGGTCTGAGGGCGCGACGGTGACGAGAAAGGGGGGACTACGGCCAGGAAAGGGGAGCAGGGCCCAATCCCCTCCCCTAGCGATCCCGCAGTGAAGGGCCCGGGCGCCGAGCCAGGACAGGCGCGATTCGCTCCCGTTTATCAAATCCTTATCGGTGCCCCGAGGTGGGAACCGCTGCTTTCGACCGGAGGATACACGGTTTCTGGCTCCAGTCCCGTAGTGGAAGTTGGAACAAGAGCAAATCAACCTCGGCAGTGAGCCCTCCCGGCCAGTCACCTCCCTCCCTTAGCGAGTCGGTCCTCCTCATCCTCGCACCTCTATACCGCCGCTCCGCCGCTGGTTTCCCGCGGCTCAGGCGGTTCAGCCGGCCGCGCGTTGGATTCCAGCTTCCCGCAGCATAGCCTCGCCAAGCCGCGGCCAAGCGCGGGGCTGGAAGCTCCAGGCCACTGGGGCCGCACGGGTGGAGACAGGAGGAGAAAGGGGACAGGCGGCGAGCCGCACACATTTGCAGAAGTTGAGGCCCTGCCTGCTTCTGCGCGGCCGCGCAGAGGGCTCGAACCCTCGCTCGGGTAGCGCCGGGCCCGGCTGGACTGGGAGCGGCCGGGAGAGGGCGAGAGGGCAGCAAGAAATGGCCAGAGTTGCCTCTCACCCAGTGCCGAGAGGCTCGCGAGGGCAGGCGGGCAGATCGTGGCTGCCCTTCTCTGTCCTCTTCGGAGACAGACACCCGGACCTGCCAGGGACATCCAGTGTTGCCGTCCGCTTCCTACACACCGAACCATCTGCCCCCGCAGGGCAATCCAGGTCACTCACTACCTACTCTCCCCAGAGTCAAGGTGCGGCACGAGGAAGTGGGTTCTCCAACCTTCGGTGGGGTCTGGAGCCCGGCAGCGGGGCGCTCTGAAGGGTCCTGGCTCCTCGGTAGGATCGTGTCCCTGAGCCGCTCTCCGCCTCCCGCCCCCCTTTGCCCACTTGGGCCGCGGCGCGGGCACAGGAGCGCATTTGGAAGGACTCCGCGAATCCAGAGAAAAATAGAGACGTGGATGCTGCCCCAAAATGAGAGACCAGAGAAAGTCGAGGACATGCACCCACAAACATTTCCAAGCGCCGGTGGCCACGGTAATCTGCTGCGGGGCGGCTGGGAGATTTTCAAAGGCACCGCGGAAGCACCTCCGACCTCCAGGCCATCTCCCTCGGCCTCCTGGCCTCGCCGTGCGCGCAAATCCCCGACTCCTCCGAGCCGCAGAAGTCTCCACTGCAAAGCTGCTGATCCGCGCCCCCAAACCGGGCACATGCTCTCCCCCTCACAGCCCTCCAAACCGAGCCTCGAGCTCCGAAGACCTCTCAGCACTCTTCTCCCAACCACTCTCGGTCGCGCCTGCCCCGCGCAGCCCGGCCCTGGCCTCGGACCGGCCCCCTGATCGGCCCGGACGCCCGCTTACCTTTTCTTCTCCTTGTCAGCTGTCATTGTCGCTGTGGCCCTTTGAGACGTTCAGACGCCGAGCACCTGGGCTCCCTGGCGGGTGGGGGGCTGTGGCCCTCGTCCGCTCCCCGCGGCCCGGGCGGGTGGTGAAGGTCCGAGGTGCGCGCAGGTCCCGAGCGCCCCGCGCAGTCAGGTGGAAGGTGGCGCGCGGCGGGCTAGGTGCGGGGGCGGGGGTGGAGAAAGGTGACTGGGAGGAACCTGCGCGCGGAGGCGGGGTCCGGGGAAGGAGTGGGTGGAGGCTGTCAGACCCGAAAAGAGGACGGAGAGAAGGGAACCCAAGTTCCTTTTTCCCTGGAAAAGGAGTCACTTTTCTGAGTTTTCAAAGAAAAAAAAAAGTGGCTCGAATGCTGGGAGTCGGAAGGAGTCGGAGGCCGGGCTGAGCTGACCATACAGTCTCAGGACACTGCCGAGGATTGTACGGCCGCCTCAGGAGCGCTGGGGCGGAAGCGCAGCGGGCACCGGACCCGTGTGGCGGTCCGCTCGCGAGTGTAAAGCTCCCGCGGCCGGCAGCCCACTTTAAAAACTCCGTCGGCCGGCTTGGGGCGGGCACGGGGCGGGCGCGGAGGGCGGGGGGCGGGCACCGGCGCGGGTGTGTGGGCGGGCACGCGCCGGCAGGCCCCGCCCGCGCCGAGCTCCGGGCGGCTCACTGCGTCCCGGCCAATGGGGACGCGCGGCCGCAGCCTCTGCCCTGACCCTGGCCCGCCTCCTGCCCCCGCGCTGCGCCCCGCCTCCTGCCTCCGCACTTCGAGGACTTGTTTATGAGGTCGTCTGGGCGGCGGGTAGCGGGGTGGGACTCCGCGTCGGGGAGAGGCAGCCTGCGCAGGGCCGAGGGGCGGCCGGGAGCCGGGCTCCGGGATTGCTGCGGGGGACGGCAGTTGCGCCACAGCGTCGGTGTCCTCGTACCGGCGCCGTGCCCTTGGAACGAGGGCAGGACCGCGGGCAGCGCCGGGCCAGCGCGGAGCCCCTCCACGCTGCTGCGCTCCTGCGTCCCTGGCCCTCGGGCCAGGTGGGGATAATTTCTCGGCCCCCAGCGGCTGCGTTTCGGGCGTGGGCGATGCGCCCTTTTCGGTGGGACGCAGCTGACTTGACCGTCTGGGAGAAGCAGTGCAAGGAAATTGATCTAGGGCTGCGCCTACTCTTCCTTCCCTCTCCCAGCAGGGTGGTTGCTTACCGGCTTGTGCCAGGCGGTTTGGTTTTGGCGGGGATGCGGCAGAGGAGGCCCTTTGAGCCGCCCGAGGCCGGGGCGAGTTCAGAATTGGAGAAGTCAGTCTGGTTCCCCAGTGTGATCTTGGAGTGACAAGAGTTGGCCATGTGCCCTCAAGTCACTGCATCTCAGGCCTGCCCTCTCTGCCGCCAGGGTCGATGGAAGTCCTGGGAAACCCAAAGGCTACAGGTGTTGGAAATTTGTAGATTTAAGGGCTCACACAGGCAACGGTTAGCGCTCAGGGATTTTCCAGCGGCGCTTTTGACGCTGCCTTCCATCTCCGGGCCCAGTGCTCCCCTGCCCCGCGCTGAGCTGTCTCCCACTCGCTACCGGCGATGGGGAAGGGACATCTGGGGAGAGGACAGGGGACGCCCTTAGTTTTTGAAGGCTGTGGAAGGACCCATGAGTTTCACAGGTGTAACTTGAAGTTGGAAAGCGAGGGCCAAAGAACTGGTCTATATCTCTCCCTTTAGCCTCTTGCCACATTTTATACTAGAACGATCTACAGAAGCGATTTGAAGAGAAGGGTAGGTTTCAGCGCCATAATAAAAATGAACACGTGTTTTCCCCGTGTACACAGAAAGGGTTGGGGGAGATACTTTTCAGGAGCCTGGAGAAGGCGAAGTGGGGAGAGGGCAAAAACTGACGAAGAATTGGGAAATACTTTTTTTTTTTTTTTGAGACTGAGTCCCACTCTGTCGCCCAGGCTGGAGTGCTGTGGCCCCATCTCGACTCACTGCAACCTCCGCTTCCCGCGATTCTTGTGGCTCAGCCTCCGGAGTAACTGGAATTAAAGGCGCCCACCACCACCCTCAGCTAATTTTTGTATTTTTAGTAGAGACGGGAGTTTTACCATGTTGGCCAGGCTGGTCTCAAACTCCTGACCTCAAGTGATCTGCCCAACTTGGCCTCTCAAAGTATTGGGATTACAGGCGTGAGTCACTGTGCCCGGCCGGGAAGTAGACGTATTTTGTCATTTTCTCAGATCTCGGGGCACGGAGCACCTATACAGGTTGATAGTCAACGAATTCAAAGATTGCAAATCTCTCTCTAGCGAACTATTTCATGGGGCTGGTGGGTTTCAGGAACGGGGTGATTTGGTACTGGGCTTCTCCAGCCAGCCATTTCTAGTGGACACATTTATGTATTTTAATGAGTTCAAATTGGTAGATAGTTCTCCCTTAACCATAGGCTTATTTCCCTCACTTGGGACTAGAGTGCGGGAAAAGGGCACCTTGGTGGCTTCCAGGTGCCTACAGTAGTTCACCACAACAGCCTCTGAGTCCTGGACTGTGCTTGACAGATCGAGGCAACACCTCCAACCCATAGAGAACATAGCCTTTTAGATCTTGTTTTTAAAGAGGAAAGGCAAGGAGGGGTCACTCAAGACCACATCAACCTAAGAAGACATGGACACATGGGAGGAACAGCACAGACTGGGGCGTGTCAGAGGGTGAGGGGTGGGAGGAGGGAGAGCATCAGGAACAATAGCTAACGGATGCTGGGCTTAATACCTAGGTGATGGGATGATCTGTGCAGTGGACCACCATGGTACACATTTACCTATGTAACAAACCTGCACATCCTGCACATGTACCCCTGAGCTTAAATGTTAGAAATTCCATCAACCATGTTATATAGCTCCTTCCTCTTGGCCAGACTGCACCCTATAAGTGAAGGATCCCCAGGCTAACACAAACAGCTGGCATTGAGTCTGGGATTTTTTTTTTTTCTTTAGACAATCTCACTCTGTTGCGCAGGTTGGAGCGGAGTGGCACGATCTTGGCGCACTGCAACCTCCACGTCCCGGGTTCAAGCTATTCCCCTGCCTCAGCCTCCCAAGTAGCTAGGACTACAGATGTGCACCACCATGCCCGGCTAATTTTTGTATTTTTAGTAGAGATGGAGTTTTGCCATGTTGGCCAGGCTGGTCTGGAACTCCTGGCCTCATGTGATCCACCCACCTGGGCTTCCCAGAGTGCTGGGATTATACGCATAAGCCACCGCACCTTGCCAAGTCCGGGATTTTGGCAGTGTCTGAGATACACCAAAAACTCATTATAATAACTCTCAAAAGGGTTGCACCCAGCCTTGCTTAGAGCAGAGCCGGGTGGCCTGAGATTTCTTCCAGGACTCAGCTCAATAACCTTTGCAGGAAGGAGCTGAGAGTGTAAACCAGATGCAGGCTGTGGCTAGGGTGCATCCAATTTTACTTTTTAGAGCCTGTGGAGAACTAGAGGAGAAAAACTTTGAAAGGTGATGCTGGGGCAGTGAGTGGGGGATGGGGAGCTGGGTCCCCGGATTCAGAGGGGTGTCTTTAGAGACACTGATGTTGTGGCCACAGAGGGCAGCAGAGGACACCGGTAGGCAAAGCTCCCAAGCTGCTTAAAATAGGAGCAAACTGCCCACCTCCCAGCAAATCTCCCTACCTGCCCCCCAACCCTGTATTGGATGGTTTGGGAACAAAAGCTGTGGCACCAGTGAAACACCTATTTGTTTTGACAAGGGACAAATCTGATTCTCTTGCTTCCTCTTTTCTTTGTAGGGTGTGCCCTCAGGAGGATGGGATAGAGATAAAGTGTGAACTTACAAACCTGGCAGAGAGCAGGCACCTGGGATGCAGTGGGCTGGTGGAAGAAAGATGGCCTCAGTACTCCCATCGAAGTAACAGTATGTTCCAGGATGCAGTTGGAAATTAGGTTGGAATGGATGGGATCTAACAGGAACAGCTCTTGGAAGGATGGGCTATCTCATTAGTACCTTACAACTTCCAATGCATTGTCACATATTGGAGTTGGGACCAGGGTGAGGCAAAAGAGGCCTTTAAGAGTCATGCAAGTACACTGGCCTCTGTCCTGCCACATGCCTTATCTCACGTAATACCCATCTGACCCTTGTCTGGCTATTTAGTTGGTTTCGGGGTGGAGAGAGCAGGGGAGGTAAGGAGCAGAGATGGGAGAGAGGACAAGCTGGCAGAGACTCTTTCTCTATGAAAAGCCTTGCCTGAGTCACTCCTTCCCTCACACTTGCATGTTACTCCATCCAAACGAAACCAGCCCCTTTTGTGACTTCACAAAATCTATACTCACACTCCCTGTCACTGAACTCCAGGTCCAGAAAACTATGCCCCCTGTGTTTGGCTTTAGGCCAATGTCGTGAGATATTCCACACAGACATGTGCTGTATCTTCTTTTAAATGTTGTGACTTTTGACCCCACAAATCTAGAATTTGTCATCTTTCAAAAAGAGTTCTGTGATTTCTTTTTTTTTTTTTTTTTTTTTTTGAGGCAAGAGTCAAACTTTTTTTCCTCCTTGAATTCCTAAGTGCTTGCTGGTAAGAAGGATGCAGTTTTAAAGAACCCCAGCTTCTCCATTCCTCACACCTGTATACTGATGACTTGGAGACTAACATCTTCCATTGCTAGGCTTAGGAATGAAGTTTTGCCTCTGAAGGGAGTTGTGCATTTGTAACTGTCATTCAACCAATGGTGAAAGAGTCACTGGTCCAGGGCCAATGTGCTCTGCTGCCTCCGGGAAAGCATAAGACATCAGTCTGTGGAAGAGGGCACTGGTGGTTTCCTTCCCTCCAAGAGGACATAGTTCAGTTGGGTACATACTGCATTTCCCAGATTTTGAATACACACGTTTTAAGGCTTCCAAAATCAGGTATCTTTTGACATGGTAATTCCTTTTCCTCCCCCAATTTTTAATTTGGTAAATATGTACAATTTATATGCTCTTAACATTTTTAAATTTGAAAATCGAGAGCAAAATCTTATAGCCTAAACAACAGGAGTGGTAAGAATTTGGTGGTGGTGAACAACCAGAAAATCTGGAGTCCCAGCCATGTCCACTGCTAGGACCCAGAGAAGCCTAGCCTGGACTGGCCCAGCTGCCGGGCTGATGAGTGTGACCTCTGAGGTGATAAAATAACACCCATGTGGGAGGAATGGCCAATAAGAAGGACATGCCAGCCCCACCTTAGAAAAAGGCATGAGTAGAAATGAAGGTGCTATATCACTAAAAATGATGACATTGGGCCCCAAGCATCCGATTTTCTCTGGCACCTGGCTAAGACAGGCATAGAGGACAGGGCCGGTTGGGGTGTAGTCAGAGACACCCTCCCTATTCTGTGGCATTGCTTTGGCCTGTAGCAAAGTGTTAAAATGGGACTCTTCCTACTTCAGTTTCAACTGAGTTCCCAAGACAATCAATGCCAGCTACTCCCACTTCCAAAATGCGGAACACAAGAGCTCCTTGAAAATGATTTTGTGTACCTTCTCCAGCCACTGTCCACCTCAAGGAAAGTGCATGGATTGATACAGAAGAGGACTCAAAGTTGGAGTTCTAGGATTGAGTTGTCAACATTGTGATCAGTTTTCCTCCCCATACCATGGAGAGAGGACATGCCTTGCTCCTGTCTCTTAAGTCCAGTGACTAGGGCTTACCTGAGACCACACACAGAGCTTGATATCTGTCCCTGGAGCTTGTGGAACACAGGAGACTGCCCACTGGTGAGCAGCTGGCTGAAGAGGCCTATTGTAGAGGACATTTCCATTTGGAAGTCACTCCCTCTTGCCTATATCATGGCAAGGGAGTGTGTGGCAGATTGAGTTTCCTGGAAGATGACTCTGAGGGGGAAGATTAGCATGAGGAAGGTTTATTAGAGTGCTCTTGGGATAGCACCCAGAGGAGGAAAGGAGAAGAAGCAGGATCAGAGAGAAGTGGACCCCCACTGCCCGGATCTGAAGCTGGGATGGCCCTTCAGAGTTGTCCCAAGGCAGAGTCAAGGGGCCTTTCTACCCCTGCCATAGATTGGTCATTGTTCCTGGCTGACCTTGGGGAAAGGCTGTGACCTTGAGCAACAGCATCTGGGGGAATGTGTCCTTCATTCCTAAGGGGAGATCTGGGCAGGGATCACAGGGTCCAGTATGGCATATGGCATGCAGGTACCAGATGTGGAAACTGCAAGAAGAATAACCACCTAGGGCCAGGCACAGTGGCTCACATCTGTAATCCCAGCACTTTGGGAGGCTGAGGCAGGCAGATAACTTGAGGTCAGGAGTTCGAGACCAGCCTGGCCAACATGGTGAAACCCTGTTTCTACTAAAAATACAAAAATCAGCCAGACATGGTGGTGGGTGCCTGTAATCCCAGCTACTCAGGAGGCTGAAGCAGGAGAATCACTTGAACCTGGGAGGCAGAGGTTGCAGTGAGCCGAGATCACACCACTGCACTCCAGCCTGGGCAACAGAGACTCCACCTCAAAAAAAAAAAAAAAAAAAGAATAACCACCTAGAATTAAAGGAAAAAAAAATTTAGAGATGAGGGTCTTGCTATGTTGCCCAGGCTGGAGTGCAGTGGCTATTCACAGGTGTGATCATGGCACATTGTAGCCTTGAACTCCTGGGCTCAAGAACTTCTCCTGCTTCAGCCTCCCAAGTAGCCACTGTGCCCAGCAATTTTTAAGGGGACTCTGTCCACATGGGCTTCTTCAAAAAGACCTTGGCAGAAAAAGGTGGAGGCCCAACTGGAGATAGAGGCTGAAGGAGGACCATAAGTGACCAGCTGAAGGAGAGGCCCCTTTGGACTCTTGAAGACTGCAGTCCCAGGGGACCAAGAGGGTTCCATACAAGGTGACAAAGGTACCAAAGAGGGAAGCACCAGCCATGGCCAGGGAAGGTCAAAGAGATACTTCATCCATGCTAGAAACAAAGGATGGAAGGAGGATGGAAGGAGGGAGAAAAAGAAGGAGGGAGGAAGGAAGGGAAGGATCAAGGGAAGGAGAGAAGGAAGGAAGGAAGGAAGGCAGACAGAGAGGCATCTCCTACTCCTTGTTTTTTATTCTCCCTCCTACTCTACAGGGGCCAAGGTGAGGCTAGTAAGGGGATGGGGTAGAGGTGCTAAATGGGAAAATGTCTTGGCGTCCTCAATGCCTAGCAGGGAACCTGGCATAAAATGGACACTCAAAAAATAATATACGAAGAATGAGGAAAATCTTTGCCCCTTTATGATTCCCAGTGACTGTGTAAGGGCCTTCTATATCTGCATCATTCTGGGGACTGAATGTGGGTCCTTCCAAAGTCATGGTGTTATAGAACAGTGATACAGGGGTGATGTCTAAAGCACACACTGAAGTATCCCCAGACGCACCTGCACATACACACATGTACATGCTCATGTACCTACCTGGTGCCAAGCTCAGAAATAGGGTTCTACACAAACCTCACTGGAAACTTTTCATTTCTCTTCAGTGCATACCTCAGTCTTTGCCCTTTGAAGAAAACCAGGGATGCAATGCTGAGAATGTGACTGTAAATACTTCAGATTTTAAACTCCGAGGATTTTCTCTTGGTCTCCTCAGAGGGTTGTAGTCTGTGGTGTATGGATCCTGGGGTTTCAAGGCCATCTGGCCCCTGTGTGCTCAATGATCTACCCCAGTGGAAGGAAGACGAGAAACAGACATTTCAAAACCTTTAGGCAATGGGTCTTGGCCTGAGACAGAGTTTCACTTTGTCGCCCAGGCTGGAGTGCAGTGGCGCAATCTCCACTCACTGCAACCTCCGCCTCCTGGGTTCAAGTGATTCTTGTGCCTCAGCCTCTTGAGTAGCAGGGATTACAGGCACGCACCACCATACCTGGCTAACTTTTTGTATTTTTAGTAGAGGCAGGGTTTCACCATGTTGGCCAGGCTGGTCTCGAAATCTTGGCCTCAAGTGATCCACCCACCTCAGCCTCCCAAAGTGCTGGGATTACAGATGTGAGCCGCCGCACCCAGCCAGCATGCCCTATCTTAATTGTTAATTTTCTATGATAGCAGATTAGCTCTCCTAATTACTTCTATCTTAGGCTAGATTAAAATGCATCCTGATCAGATAGTAATTTATGGTGAAGAGATGCCTTCTGGCCTAAAAACATGCCAGGGGTAAATCTCTAAGTAGATGACCTCAAGGCAGAGAACCCAGAGTGCACTGTGTATGAAAGAATTACGGAGTGAAGTTCATGTGCCCAAGGTTTTAAAGAATAATTAAGAGCCTAATTATAAGAGTACTGAAAAGAGCCATACACAATTCCAAGTTAGCTTTGCCTGTTAAGAGTAGAAAGCTCATTTTATAAGTAATAAAACGATGGTGTTTACACAATGCAGCTTTCCAATTTCCTTTTCAAATTCCACTGTGCTTGAGGCACCATCCCCTTTGACTGCATGCATTCTGATCTTTGTTGAATTAATTTCATCTAGTAATTCTTCTACTCATTGGCATCTATTGACTGTCCAGTCCATATGCATGGATGTGGTTGAAACTCAGCTGAGAAAGATGAATGACACACGGCTCTACCCTCTAAAGCTCACTCTCTCCTATTGGAGACAGACTTCTAAACAAAATACTACACCTCCAAAGAGAAAACCCCATTTTTCTGGGAGCTCAGAATGGGAAATGACTCTGCCTGGGGATGGAGGTGGGAGGGAGGAGAACTTAGGGAAGGCTTCTAGAAAAGGTGACATTTTGGCTGCAGCTTGAGGGGTGACCAGGAGTTTGCTAGTTAGAACAGGGAAGGAAGAGCATTCTGGGTTGAGAATTGGGACAGAGTCTTCTCTGATAATTCGCAAAGCAAATGTCAGGTCATACAGGAGCAACTCAAAAGACCTTTTGCAGAGATTTAGTTATTATTGCCCATGCTAGACTATCAACTGCTTCTGACTTTGTGCAGTACTTAGACCACCTAAGTTAGTGCCTGATAGGGTATTTTGAGGATGACAGTAATGCCTATGCTAGAGATGAGTGGGATATGACCCTCATCTTTTAGTCATGACATTCCAGCTCTCCTACCTTGGGTTTGTTCCTAATAATTAAGTGGCCATCACAGCAGTAGTGAGTATTCTTCTGCAAACTCCAGGAGCATCTGTGGAACCGAGTGCAGATGCCTTTGACCTGTGCAGCAGTTGACTCAGGTTACCAGGCACCTTTTTCAAGTTCTTCCCAAGAAGATGTATCTTTCTTGTTCAGCCTAATTTTTATAAAACTTTAATGTTCTCTTAAAACTGAAATTTTGCACAGTAGGCATTAGCATCAGAGCAACATTCCCATGAGTTCTGGAATCTCCTGGAGTACATTACTCTAAGCAAAGAGCCAATTATTGCAGCCCTGAAGTTGGAGGGGACACTGATTAGTATCTGTGGCCTAGAAGTACAGATGGATGGCTGTGGAGGCCACAGCATCTTGAGGATTTTTTTTTTTTTGAAACGGAGTCTCATTCTGTCGCCCAGGCTGGAGTATAGTGGCGTGATCTCTGCTCAACGCAGAGGATGTTAAATGGAGTCAAAAGCAAATCAGACTCCCTCATGGCCCAACTCAGGAGTTATTCTTAGGCATAGGGAACATTAGAGAGACCTCTAGAGTTGGGAAGAGTGGGCCTAGTGGGGAGTCCTTGGGCCCTGCAAGTTTCCACTCAATTTCTCACCCTGGGCACTGCCTCCACCTGTTCTCTGTACCTATTCCTTCTCTTCTATTTCTCCTCTACAATTCTTCTTTTATTTCCCCATTCCTCTTTCTCGTAAATATATCTTTTTTTTCCCAGAAGTTTCTACTGAGTTTGAAGGTTTCAATGACCATGTTGATTACAGAGATAGGAAGGCTATTTCCATCACTGTCTTTGGATGAGAGACAGCAGAGGCTCCTCTCTGCAGGCCTGGCCAGACTGCTTATGAGGAGCTGGAGGGAAAGATGAACGGCTTTAAGTCACTCAGGCCAGTACCCAAGAACCCAACACTGTGCTGGGCCTTGGGGTGGTTCTGGGGTAGCGTGAGGGTAAGGAATGCTAGAGAGGTATGGCAGAGAGAACCCGAGAGAAGGCGTTAGGACATGCAATGAGGTCCCATTTCCCACTGATTCCTAACTTTATTTTTCTGCCAAATTAAAGGAAACATATCTTCCTCATATGGTGGAGAAGTAACTGAGACATAAGATAAGAAAAGTCTAAAGCCCAATATAAATATAAGGGTTTGAACTCATCTGACCTGGGTCTGTGTGGGCTAAGCTGCTCCAAGCTGGGCTAGACATGGGATAGGAAGCAGTTTAACTTGCCCTTTTCTCCTGTGGGCCTAGAAGTCCCTGGATTAGATGATGCTGTGGAGCCCACTGTGGGAGAAGGGGAGGGGAGAAGAGCATGGCTTGAAGTCTGAATCCTGGAGCCCAGGTTCAGGTCTCCATCAACCTGAACAACATCTCTGAGTCCCCACTTCCTCATCTGCAAGATGAGAATTCTAATTCCACCTCACACACTTAGGGATAGAATCAAATGCAATACTAAGCCCAAAGTCACTGTATAAAGTACAATACAAATGTGGTTATTAATATCCTATCATTAATATCTTGGTGTTTCTTATAGCATAATGGATTTCCAAAGGGAGAGCATTAGCAAGATAAAATAGCCTCAGAAGGAACCAAAGAAACTAAATTTTGTACACTAAGGTAGTATAAATTCAGTACATTTTAAAGCTTAGTTTCTATTTAAGATCATTTAAAAATCAGTTTCTATTAAAATTCAGAAGCATTTCTAAGTGCTGGGAAAGACTCTCTCCCTGCTCTTTGCCATTGCTAAATTAGCCTGCCTCTGGAGGAGAAGGCCCTTTTCCCTTCCTGCCCCACTAGTGCAGGACTCTTTGGGTGAACTCCCTCCCCTTGCCCCTGAGCAGTTGGGTGGGAGTGTGGTAAGCCTCTGGTTATACTTTAAAAATAGTGTTGAGAGAGAGGCAGGCAGGCAGGGAGGCTCACCGGACAGGAAGGACAGGTTTTCCTGCCTTCCCTCCCCACCTGCCCCACACCCAGTCACTTTGTCACCCCAGGGGAGCTGTCAGCCCAGCCCCACAAATTAGAGGGTGCTGCATGGCCCTGGCCCCACACAGTGTTTCCATGAGAACCTCTCCTTCCCCTGATTTTCCCTTTTCTCCTGGGGCCTCCTCGCACGTAGAAAGAAACCCCTGCTCCTAGCCCTGTTCCTGTATCTAGACCCTGGCAGCCTCAGTCACTCATCCAGACATTAGCTAGGAGCTGGCAGTGCCGAGAATGGCTCTGGAGGGGAGGACAGGGGGCCAGGGTTGGCACCTGGGCCACTCGGGCAAGCCTGAGATGTGGGTGCAGGCTTTGCTTGGTGCTCCCAGTGGCCCTGGCCTGGCCTCTCCTAGGATCCAGAGGGATCCTGGACCCTGGAAGGGTCCCAGGCCCCAGGAAGGGAAACAGTCAGACCTCTGGCTTCCCCGTGGTGGCATCTGAACCCATGGCATTGCCCTCTTCCAGACATGCCTTGGATCCCTTGACTCTGCCTCACCCTTAACCCCTGGTCAGCTCCTTCCCAGTGGCCAGCACTACCCCTCCACTGGGCGCAGACATGGCTGCATCTTGCTCGAAAATTATTCATAGGGATGCATACCTCCTGCCTGTCCTGCCAGACCCCCCACAGACCTCAATTAATGCAGCCCAGCTGATTGAGCATTTGTCTTCTGATGGATTGAATGACAAACCAGCCCTATGAGGTCTCAGCTTGTCCTCCATCATCTCTGGCCTGAGGAGTTACCAGGGTTTTGGGAGCTCTGGGCTTCATGGAAAGAGAAAAAAAAGGTACAGTAAATGCTCTGGGACTGTCCAAGCCTGAGGACCGGAGAGCACGGCGTCTCGGAATCAGACTGACGTGGTCGGCCTCCCAGCTCTGTAATTCATCCTATAGCCTTGGACAAATCCATTAACTTTTCTTGATATAAATTTCCTTATCTGGGGCCGGGCACGGGGGCTCACGCCTGTAATCCCAGCACTTTGGGAGGCTGAGGCAGGCGGATCATGAGGTAGGGAGATCAAGGCCATCCTGGCTAACGTGGTGAAACCCCGTCTCTACCAAAAATACAAAAAAATTAGCCGGGCGTGGTGGTGGGCGCCTGTAGTCCCAGCTACTCCAGGAGGCTGAGGCAGGAGAATGGCGTGAACCCAGGAGGCGGAGCTTGCAGTGAGCTGAGATCGCGCCACTATACTCCAGCCTGGGCGACAGAGTGAGACTCCATCTCAAAAAAAAAAAAAAAAAAAAAAAATTCCTTATCTGTAAAATGGGGATGAAGTTACCCACTTCAGAGGGTGCTGTAAGGATTAAATGATCTCCAAGGCCTCTACAGTGTTCAGACACACAAATCACCTACAGCACCACTCAAAGTGTATGTGCAGATGGGGTCTGGCTTCTTGCATTTTGTTGTTGTTGTTTAGTTGATTGTTTTCTGCATTGTGCATGTGTGTGGTTAAACAAAATGCCCTATCACTGAGATCTGGCCTGCAGGGCCAGGGCTGGACACAGATAACACTGCTGGAGGAACACTAAAACCTTTCTTGATGTGCCACAGGCTTTTATTTCTCTTATTTCTCACTAAGGACAGGAAAGCTTTCATCAGCAACATCAACAACAACACAACAAACACGTGGACACCTCCCCAGGGGTTTCTGTTGATCCTGAATCCTCCCACCCACCCACCCCCACCAATTGCCTTAGAGATGTGGGGCCACCAGGCTTGAAGCTCATCTGACTTCCAGAGGTTGAGGAGTGAGAATTCCTTGCACCAGGGGCTGCCTCAGCAGTGAAGCCACGGGAAATAATCTTCACTCTGTCAGTGGGGCTGCTGGTGACCAGCAACATCCACTTAAAAGCTGTCGATCAGGGCCTCTGAGCATTCCTGGCCTGGGAATGGAGGGGAAGAATCTGGCTAGCTCTAGGGTTACACAGCTGAGTCTGGCCTCATTAACCAAATTAGCTAACCAGCCGCTGTGCAAGCGACGTCTCAGAAGCCCCAATGTTCATGGAGGAAATTAACTCAAATTATTATTATACACACCCCACATAATCAATTGCATTTAAGCAGGTGTCCATATACAAAGGAGGAGGGAAATCACCACAGACTTAGCTTTTGTATAGCCCTTTGTTCTTTAAAAGTAACTTTTTAAACAGTCTATCACTGATTCCTACCTCGTTTCTCTGACATCAACAACACAGATGTTACTATCAGCATTTAGTTAGAGACTAAGTGGCGTATCCAAGATCACACAGCATATTGAGGGATCCAGGGCTCCTCTCTCTTAGTCCATTTTTCTTTTTTGTTTGGTTTTCTCTTCTCTCATAGGCTATTTTGTACACATCAGCCAGAGTCATCTTTTAAACCTCAAATGAGACCATGTCACTCCTGGCTCACACTCTCTGTGGCTTCCCAATAGAGAGAGCACAGTCCAGGTGGCTCACCTTCTTTAAGCTGCTTTCCTCCCCATCTCTCACACCAGGCTGCCATCATGCTTCTCCCCCACTGACTCTCCACAGCCTGGCTCCTTCTCAATCCAGGGCTTCCTTGTCCTCCAAATCACTCTGTCCCACTGCCTGCTTTTTGCTCTCTGGAATCATCTCATTTATCTGTTTACGTGTTTGTTTCCTGCCTCCCATCAGCAGATCATCAATTCCATGGCGTCAGGGACTTTGTTTTGTTGATGCTGCATCCCCAGTACCTAGATTAGTACCTGGCACTTAGAGGGTAATTAATGAAGAGCTTTTTGAATGAATGGATATTGCACTGTATTGATAAAAGAAAGAGAGAAAAGTCCTGGGAGAGAGTGAAGGAAAAGAAGTTATTAATGATGGGAAACAATATGCCCAATATGAGTGAATAGCTGCTATGAGAGATTGCACAAGCTCTGCTGGGTCACCCCGTCCCCACTGATCTAAGACTCCTGAGCCCTAGGCTCACTCCCCACCTCCAATCTGACCAACAAGCCAAAGCCAGCAGTAACTCCAGAGCGGACTTTGACTCTAAATGTGGCCTTAACCCTAGGCCTGACTGTGTAAACAACACCTTCTTCTAACTTTAATCCTGTCCCTAATAACCACCTTAACTTGGCACTCTAATCTCAATGACAAACCCAAATCCATAAGCACAGTCCCCTCTACTCGATGGACCAATTCTAGATATAAGATCCAGCAGGTCAGACTGTCATCCCAGTCCTGCCACACTGAACCTTAACTAGATCTGCATCAGTTTCCCTGAGTGGAAACTGATGGGGGAGGTATGGACTAAAATTGGAGACACTGAAAGCTAGAAAAGACCTTAGAGATCATCTAATTTCTTCCCTTTGGGGATAATATACAATGAATACATGCCATCATGTATTTTCTATGTGTCCCGTTGGTTCTTTCTTTCCTTTTTCTTGCCATATTTTGGATCAATCAAGTATTAGTATTCCATTTTGCCTCCTCCATTTGCATTTTAGCTAAATCTCTTTGTTTAACTTTTGTGTTTATTTTAGGGGTTATAATAGGTATCTTAAACTTTTCATAGTCTACATTGAAATCACATGAAAGAATTTAAACCAGTGTCATTCCCTTTTATAACCCCCATCTTTTGTTCTACTGTTATCGTATACCTAAGTACTGTGTATGTCATAAGCCCCACTATTATTGTTGTTGTTGTTATTGCTTTAGATAATTATGTCTTAAAGACATTAAGAATTGAATAGAGTATGTTTTTTAAAGTTACCGCTGTATTTAATAATTTCTGATGCTCTTCATTCATTTCTGTAGGTCATGTTTCTGTTTTATTTGCCTTCAACCTGCAGAACTTCGCAATTCTCTTCCCCCTCCAGGGACACTGCAGCTTTTCTACCCTTCCATTGCGGCTTCCATACAGCCTCCAAAACCTGCAAGTTTCCAACCATTTCCCACAGTGCAGTTAAATCCCAAGATAAATTTTTAGGCATTTCCAAACTCCCTAAGGACAGGCCCAGGTGGAGCCATGAAAGAGAAGAGAGGGCAGGTAACCAGGAGCCTCTCCTCTTCCTCCTTCCTACGTCACCTTCCCTATACTCCCCAAAGGGGACCTCTCTGACACTGCAATGCAAGATTAAACTACTGGATGATGATGATGATGATGATGATGATTTACCTCCTTTCCTTCCTGGGCCAGGGAGGAGAGCATCAAGCTCTTTGCAGCAGCAGTCTGATCCCCTTCAGTTATCCTCAGGTATTTACTAAGCCCCCTCCTCAGTGCAGCCCCTCTACTAGGGGAAGAGAAAGGCAGAAGTGGAGAGGCTGCAGGGAAGCGAAGGAGCTTATAGACTAGATGGGAGACCATGGGTACCCCTCCTAAGGAAATCAGCAATCCAGTCTTCTCCTTTTTTGTTTCTTCTCCCTCCTCTTCCCATTTCTTTCCCTGCCAATTAGCAAGGATCATAGAACTGTGGGTTGGAATAAGCGTGATTGGGTAAGAAAAGTTGATCAAAGAAGTCCTTAGATTCTAAACTCTGCAGGAAATGTTGCCTCCAAGGCTGCTCTCATCCCTAAATAATGGAGCAAGAGATAAAAGGGACCCCCTCAAAGCCTTGGGAATATACAGTTGAGGGCAAGTCAAAGGTTGCACTGCTGTACACCTGGCAGATTTGGAGAAGACGTGGGTAAGTAGCTGGAGGCAATCCTCTGAAGGGTTGTGAAGGGATGAGGGGTGCCAAGAGCATGTACCTCAGCTTGGAGGCAATGGGTAGAAAGATGCATAGCTGGCACCAAGCCAGGTCCTTTTCTGGCTCCCAAGTCCACAGCACCTTGTTCCTTCTCCTTCCCCATATGTGTCCCCAACCCCTCCAACAGCTGACCTCTAGTCATCCCACAGAACATACTCAAGTTCTACCACTAAGGCTTCCACAGCTACTGTTATTGTCTTATTATTTTTTCTGATGAAGAGCCCTGGAGCCAGTCATACCTGAGTTCAAATCCCAGCTAGGCCACTTGCCAGTTGGCTGACCTTAGATAATTCACTTTCCTCATTGAGTCTTGGCTTCCATTTCTATAAAAATGATGCTATTTTCTTCTTTTTTTGGACAATTCTTCAATAATGAATATAACAGGCATTGAGTTAACATCCTTAAAATATAAAGAGTTCATCTAAAACAACAAGAAGTATACTAAGGGCCAGGTGTGGTGGCTAACGCCTGTAATCCCAGCACTTTGGGAGGTTGAGGCAGGCAGATTGCTTGAGCCCAGGAGTTCGAGACCCGCGTGGGCAACATAGCAAAATCCTGTCTCTAAACCCCAAAATTAGCCAGGTGTGGTGATAGTCCCAGCTACTCAGGAGGCTGAGGTGGGAGCATTATTTGAGCTCAAGTAGTGAAGGCTGCAGTGAGCCAAGCTCACACCACTACACTCCAGACTTAGCAACAGAGTGAGACCATGTCACAAAAAATTAAATAAATAAATAAATTTTGAAAAGAAATATAAGACAAAAACAATAAGTAGATAAGAGTCACAAACAGATAATTCCAAAAGATGAAATACATGTAGCTAATAACGTTTTAAGACATGTTTAACATCCCTAATAATAAAAGTGAAAATTAAAGAAATGAGGCACGTTTCACTTATGAAAAACTACTATAGTTTTTAATCTATAATAATCAGTATTGACAAGGGTGTGATAAGATGGACAACCTCCACTTGGTTATTAGGAATGCTTTTTGGAACACAATTTGGCAATATGTACCAACAGCTTTAACAATGCTCATGCATTTTGACCTAGTAATTTCGCTTCTAGGAATCTGTTTGAAGGATATAATCAGAGATGAGGTCAAAGATTAATATTCACAGATGTTCAGATGTTCATCACAGAGTTATTAACAGGAAATTTTTGGAAAAAAATCTAAATGGCCATGAGTAAAAGAATGTTTAAATTGGTTATAATGCATTCTTAAAGTGGAATTTTACAGCTAATAAAAATATTTTCATAGATTGATGATATAGTGATTACAATACAATGTTTGCTGATAAGCAGGAAATAACGTACATAATATATAATCTCAATTTTATGCTGCTATATTTATGCTTATATATTAGAAAATAGACTGAGAAACACCCCAAAAGGTTAATAATAGTAATTTGAAAGGTCATACATGACGTTTTCTTATATTTTCTAAGCTTTTCACAGTAAAGAAGCATTACTTTTAAAATGTGAAAATAAACTACTATTTAAAATCACAATAACACTGTTTGACCCAGTAATTCCTCTTCTTCAAATATGTTTAAAAAATCAGAAATTCAGTGAAACATGTTGGTATAAAGAGCCAAGACTCAATGGTGATTAAACCATTACTTATAATTTAAAAAATAGGAAAACAGGTATCTAGCAGTTGGAGAACAGCTAAGAAACTTGTTGTATCACCACATAATGGGACACTGTGAATGCACTAAAGATGTTTTTTAGTTAGAATGGCAATCATTAAAAAGTCAGGAAACAACAGGTGCTGGCGAGGATGTGGAGAAATAGGAACACTTTTACACTGTTGGTGGGACTGTAAACTAGTTCAACCCTTGTGGAAGTCAGTGTGGCGATTCCTCAGGGATCTAGAACTAGAAATACCATTTGAGCCAGCCATCCCATTACTGGGTATATACCCAAAGGACTATAAATCATGCTGCTATAAAGACACATGCACACGTATGTTTATTGCGGCACTATTCACAATAGCAAAGACTTGGAACCAACCCAAATGTCCAACAACGATAGACTGGATTAAGAAAATGTGGCACATATACACCATGGAATACTATGCAGCCATAAAAAATGATGAGTTCATGTCATTTGTAGGGACATGGATGAAATTGGAAATCATCATTCTCAGTAAACTATCGCAAGAAGAAAAAACCAAACACCGCATATTCTCACTCATAGGTGGGAATTGAACAATGAGAACACATGGACACAGGAAGGGGACCATCACACTCTGGGGACTGTTGTGGGGTGGGGGGAGGGGGGAGGGATAGCTTTAGGAGATATACCTAATGCTAAATGACGAGTTAATGGGTGCAGCACACCAGCATGGCACATGTATACATATGTAACTAACCTGCACGTTGTGCACATGTACCCTAAAACTTAAAGCGTAATAATAATCAAATAAAAAAAATTTAAAAAAAAGAAAAAAAAAAGAAATTTTAATGACATGGAAAATTTTTGTTATAAAGGTCATTAAAAGAAGAACAGAAAATTGTATATACATATTTTAAATATATGTTTAAAATGAATTTTAAAACTAGGAATGCACACACTTAAATGCTAGCAATGATTTATCTTGGGCATGGGATTATATGTGATTTTTATTTTCTTCCATACACTTTTATATTCTTTTATATGCCATATCTATAATGACTATCAATACTTCATGAGCTTATTAAAAAAACAGAAAAAAGAACAATAGAGAAACGGTCTGAGAAGAAATGAACTTCTATATCGGAGAATGGAGCTAAGGACAGTTATCAAGATCGTTGAGAACATTAGATGATGAATGTGACCAGCACAGTGCCTGGCACATAACAGATGCTCAAATAAATGCAGGTTTGTTTCTCCCTCCCTCTTCTTTCCCGCACACATCTTTCTTGCTCTGAACCCTATGTGCCATTGACAGTCTGTCTCACTCTCCTTTACTCGAGTAACATTTCTCTTCCCAGCAGGTCTGTTGGCCCAGGAGGACTGAGCTAGCTCCTTCCTTCAGGGCATGGTGCCAGCTGGAGCTCAGGCAGCCTTGCTGACTAGTGATGGAGGAATAGGGACGACCCCTCCTTCCCTTCACCCTGACAACCCATATTCAGGGTTTCTTCTCAGGATGACATCTAGGGAGGTAAAGTTTGCACAGAGTGAAGGAGTGAGAGGGAGTTTCCTTGTAAATGGTTTTTTTCTCCTCTTTCTATCCCCCCAGTCTAGAGCTGGCAGAACATCCAGGGAAAGAAGGTAGGGAGATGGCTCCAAGGAAGGTTCCTATGCCAAGCATTTTGCCTTCACTGGTAACTGGCATCCCACCACTAAAGCTGAATGTTCTTTCTAGATACCTTTCACAATGCAGATTCCCTTTGGAGGACAAATATATTAATATGTACGTATTGATATGTATATATTTATCAGCTCCCCTTCAGAAGGCAAGTATGTGAGAGCCCCTGCATAAGGGAACTGAACAGGGAACTACTGAGAATGGCCATACCTGCAGATGGGGGTCTGGAATCTTCCATTAGTAAACCCATATTGAGGCTCCTACCCTGTGCCAGGCACTACTATATCACAGAAGATGCAGACCAATATGAGGCAAGGTCTGGTCCTCAGGTTTCTTACTCTGTAAATGGAGAACTAAGACAGACTTGTGAAAAATAACAGCAAAAACATATGGTAGCATAGAACTGCAGGACTGAAGGGACCTTAAAAGTTTTCAAGATTGACCATCCAATTGGTTATCAAATAACTGTTGTAGAGGTATATGCACAAAGGACACAGAGCTCAGACATGGCTTGAGCCAGGACTGTCTGGGAGTGCAGAAGGATTGTTAGGGCTGGACTGCCACAGAGGATTGGGAAAGGCTTTCAGGACGGGTAAAGCACAGAGCTGGGACATTTGAGGGACAGTGTGTAGACTGTTGGAAGGAGGCTGGTGAAGGGGAGAAGTAGGGAAAAGTACACACAAGAGAGTTGGGGTCAGTTTGCAAAGGACTAAGAATGCCAGGTTTGAGTGTCCAGACTTTGTCCTTTGGACAATGAGAGGCATCTGCTGCACATTTCCAAACAAAGAGGTGACTTTGAAAAGAGGTATCTGAAGGTGATTCTAAACATTGGCAGGAGACAGTAGGAACTGGTAGGGACTGGAGACAAGGTGGTGAGTCAGAGACATTCATGCCATCCAGATGAGATGCCAGGGGCATGGATTAGGACTGTGGAGGTGGGAATGGGAAGAAAAGGACCAGTGGCGAAGGACTTTCAAGGAAAGACTGGGCAGGCCTTGGGGGCTGAGTGGTGGCCAATCCACCAGCCCAGCACACTCTTTGTGTACCTTGATCTCAGCAGCTGAGGCGCCACTGCCCCAGGAGTGCTCAGAGTCCCTGGGGGAGGGAGAGGAAGCACATTTCTGACCAGAGTTTCCAGGAGTTGTGCACCAGTACAGACTGGCACCCAGGGCAAGGGTGGGGTCAGGGAGAGGGGCGGCTCCTCCTATTCTCTTGGATAACAATGCCCCCGAGCCTGCCATTTTCTGTGGTTAAAAGGAGGGCCTTTCTCCCCGCCAGTCCCTCACCCACAGGAAATCCTTGTCCCGGGAGTTCACAGCTGTGAATACAGTCTGTTAAATAGCTCAAGACAGGCCAGGTGCTGCCTGGTGCAGGCCTCCGGGGCCCTCTCAGGGGCCCTGAGCAACCAAGCACTGCCCATTCAGTCACCTGGCATGTCTTTCTTGAGGACTTACTTTGCACGAGGCAGGTGCTGGATGCTGAGGACACAGAGGTGAGGGAGATAGAACCACTACATCCAGTGGGACCACAGACAAGTCAATGCATAGCTGCAATGTAGCCAGACACTTGCCGGTTGAGGTCTGTGCCAGGTGTCAAACAAGCAGAGGATGGGGCTGGAATGTTCAGAGGGAAATGAAAAAAGTCTTCACAGAGGGTGATGTTGAACAGAGTCTTAAAGGGAGAGTAAGGGCTTCTCGGGTAAATGCAGGTAGGAGCAAAGTACATTTATTACATTCCAGGAGATGCTCTGAGCCAAGGCCTAAATAAAGCATCATGGTGCACCTAGAGAACCAGAAGTCACGGGTCAAGCTTCAGGGGAGAAAGTAGAAACGGGTGGGAAATGGAACTGGAGTGATACACGAGGTCCAGATAATGAGGATACCTGTGGGTGTCCCAAGGTGTATAAATTTTATCCTGCAGATCATAGTAGCCATTGGAGCTCAGATGTGGCCACTCACTGTGGGCCCTGCCTTAGGGAAATTTTACATTTTTTCCTCTAGGGGAGCTTAGAGAGTCCAGATGAGGCTCAAGTGTCTGAGGGAGGAAACCATCTCTGCATAAATCACATTCTACCAGGCAGGCTCCCATATCAGGGTTTTTCATGCTCTGTTTCTTCTACCTAGAATGCTCTTCCCCCAGAGACCTAATTTGGCAACTCTCTCCCCACTCCCCCCTCTATTATTAATTTCCCCGACCCTGCTGTCCTCTTTCTTTTTTTCTTTCCATAGCACTTAACATCTACAGTAGAATATGCTCACTTCTTATGTCTATTACTCATTGTGTCTGCTGGAATGTGACTCCAGGGGAGCAAAGACCTTTATATATTTTGTTCCCCAGCTGTTTCCCCTACACCTACAACTGTGCCTGGCACAGGTAGAGGCTCAATGACTATCTGTGGAACAAATGAATGAAGGAAGAAACCGTCTTTGTAATTCCAGTGCCCAGCACAGAGCTGTAAGACGTATGCATGTGTGCAAGAAATGCTACCATCATTAGGGCACCAACAAATGAGTGCCCTCGGGCTTCCCTGCAAACCCCAAGGCCTAGTTGGGCCCCCCAGAGTGGCGCGGGTTCCCCTTACTCCCTGCCGCCCAGCGGGGCACTTGGCACGGCCTGGGGCGAACGTGCCACTCGGAGAATAAAGCGCTTCCTCCGCAGGGCGGCCCTGCCAGGCTGCCGGGGTCTTGCGTCCCGGAAACGCCTCCCCCCAGCCAGCCAGGGGAAGCCTGGGCGGAGCTTTCTAGGAAGCAGCCCTAGCCTGCCTGGCCTTCTCCCGCCTGGAGGAGAGAGAGCTTGAGGTCACAAGGCCCTACTGGCTGCTGGGCACGAGCCCAGGGAGCGGGTCACCTCATTGCTGAGTGACAGGTCTCTCCTGGACCCCAAAGTCCCTCTAAACAGGGCCCCAAGCACTGAAAATATCCCAGTGTCCCAGTACCTATTCATAATTTTATAATTACATTATATTTATTTATATAAAAAGAAAGAGACACAAACAGATATGTAAGAGTAGGATTGGGGCAAGAATACAAGGACACTTAGCTCTATCTGAAATGTTTATTTATTGCAAAATAAAGTGATTAGAAGCAAATGGGAGAAAGAAGGCTTGTTTTAGGTGGTGAAAATATGGATGCTGGTTATATTGTTCTTTTCACTTTTCTGTAACTTTAAAACACTTCAAGGAAAAATAAAGGAAACATAAGGAAGAACAACAAGATTCATATATTTTTTTCTGTGATGACTACTTGGAGCTTTGCTGAATTAATGAATACCCTGGATCCAGCCTTGGTGTTGCTGTATAACTAGTCAGTAGACCAAGGCACCATGGCAGTGTGGTGGGGCAGAGCTTTGCAGAATGAGGGGTCAGGGAGCATGGATGGGGTGGGAGTGGGGACAAAGGCACTTTATAAGTGTCTCTCAAGGCTTACCATGCAGAGAGCCACTTGCTCTTCCCACATAAAGGGTCTGCCTTTCTTCCTTGGCCTCCTGCATGTTTTATTTTTTGCCTCTGACCTAGACCTCAATTGTTGCCACATGAATTAGATGGTGGAGAAGTTGGATGAACAGAAAAGAAGAAAACTTGAGAGGTGGTCTCTGGCAGTAGTGGTTCAGCCAATGTCACCTCCTGGTAATTTGGGTCTCTACCTGTCACTACAATCTCCGAGTGCAGGACTTTTGAGAATGCTCATAGACTCATAAGATACAGTGAAGCCCAGCATACCTCTGCCCCCAGGCCATCGCTAAGTAGCACCTTCCAGATCCCAGGAAAACACATGAAGATTTGTCAGATTGCTGTTTATCCAGAATTCAATGAAAGTACAAACCATAGGAATTTTTGCCTGCTTTTGAGAGGAGACAAAGGAGCAAATTTTCTTTCTTTTTTATAATGTTCAGGGCATCTCATAAGGTTGGTGTAGACTCAGCCCCATCTCTTTAACCTCCATGAAATTAAGGACTCGTGGGTGGTATCCTAGCCAGTCCTGCTGCTGTAACAAAATACCCTAGACTCGGTGGTTTAAGTCAAAGACATTTATTTCTCACAGTTCTGGAGGCTGGGAAGCTCTGGTATCTCATCCTCTTTTTATAAGGGCACTAACCTCATCATGGACACTCCACCCACATGACCTCATCGAAACCTCATCACCTCCCAAAGGTCCTGCTCCTTAACACCATCACATTGAGGGTTACGGCTTCAACATATACATTTTGGGGGAATACAGTCCATAACAGGTGGGAATGTCTTGGAAACCAGCCCTCATGGGAGACATAAACACTCCCTCTATGCATCCTGGCTGATGCATATACAGTCTTTCTTTGAATGTCCCCAAGGCAGCCAGCTCCCTCCCTCCATGTATTGGACATGGTTCTGCTCCCTGGGAGAGACCAAATTTGTCTGGCCCTTCCTGTATTTGTAGACTGAGTCAACCTTTCTCTAGACTAAATGCACTAGCTCTTCCCATAAGCTTCCTACTCTTTTAGTGGACAGATCTGTGCAATGGGAATGATAGTTCCAAGAGTACTCTGAAATCCCAAGAGATCCTGAAATATGTCTGACACATCAGAGAAGGATTGGTTAGGTTTGCTTGACAGAACTGTTCTTTAAAGATTGGTAAATGATCAATCCACTAGCCATGGAAGTGACAGCTTGCGTTTAACCAAGTTGTAAAATCACCCAGTGCTAGTTACTTAGGGCTTCTTGACATGCACAGACGCTTGGCTGAGTCCTGGAAGCTGCAGTGTTGACTTAGCCACTGTCCTCAGCCCGGTGTAACTACACAGGGTCAAAATGAGTCAGCAGGCACCCCAGGCCCTCATCCATTTTCCACAGTCTCCTGAAGGAAATCTCTGGGCAGACGGGGAGGTATCAAGGAGCTACCAGGGAGCTAGGCTGAATTCTGGGTAAGGCAGGAACGTCCCCAAGGCAGGCAGCTCCCTCCCTCCATCTGGGTCATAGAGATGAGCCAGTTAAAGATACAGTGACCTACTAGAATTGTTTAATTTGGGGCTCACATTGGGCCCAGAAATTTCAAGACTTCTTTAGAGCAATGTTTTTCCAATCACTCCTCCGTGAAAGTTGTCAAGTGTTAACTCCTCAGGGAAATGGAAAGCTAAGAATTCTCCACAATTGGCTCAGGAAGTACACACTGAAAGTTTAGCCTGACCTAAGATCCCTAAGATACATGTTTTATTTAGCTTCAGGGTGCCCTTCCTATGTACCCATTTCAGGGATTGGACACAAAGTTCAGCTATAGCAAATGTTTGCTCTAAACAGGAAGTGTTGGCCAGTACTCCTGATCTCCAGAGAGCTGGGTGGGTGGGGGCTCTAATTACAAAGGGAGAATGGCTGCTGGGGGTGTCCTGACTTTCTTCCTGAGACACCTCATCGTCCTTCCTGCCTTACCCAGAATTCAGCCTAGCTCCCTGGTGGTTCCTTGATACCTCCCCGTCTGCCCAGAGATTTCCGTCAGGAGACTGTGGAAAACGAATGAGGGCCTGGGGTGCCTGCTGACTCATTTTGACCCTGTGTAGTTACACCGGGCTGAGGACAGTGTCTAAGTCAACACTGCAGCTTCCAGGACTCAGCCAAGCGTCTGTACATGTCAAGAGGCCCTAAGGAGAAAAAGCAACCAAGAACAGATTTAGAGACCCAGACAGCTATTCTGTAAAATAGGGTTCCAGACCCTGGGCACCCAGCTTCCCATGTGCCTCTGGGCCTCAAGACAGTTCTTAAAAATGCCTCTTAAGTTTCTTTCTGGGCCTGTTGGAGCCTGAGGAGGTTGAAACATAACAATCATGTTTTCCCCATCCAAATTCTGTTTTTTTCTTTTTTTGGAGGCAGACTCACTCTGTTGCCTAGGCTGGAGTGTAGTAGCATGATCCTGGCTCACTGCAGCCTCTATCTCCTGGGGTCAAGCGATCCTCTCACCTCAGCCTCCTGAGTAGATGGGACTACAGGTGCACACCAACCATACATGACTATTTTTTAATTTTTTTGTAGAGACAAAGGTCTCACTATGTTGCCCAGGCTGGTCTTGAATTCCTGACCTCAAACAATCCTCCCACCTCTGTCTTCCAAAATATTGGGGTTACAGGTGTGAACTACTGTGCCAGGCCCCAAGTTCTGAAATATAGAAACAGCGGATGGAGGGAAAGATGTCGGCTCTGTTATGGACTGAGCTGCTGAGGACTAGGGACTTCCCAAGGGGGCCCTTGAGAAGACCAGCTTCAGCAGACCCCCAACCAGCTACAGGCGCCCCCAGTTGGTAGATCCTTTACCCCTACCCCTGTCAGAGCACCTTAGAGTGCAAACTACCTGCTGTGAGGCACACCCAACTGGCCCCTGATCCATTCCCAAACTGTTCACTCAGTCACTACCGCAGTTCACCTCTGTCGGGGGTCGGGCATGGTGGAGTAACCTGCCAGGAGTGCACAGATAATTCCCTCCTCATGGAAACCAAAGACTAAGGAAGAAGCCCTCCCTCATCTCTAGTAATTTATTTCTTAGGAAAAGAAGGTTGACATTCGGGGTAAAGAATTTGGGTTAGGAACTGGCTTCCAGGGGAGTTGGAAAGCAGCCACTGACAGAGGCCATCGAGTCTCTCAGGTGGGCAGGGGGGAAGCATTCCAGTCAATTCTGAAACGCTCTGAGCAGCCACTTGGTGCTGGGCACTACGCTACCATCTGGAAATGCAACGAGAAATGCAAGATGAAGAGAATGCCTTCAACATTCTCAACTAGAGGCAAGTCATTTGTGCTGCCTGGAATTGAGGAATGAAGAAAGTACAGAAAGAGAGGAGAGACAGTATTTCTGTGGGAGACACTCTAAAGAAGGTGAGCAGATACAGCGGAGGCCTGATGGGAGGGAATACATGGAAGCATTAGAAAAACCATGTGGTGGCCGGGCACGGTGGCTCACACCTGTAATCCAGCACTTTGGGAGGCTGAGGCGGGTGGATCACGAGGTAAGGAGATCAAGACCATCCTGGCCAATATGGTGAAACCCCGTCTCTACTAAAAATACAAAAATTAGCCGGGTGTGGTGGCATGCACCTGCAGTCCCAGCTACTTCGGAGGCTGAGGCAGGAGAATTGCTTGAACCAGGGAGTTGGAGGTTGCAGTGAGCTGAGATCGCACCACTGCACTCCAGCCTGGCAACAAAGTGAGACTCCGTCTAAGAAAAAAAAAAAAAAGAAAGGAAAGAAAAGAAAAGAAAAATCATGTAGTTTAAATAACATCCTGCCCAGGGGCGGAGGACTACCGCTAGTTAGACCACTTCTTTAAACTCTAAACTATAACTGCAGGGGTGTTTATGTTTAGAGCCATAATCCCTCAAGGAGTAAAACGGCAATCCCACATAAGTACCACATCAGCCAGTTTGCCTCACCCAGCACCTCTGCACTCAAGGTGGCTGCTTTCTCCCGGGATTCAAAAGGCATTAGCCCCCTGCCTGTGTGTGGGTGTATGCACTCTCACTGGCTTTCTAAGATGATCGGCCCCCCAAGGGTTCTTGCAGAAGCTTTGGGGGCCTCAGATCAGCCTCCAGGGGAGCCCAGCTTACCTTCCCAACCCCTTCTTAGAACTTCCACAGAAGAGGCCTTGACACCAAATGGCAGGTCAGGTTTGGAGAAATTTCTCAATTCATTAGTATCTCCCCATTAACAATAGAACTGCTTTCCCTTTTGGGAAACATGTGCTTTGACTGTAAAGGAGGGACCAACTTTTTCCAGTGGCCTTTCTCAGCCAGGACAGTCCCATCACCTCCTAGCTGTGTGACGGACAAGATCTCCCACATCCTGAAAGACTGCTCCAGGCTACTGCCGCTGTCACCACACCCAGGCAAACCAAGATGCTGGCTTCTGTACCCAGAGCACAATTATGCCCAGCTCTGCCAACTCTTACCAGCATTCACATGCCAGTGAAGGCCCACCTTGATTTAATAAGACATTAATGTCGAACAATAACAAAGGATTAATTTAAGCAAATAGAGAAACCTGAGCTTGGACGCTCCCTGTGCCTAACTGATGTGTCCCATTTGGGGCCACAGCCTGTTCTTTGGCAGGGCTGGGTCCTGGGAGACCATAGGATTGGTGGAGAGAGTCATATCTGCCAAGGATAACTTTCAAGGGGATGTGTGCCCGGGAGAAAAGGGTAGGGATTGTTTGTAGGGTAAGGGCTGCATTTGCAGCTCCCATCTGCAGAGGGACCTGTCCAGTGGAATAAGTATGGAGCTGGACACAGGAGATTTCAGCCAGGGGCTGTGTGGGCTGGGGCCAGAGCCCTAAACTCTCTAGGTCTCACTTTCCTCACTGGGTCTTTGGGTAGGAAGATACTTCTCTAGGGATGATGTCATGCAAGTGAAATGTGATTCTTCATCCACACTGTAAGCTCCTAGCAGAGAGTAATGGGTGCTAATCACTCCTTCCATCTTCTAGGGTACTTAGCAGAGTGCTCAGCTCTTAGAAGACACTCAGCCAAACAAACGTTTGTTGAACAAATGTATGACTCTGTTTCCTCCCTGCTAGAAAACCCCTGTCCTAAAAGGAAGCAAGTTTTGGGCAAGTCACAAATATTCCAGTTGTTGTATCCAAGACCCTCCATTTCCATATTGTCTGTAGTTCTAGAAATTTGCTGAGAAACATCAACAAAGTAAGGTTTTGCTTTATGAAGGAACAATGCTCCCAAAAAGTTGGGTGTAAGTTGGATTTTTATGAGACAATTTAGTATTTTAAGTGCACAATGTGAATTGGTTATTTTAAGAATGCAGTGAAGTTGTATAGGAAGTGAATAATTTGTTACATCAGTGTAAGGTAAAACCCAGCTAAACCACAGAAATTATGCTTACACACGGATACATTGCACCCACTGCACCCTCCCAAGTGTTCTGTTGCTAAGGGTTCAATCTTAAAAGAAGGATTACATTACATTATTTTAAAAGAAAAACGAGGGGAAAAAATTCACGAGTGCTGTTGCCTTTAAAAATGCAAATAACGGATAGGGATTCTCCTAATCTTCCGGGATTGCAGCTCCTGATTCAGCTACGGATTCCCAGTAGGAGTAGAGGGGGAAATGGGCTGGAGAATCACTAATCACCAGTGGCTGATTAGCTTCTGGGAAACCAGTGAGTCACACGGGGCCACGGTGGGCAACCCACAAGTACTCTTCATCAATGGCCGTGAGTCCTCTCCCAGAAGGAGTAGGGTGTGACCTTCACAGCCATCTGGATGGACTCAGCCTGGAGTGTGCGAATAAACCTAAATTTGTTTCGGGTTTAGAGGTTTCTGTTGCTCCCAGGGCAGCAACAGAGACCTCTAAACCCAAAACAAATGATCTTAATTGGGCTTTGTGGCCTTACCTCCAGGAGGCAGAGGCATTAAAGATTTTTTCAGTGGTGTAGGGTGTGTGAGGTGGGGGTGGGTGGGAGTGGGGATGCCGTTCTCTCCAGCCTCAAAACTTATTCCCCTTGGGAGTAGGGAAATGTTGCGGGGAAAGTACAGGAGTGGTGGACTGTATTATTATTCGCCAATAATAGATTGCATGAGGATTATAATTTCTTATCTACTTTAAATCATGCTTGGCTGTAACACACTTTAACCAATGAAATGTGCACAGAAACAACCTGGGTCATTTCCAGGCAAAGGCTCCAAGAGCCAGCTCCCACGGTCACCACAACATTCTGGAAAGTGGCTGTGGCATCATCCTGGAACCACAGGAATGACAGCACAGAGAACCCCCAGCCAACCTATGGTAGATGTGCAGAGTGAGCAAGAAATAAACCTCTGAAGTTTGAAATCATTGATGTTGGGGATTGTTCATTACCATGACAAAACCTTGCCTCTACAGATGGGTTCATGACAAATACAAATCGATTAAACATAAATCAGGTAGGAAGATATCACAGAACCAAGGAACACTTACAGCGTGGGCTGAGTGCCCTCAGGAAGGTGGTCAAGGAAGATGGAGAAGGAGCATGCATCTCCCAGGTTACATCTGAGCCTGGAGTCGCCAGGCTTCAAGGACCTGAGGGAAGCTTGTCTTGTCTCTGGGACATTGAGATAATCTTCAACGAAACCTTGTTAATAGTTTCCCCCAAATGGACACAAGTGGTAAGTTTTCCTTTCTGCACTCTGACCTTTCCCAACTCCTGTCAATCTCTATCTATGGACTAAGCATAAACTGATACTCAGCCTGGTGCCACTGCCTTCCAGAACAAGGTGTATTCCAGACCTAGATCACGTGAAACCTGTGGGAAGAAAAATCTAACCTGCGAGAAATATGTAAAAGTGAGATAGTGCAGAGCTGAGTGATAAACTGTGCAGTCTTTTTTTCTTTTTAAAATTGTGATAGGATACTTGTAAAATTACCATTTTTACCATTCTAAGTGTATAATTCAGTGACATTAAGAATATTTACATTGTTGCACAACATCACCAGCATCTATCCACAGAACGCTTTTCATCCTGCAAAACTGAGACTCTTTACTCCTTGAACAATACTTCCCCATTCTCTCCTCCCCCAGCCCCTGGAGCCACTATTTCACTTTCTGTTTGTATGTGAGCTTGACTACACTAGGCATCTCTAGAACTTCTTGCTCGTGCTGAAGAAGAGTGGTCTCCAAACCTTTTTAACCATGAACTCCCACTGTTAAATATCTTAGCACACATACCACCAGTATGTCATAGTTATTACTTTATAAATTAATACATTTATACCACTTTACTAACATATGATGTATATTTGAAAAACATACAGAGAGCAGCAAAGCATTTATTCCTTCTTTTTAAAACATATTATTTTGAGATAATTTTAAACTTATAGAAAAGTTGCAAAAATAGTATAGAGAGTGTTCATACATTCTTCTAGTTTCTCCTAATGTTAATATCTTATATAATCATTATATGACAATGATCAAAACTAAGATAGTAACATTGGCACAATATTACTAACCAAACTATGGACTTTATCTGGATTTCCGCTAGTTTTCCCACTAATATCCTTTTTCTGTTCTGGGATCCAAGCCAGGATCCCACATTGTATTCAGTTGTCCTGTCATTTTAGTCTCTTGGCCCAGTCTGTGATAGTTTCTATTTTTCCTTGTTTTTCATGACTGGAACATTTTGTAGAATGTCCCTCAGTTTGGGTTTGTATAAGGTTTTCTGATGTTTATATTGTGGTTATAGATTTTTGGCAAGAATAGCATAGAGCCAGTGTGCTCTCCTGAGTCTATCATACCAGGGGCTACAGGATGTCTGTATGTTTTATTATTGAGGATGTTAACTTTGATAATTGGTTAAGGTGGTGTCTGCTGGGTTTCCCTACTGTCAAGCTACAGTTTTAACCTTTGTAATTAATAAATATCTGGAGAAAGATACTTTGCAAATATCTTTCTTCCCAAAGTGTTGCCCCTTAATTTTAATATCTCTTGTGGATCTTGCCTTCAATATTATTACTGTAGTGTTCTAATGGTGATTTTTCTATTTCCTTCATTCCTTCCACATTTATTAGTTGAAATTCTTCTGAAAGGAAGAGATTCCTTTCCTTCCCACTTATTTATTTCTCCAATTATTTCTTTATATAGGAATAAACTTATGGATATTTATTTGGTTATAATCTAATAATATTATTATTACCATTATTTATCTTACTCCTCACATTGTTCCAGCCTTGGCTATTGGGAGCTCTTTCATGTTGGCTCATATCTTTCTGGTCCCACAACATGTTTCAGGATCATCTTGCATTTTCCCTGCCCCTGACCTGGAATCATCCACTTCTCCCTGGTATCTCTTATTGGAGAATGATATTTTAAACAAACCTGTGAGAGTTGGTGTGCTCATTGCCATTGGGATGCTATTGCTTCTAGGCTCTTTCAGCAGACAGAGATAGGATATATATATATATAATTTTTTTTTCCAGGAGACAGGGTCTCACTTTGTTGCTCAGGCTGGAGTGCAGTGGCACGAACATGGCTCACTGCAGCCTCAACCTTCTGGGCTCAAGTGATCTTCCTGCCTCAGCCCCCAAGTAGCTGGGACTACATGCACGCACCACCACACCCAGCTAAGTTTTGTATATTTTGTAGAGACAGCATTTCACCATGTTTCCCAGGTTGGTCTTAAACTCCTGAGCTCAAGCGATCCACCTGCCTTGGCCTCCTAAAGTGCTGGGATTACAGACATGAGCCACTGTGCCCAGCCAAGATAGGATTTTTATATATGTGCACTAATATGTGAATATACACGTTTCTATATTTATTTTTGTAGCTACTTCTCTGTATATATATTAAAAGACCATTAGTGTCCATAAACAGATGAATAAATAAACAAAATGTAATATCTAGTACAATGAACTATTATCCAGCCTCAGAAAGGAAGGGAATTCGGATATATGCTACAACATGGATGAATCTAGAAAGTATGCTAAGTAAAATCAGCGAGACACAGAATGACAAATAGCATAAGATTCCACTTATCTGAAGTACAAGAATAGGCATATTCACAGAGATTACTGGGGGTGGGAAGGGTCGAGGAATGGGGAATTACTGTTTCATGGTTACAGAGTTTGTGTTTGCGATGATGAAAAAGTTCCCAAATTGGATGGTGGTGATGGTTGCACAACATTGTGAATGTGGTTAATGTCACTGAATTGTACAATTTAAAAGGTTAAAAAGGTAAATCTTATGTTGCGTGTATTTTACCATAAACAAACATGAGTTCATGGTGATACTTTTGCATCCAGTCCAGTAACACAGAGTTCATTCTAGCCTTCCGTTTGTTTTTATTGGTAACTTCTTTCTCTGATGGGGGAAATTGGGCTCTTCTTATTCATAATATATTTACTTATTGTTCAACCCAAGTATATCCATTTTCAGAATTACTTATACATGTCCTCACGAGAAACAAATTTACTAACTACATTATTTGTGCATAGTTCATTTTTCTTTAACCTTGCAATTCCCAGTCAAAACACCGCTTGCTTACTTAGATTAGTTCTTTTCTTCACCACCCCCATCAGTGTGGTAGTGCTATTCATTTATAATATAGTTAGGTTCATTTGTTAGTTTGTGTCCTGATTTGAGTTCACTCCATGCCCTGATTTTAAAATTTTACATACTGTAAAATTCATTCTTTTTAATGTATAGTTTTATGAGTTTTGACCAATGCTCAGAGTAGTGTATCACCACCAGCCATGATACAGAACAGGTCCATCACCCCCAAATTCCTCATGCTGCCTTTTTGTCATTAACTCCTCCCGACCTCTGACAAACACTCATCTGTTCACCACCCCTGTAGTTTTGCTTTTCCCAGAATGTCGTATAAATGGAGTCATACAATATGGAGCCTCTTGGTTCTGGCTTCTTTCATTTACTAAATACATTTAAGATTCAGCCATGTTGTTGTTTGAATCAATACTTTGTTCCTTTTTATCGCTGAGTAGCATTTCATCCATTGTATGGATATGCCACTGTTGTCGGTCCATTTTCTGGTTGAAGGACATCTGGGTTTAGTTTAGCAATTATAAATAAAGCTACTACAAGCATCCATGCACAGGTTTTTGTGTGAACACAAATTTTCATTTCCCTAGGGTAAATACCTTGAAGTAGGATCGCTGGATCATCTGGTAAGTGCATGTTTAACTTTATATGAAACTGCCAAACTGTTTCTCAAGTGGCTCTGAAAGCACCCATTCTCAATCCTGTGAAACTGGGTGTTTTTGACATTCAGAAAAAGCCAGATACTGTGTTAGACACTAGAGACAGAACCTGGCACATGGCAGGCTCTCGGAAAGTACTTGCTGAATGATAAAAATAACAAATACAAAAATAACGAACATAAAAATGACTAACACCTCTCATCACAGGTGAGGAGCAGAATGGGTGCTCTAGGGTTACTGAAGAGAAGGGATCACATTAGAGGGAGTCAAAGAGGGCTTCATGGAGGAGGGGAGCTGTAACAATTTGAGGAGAAAAAGACTTATTTTGTAATTCCGCATGCATACCTACACAAATCACATCTTTCTATCACATCTCCTCAACTCTTTGTGTGTTTAAAGCATTTGAGTTTAGGATTAGAAGCAACAATTGTATTATGTAATGATTTTTATCATGAATATATGTCTACACACACACACACACACACACAAATGATTCTTTTTAAAAAGTGGCTGATTTTGAACAACCACTGTCTAATACCCTTTTCCCCTCCTCCACGGCTCCCACAGGCCTCCAGCTGTCCTCTGGTGGCTGGGTTAGGACTACCTCCACCGGGATCCTGCACTGCCTGGTGCTTCTCCAAGCTCCACACTGACCACTCATTCACTTGTCCATTTTTTGCCTCTTTTCTTGTCACTAGAAGTGCTTTGAGGGTATGGAAGTCTTTTTTTTTTTCTTTTTAAATCTCTGTCTCTAGAGTCTAACACAGTGCCTGGCATTTTCTGGATGTCAAAAACACCCAGTTTTATAGGATTGAGAATGGTTGCTTTCAGAGCAGTGGGCCACTTCACCTTCCTTAATCTACTGTTTTCTTTTCTTCTTCTTCTTTTTTTTTCTTTTCATCTTGCTCTGTAGCCTATTCTAGAGCTCAGTGGCATGATCATAGCTTACTGTAACTTTGAACTCCTGGGCTCAAGTGATCCTTCTGTCTCAGCCTCCTGAGTAGCTAGGACTTCAGACAGACTCTACCACGAACAGCTAATTTTATTTTATTTTATTTTATTTTTAGAGAGACAGGGTCCTGAATTCCTGGCTCAAGTGATCCTCCTGCCTCAGCCTCCCAAAGTGCTGGGATTACAGGTATGAGCTACTGCACCTGGCCATTAATCTATTGTTTTCAAAGCTGAATATAGTTAGTTGGATTTTTATACCTAGGCAGAACACCAAAGCCTTCCTGCACCAAAGAAATGTAAAACAAACCCAGAGAGTGACATTGAGCAGCTTTAAAGTGACGTTGTTTTCCTTTCACCTGGTGAATTTGAGAACGCAGTGGCTTTTGAGACTGTCCTGCCAGGTGGCAGGTGAGGCATGGAGTCTCAGCCCTGCTGGCTATAGACCATTATTAATCCATTTACACTACCCAACTGGCTCCTACATCACTGGGGTGTGAGAGAGGGGGGATGTTGCCCAAGCCAGAAGTTCTTCCACATAATCAAGCAGGTCTCTCTCTCCTCTAGCCCCAAACCTAGGCCCCTCCTCTCTGCTCCCTGGGCCATCCTGCTTTGCAGAGAATCTTGGATGCTGGTACCCATCCCATCTCCTCCCTTCCCCAACAGAGCCCTCCTTAGGTATGGTCCATCCCACATTCCTGAGTCACTCACTTATTCACTCAACAAACACAAACTGAGCTCCTATTTAACACCAGATCCAGGGCAGAGCCTCTTCATATCTGTCAAAAGTGACAGAGACAGATAAGGCCCATTCTTGCTCCTGTGGGAGTTCTGTGGCTTGAGTGTCCAGGCCGCATCTGTGTATGTTTTGGTGCCAGAGTCTTCAAGAAAAGCCATTCCTGAGAGCTTTAAGAACTCCAGGATAGGGTAAGGGAAAGTTTGAAGTAAAGCGAGATGAAACAAAACAAAACAAACAGACAGAAAACAAACAAACAAAAAAACCAAACAAGCAAAACAAAACAAAACAAACAAACAAAAAAAATAGATGACCTTGAAGTAGAGAAGATATCTCTGGGAGGAAAAATAACAGTACGGTCCCCAAATAGTACATTAATATCATTTCAGTATTTTTAAATACTTTTCAACATATTGTCCTTCCTGCATATCTTATCACCTCATCACAACATCCCAGTGAAAAGGGCCTGCACAGACAATTGGCTCCAATTGATCAGTGAGGCATCTGAGGGCTTGGATGAGTTAAGTGCATCACTCAATCTTGTAGACTGAGTCAGTGGTGAAGTGGAGACCAGAATTGACTTTTTCTTTTTCCTCCACCAATGACAAGGACATTATCCCATTAAAATGATGTCATGTGAGTCAGGTGTATGTGTCTCCTAATTGGATTTATCTTAGCCAAGTAAGTATCAAATTTTTCTGCAAAGTTCTTAGCCAATTAAGTATCAAATTAAGTATCAAAATTTTCTGCAAAGACATGAGGTGTTGCTCTTGCCCCAGCCTGCTTTGATCTGTGATTGGTTGGCTACCATGATGGACACCATGGTGACAGGTTGGCCACCAATAACCCACAGGCTTCTGAGTGAAATACTTTGTTAGGAGTACTCTATGGAGGTTGGTGTGGTCAAGATTCCTAAAATGTTATTTGGGTGTCTGCTGTCAAAGATGCGTGCCTAACAAACACCTTCTTCTGGAATAAGGCCAGAAGTCTACAGTCTCTGCTCTCAGGAAGCCCCTCATCTGATAAGGATAAGACTCTGGGGTAGTCCCCAGTCAGAAGGAGGAGGCTCAGCCCCCATCCTAGCAAGCCATCTGTCTGGAAGGAGGAATGTGGTCAAGCTGTTAGGTCATGCTGGTTTGGTTGGCCACATTGGCAACCCAACCTGCTCTATAGGTTTCTGAGGGCTTTTGGTCCAGAACCTTCTCCTTCCCTGTATAGAGCTTGCTGTAAAATTCTCCACCATCAAAGCTTTTCTGTCCAAATTCTGCTCCCATACCACGGGTGTAAGAACCTAGGATTGAAGTGGGGCAGGGGGCCTTTTAAAGCAGAAGGAGACCATTCAGCAGCACCAGTTGCTGTCCTGCCAAAAATGTGGCCTGTGTGGCCAGATCTGATAGTTTTCCTTAAAAAGTTGAAAGTTAGATTTGTAAGTGAAATTCCTTGATGCTTAAATATTGGTCCCCCAAATTTTAAACACTGTAAATCTCAAACAGTACATTTCTAGATATCATTTTATTTTTCCTCAAACCTTGCTATGTTAAAAAAATTTCAAATCCAGGAAAGTTTAAAGACGAGTAAGATGAACATCTGTATTCCTTACTCTCACATACTGTTAGCATTTTACATGTTTACATGTTTCATTTAACTCTTTTTCTTCCTACACACACACACACACACACACACACACACACATACACACACACACACTTTTTTTTTGGCTAAATGATTTGAGAGTAAATTACAAACATGATGATCCTTTACTTCTAAAGAATCCAGCATCTATCTCCCAATAACAAGGACATGTTCCACATAATCATAACACAATTGGTTTTGAGAAACTAAACATTGTACAATATTATCTAATGCATGGTCCATATTTGGACTTCCCCAATTGTCATAATACTTTCCTTTTTCTTTTTAAAATCCACAATCTAGTCCAGAATCACACATTGTACTTAGATGTCAAGCCCCTCTGGTATCATCTCACCTTTAAGAGTTCTCTTGCCCTCTTTGTCTTTCATATCATGGCCAGTTTAGAAAAGCCCAGGCCAGTTGTTTGAAGACTAAGTCTGGATTTGCCTGATTATGTATGCTCATGATAAAAGGTCAGACATTTTTGGGAAGAATATTACATGGGTGATTTCATGTCCTTCTCAGTACATCATATCAGGGGCAAATATGTCAGTTTGTCCCATTATTGGTGATGTCAAATTTGTCCACATTGTTAAGGTGAGTTCCACTGGCCTTCTCCATTGTAGAGTGACCCTTTTCCCTTTTTAACTCATAAGCAATCTGTGGAGTGACATTTAGAGACTGTTACCTTAGGCTTATTTAGCACCTTTGTAGGTGTTTTGGGAACATAAAAAGAGACAATGGTACAACAGTAACCAGATGCCTGGTTCCCAGACACTAATCTGAGACCAGCTGCAATGGAACCCCCAGTGCCTCTGCAAGCTGTTGGCTCCTGGGCCCAAGGGCTATTTATAATCATTTGAAGTGAGGATTGTATTTTTCATAAAAAGCAGAGCAGTGTCACTCCAAAGCATGTATACAAACTAGTGTAGACGTAGCTCAAGTGCAGCTACACTGAACTATACCTATATATACTGGGCACATTGGATTATAGTAGCATACTTTGGACAGCTTGCAAAGTAATGCAGGTATAAGCTCAATTATAGTTACACTGGCAAGACACCACTTATTTACTCCTTCTGGGCCTCAGTTTCCTCATCTGTAAAGTAGATGGTTTGATATTATTTCTAAAAGTCCATTTTAGCTGTAATGTTTTAATTTTCAAAATTATTTTGCATCTATTACATGCCATGAGTTTTCCCATATTATATCTCATTTAAATTGTCAAGAGCTCAGTTTTTACACCTGAGGATTCTAAGGCAGAAGAGGGCTAAGTAACTTCCTACAGTCATAAGCCTAGCCAGCCGGTGAACCAGGATTTGAATCCTGGTGTTCCTGAGAACAAGAACAGTGTGCTTTAATTCACAGAGGCAGAAAGCAGGGACTGGGAGGAGGCGGAATGGGGAGTGATTGCTTAATGGGTACAGGGTTTCTTTTTGGGGTGACGAAAATGTTCTGGAATTAGATGGTGGTGATGGTTGCACAACATTACGAATGTACTAAAAGCCACAAAAAATACTCTTTAAAATAGTTAAAATGGTGAATTTTATGTGAAATAAAATTTGCCTCCATTTAAAAAAAAACAATAAGCAAAACAAAAAAAAAGGTAGACTTTTCTCAAAACCGTGTTGACTTTCTGGTCAAAGATTAAACTAAAAATTAAGCAGAAGTACAAGCAGATTTGTGAACGGCTACTAGTCTCATTATCTTCATAAAATGAAAACTTGGAAAAAACCTAAATATCCAACAATAGGAAATTAGTTAAATAAATTGTGAGACAACAAATGAGGGAATACTATGGAGCCATTCCAAATTATGTTTTAAGAGAAATTTTAATGACATAGGAATATGCTTATGCTGTAACATTCAAGGAAAAGAAGAGGATGCAACATTATACAGAGTTCTATACAGCGCATGTGTCTGTGCTTAAAAAAGAGCTCTAGCTGGAAATATGCCAAACTGTTAACATTGGCTATCACTGGGTTGTGGGATTATAGGTGGTTTCTTTCTTCTCTACACTTTTTTGTATATTTCAAAATTTCTCTAGTAAGCTTTGTTACTTTTACAATAAAAAATTACAGTAAAAGTTATTAAAACAAATTTAGCAAAGTTTTCCCTGCATTCTCCCTGACTCTGGGTAGAGTTCCCAGGACCTTTCCTCTCCCCTGCACCCTGCCCAGATAAATAACAAGCAGATAAATATTTCAAAGGTCCTGATCTCAGATGCTGCCCAATTCCAGCAGCAAATTAAAGGGACACTGCCCTGCTCACTGCCCTGCTTATGTCCTTGGAACACCCTATTTTTATGGCCAGAAGCCCTAACGCTTCTCTCAGGAATCTGGACAGGCCTTACAGGAAGCAGCTGGTCACCCACAGAATGGTGGAAAAGGAGGAGTGGATGTAGAAGGCCCCCATGGCTCCTCCTGTTCAGGGCAAGGAATATTCTGTTAAAAAACTAACACATGAAGTGTTATCAGTCATTAACACCTCAGTGTGACTGAGCTTGTCAGTTTCCTGAGAATGGGTTGATAAGAAGAGAAGGAAGCCACACCTCCAAGAATAATGACAAAATCAAAGTTAAATTTCTTTAGCTTCTTGGACATTGACTCTGAAAAGTGGCTTCTATAAATACACAAAATTAGCAAGGACTGAGGTCATTTAGGGACAGAGGCTGTCTGTCCTAGCTTTACGCTGGTGTATTAGTCCATTTTGCATTGCATTTACCAAGGCTGGGTAATTTATAAAGAAAAGAGGTTTATTTAGCTCATGGTTCTGCAGGCTGTACATGAAGCATGGTGCCAGCATCTGCTTCTGGTGAGGCCTCAGGAAGCTTGCATCATGGTGGAAGGCAAAGGGGAGCAGGCGTGTTACATGGTGAGAGGGAGCAAGAGAGGTGCCAGGCTCTTTTAAGCCAGTTTTCACGTGAATGAATAAAGCAAGACTTCACTCATTATCACGGGGAGGACACCAAGCCTTTCATGAGGGACCCGCCCCCATGATCCAAACACCTCCCACCAGGCCCCACCTCCAACACTGAGGATTGCATTTCAACATGAGATTTGGAGGAGACAAATATCCAATCCATATGAACTGGTAACAGCTGGGAAGCTTAAAAAAATATACCAATGCCCAGTACTACCCCAGAGATTCTAATATTCTTGGTCTCAGGTGGGATCTGATCATCAGTATTTTCTTAAACTCCTCCACCCCCAACATTCCGTCCAGGATTGAGAAGTATTAAATTTATGTATCTTCTTCCAACAGCACTTTGCTGTTAAAAGATAAAGCACAATTGATCCTTGAACAACACAGGTTTGAACTGCGGGTGTCTTCTTGTACACAGATTTTCCTCCACCTCAGCCACCCCTAACACAGCAAAACCAAGCCCTCCTCTTCCTCCTTCTCTCTGCCTGCAACAAGGATGAAGACCTTTGTGATAATCCACTTCTACTTAATAAATACATTTTATTTTCCTTAAGGTTTGCTTAATAACACTTTTTCTCTAGCGTACCTCATTGTGAGAATACACTATATAGTACATATAATATACAAAATATATTTTAATCAATTATTTAGGTTCTCAGTAAGTCTTCCACGTTAACAGTAGGCTACTATTAATTAAGTTTTCGGGGAGCCAAGAGTTTGACATGGATTTTCAACTGCATGAGGGCATTATTCAAAGGTGAACTATAATTTAAAGATTGCTGCTAATAAAAGCATTCATAAGCACGTGACAATAAGCACGTGACAATAAATGATTTCTTCTTTTCTGAGGAATAATTTAGGATTGAAAAAAAAAGACCCTACCTTACACTTGAGCATAATCAGGATTCATAGCTTCATTCTGTTAGAAAGAGAAACAAAGAAAACGATCAGAGATGCCAAGAAAGATTTGTTTGCAAAGATGTTATTTATAACATCAAAAATTTTGAGGTAACATTATCATCTGTTGTTTTTGATTCCTCGAAACCTGGAACAAATTGAAGTTGGTCAAGAAACGAAAATAAACCACAAGAATACAAGCAGGTAAAATATGTTAAACTGATAGTAAATTTTTAGACCTGGGCATGAGGATAGTTCTCTACCTCTCTGTATAAATTGAGTCCTTCTGTTTGCAAATAAAGGTAGCTGGGTTAATTCAGCTACTGAGGGCTTTTTGAAAGTGTACAGAGCGTAATGAACAGGAAACAACCTCAAGTGCACTACAAGCCAGATCTCAGGGAGGCTGAATCACCAGCTGGAAAATATGTTATTGTTTAGGAACAACACAGCTGGAGTGACATGGGTGTTTAGCCAACCCCTTAGCAACAGATGCTGAAGTTCCTTCTGTCAAACTGCATCATTATGGCGACTGAGCCACTCTTATCCTCTGGCTACGCAGCTCCTACTACTCCTGACTTTCTGAGCCTTTCCAGGGCCGACAGCCTGGAAGGACTCTAATTTGTTCTGTTTTTGTAATTCATTACATCAACAAATATTAATTAAACATCAATCAGTACCCAGATTTTTTTAGGCATCCCATCAGGCCTGGTGGGAGGTGTTTGGATCATGGGGGCAGGTCCCTCAAGATACAGTATTAAGCAAAATGCGCAAAGTTCCTGTGCTCCTGGTGATTATATTCTAGTAGAGGAAGACAACAAAATTACACAGACACATCAGGTGACAGGCTCCAGCAGGGCAAGGCAGAGAGGGCAGATGCCAGATTTCCATTTTCACCGTGTAGACACCTTCGCTGCAAGATGTCAGAGTACCTGGAAACCGAAGAACTTTCTATAAGAAGTGTGGTACACATCAGCCTCACAGAGCCACCCGGTATAAGAAGGGCAAGGATTCCCTGAGTGCCCAGAGAAGGAGTGCTGTGATGGGAAACAGAGTGGCAATGGTGGGCAAACAAAGCCAGTTTTCCAGAGGAAGGCTAACATCACCAAGAGCTTTGTGCCAAGGCTGGAACATGTCGCACCCAACTGCAGATCAAGAGGATGCTGGCTATTCAGAGATACGAGCACTTTGAGCTGGGAGGAGATAAGAGGAGAAAGAGCCAAGTGATCCAGTTCTAAACTTCAGGACTTTTTTGTTCTTTTAATTTTGAGGAAGTGACGTGTGGGGAAATACAAAGATAATCTTACTAAAGGTCACATGGTGCTACATGCAGAGAAGAAGGATAAAGTGTCAGAAAGGGAGAGAGAGTGAGAGGAGGTGCCATGTTTCACGGAGTGTAAGGGAGGACTTCTCTGAAGCTAAACTTCAAAGTGAGATCTGAAGACAGCAAGGAGACATCTGGTGAGCACCTTCCAAGCAATGGGAAGAGTAAATGCTAAGCCCTAGGTTGGGGGAGGCAGGGAAGGGTGCTTGCTGTATTTGAGGGAGAGCAAAGAGGCCAGTGTGGCTAGAACACAGTGAAGGGGAGAGGGAGAGGTGGAGAGATGAGACTGAGGCTCTAGAACTCATAGGAGGCCAACACCGCAGGAGTTCTTCTGGGCTCCTGTAGGGGATTTGTTCCTCTCTCCCCTACGAGGAGCTGGAAGCCCCTGGAGGGTTTACAGCAGAGGAGTGATGTGATCTACTTTTTTTTCTATTAGGATAATTTTTTTGAGCAGTTTTAGGTTTATAGAAAAATTGGTGGAAAGGCACAGAAAGTTCCTACACACCAACTCTCCTCAGGTCCCCCTGCTATTTACATCTTATATTAGTGTGGTACATTTCTTACCATTGATGAACCAATACTGATACGTTATTATCCACTCAAATCCATTCTTCATAGTAGGGGTCACTATTTGAGTTGCATATATCCTACGAGTTGTGGCAAATGTATAGCGTGATCTACTTCTACGTTAGGAAGGATCACTCTCGCTGCTGTGATGAAAGGATGGGGATGAGGATGGAGCAAGGAGAGGGTGCAGAGGCTGCTGCAGGTCTCCGGGTGTGACGTGGGTGATTTGGGACCGAGTGGTGGTTATGGGGGTGGAATAAGGCAGTCAGGTAGAGCCGACAGGAATTGCTGATTGATACATGGAGGGGGCAGGTAGAGAGCAGGGACAGAATTAAGGATGATGGCAAGGTTTTCGGCTGGAGTAACTAAAATAAAGTTGCTAGGATAGTGAAAATTGGAGAGGAGGGGTGGGAAAAGTCAGAAATTTGGTTTTGGATGTATTTCAGTTGAGATGCCATCCAAGTAGACATTTTGGACGGGAATCTAATATATACATGGTGTTCAGGGGAAAGGTCTGGACTGAAGTATATGTTGGGGATTATCAGCATATTCATTGTTGAATATGGACTGGATGGGTTAAACTAAGAGTGAGTATGGATGGTGAAGAGAAAGAGCTGAGGCCTGAACCCTGGGATCCTCCAACATCCAATAAATAAATAAATAAATAAATAAATAAATAAAGACATTTTGTTTGGATGTTGGAGGATCCCAGGGTTCAATCAAGAAATTCAAGAAAATGAAGTGAATCCTGCAAAGGAGGCCAAGAACCAGCCCATGAAGTTGAGAACCAAGAGATGGTGGTCTTGGACATCAAAAGAAGAGAGGCCACAGAGAAGAAGGAGTGATCTGACCACTGCATCGAATGCTGCTGGGAGGTGGAGGAGGATGAGCACTGAGAAGTGACTGCCATGCATCAGTTTGCAGCATGATAACCATTGGTGGCTCTGACGGGAGTGGAGTGATGGGGCAGAAACCTAACTGAATGAGTTTAAGAAATAAGGTAAGGAGAGGCCGGGCACGGTGGCTCACGCCTGTAATCACAGCACTTTGGGAGGCCGAGGCGGGTGGATCATGAGGTCAGGAGATTGAGATCATCCTGGCTAACATGGTGAAACGCCGTCTCTACTAAAAATACAAAAAAAAATTAGCCGGGCGTGGTGGCGGGCACCTCTAGTCCCAGCTACTCGGGAGGCTGAGGCAGGAGAATGGCGTGAACCCGGGAGGCAGAGCTTGCAGTGAGCCGAGATCGCGCCACTGTACTCCAGCCTGGGCGACAGAGCGAGACTGTCTCAAAAAAAAAAAAAAAAAAAAAAGAAAAAGAAATAAGGAAAGGAGAGGAAACCCTCCTTGCAGAAGACAGTGAGTTCAGACAACTCTTTCAAGGAGTTTTGAAATACAGTGGAGCAGAAGAATGAGGCTCTACAGGGTTGTGAGGTGATGGAAAAGTTTTGGGGTTAGGGATTGGGGAATGGAAGACCATGTGTCATGGATCACCCAGCCAGCATCTGGCGGGGAACAGCCGTGGGGTCAGAGACCTCATAGCTGCAACCTTGCCAGCCTAGGGTTGCCCATAACTACTCCGTGTCATTTTGGCTGTGGCCAGCGCTGGCTGTCATGTCTCCAAACCTGATGGCCCCCTAGGTGGGAATCTCCCAGGATGTGGGTGCAGCAGCCACCCAGACTTCCCAGTAGGAGGAAGCCTTTCTGACCTGCTGTGTCATGGACTGTGTGGCCAGTCCATGATGATCTCTTTCTTTAAAGCAAGTGACCCACTTCTAAAATAATTCCAAGAAAGACAACCACTTTTGTTGGTAACACTGAGCATCTGTGCTGACGGTTGCGTAGCCATGTCTGTATTGGTCATCTGCCTTCCTCTGCAGGAGAACTTCACATTCTTCTAAGCTCCTTCACAGACGGATCTCATTTGGATCTCCAAGCCCCCATGGGGTAGAAGGGGTAAACATTATTTCCGTCATTTTATAGTTGGAGACCAGAAAGTTTAGAGACTTGACCAGGGTCACACAGGAAGCTGGTATTAGGGTCCAGGTATCCTGATCCAAGACCAGTGATCTGGATTTTTTCGGGTTGCCTGGGTAGCCAGCCTGCTCTCAGCCCTGTGGAGTATCAGAAATGTTTTGTCTACAGTGGGGTTCAGGGCAGGGTCTGAGCCTCATGAGCCCACATATGTTCCACACGTGGTGGTATGGCAGGTGTCTTTAAAGGTCAGGTCCAGACAGCACCATCAGGAAGCTCTGACCCAGGCCGAAGACCCCCCCCCTTAGGCGTGAGGGGGCCTGAGAGAACCATCAGATTAACACTCCATTCCACATGCAGGGCCTTCGAGCCTGAGAGCAGGTGGACACCCAATTTAATGTCTTGGATCCCAGCACAGTTGCCACGTCTTTTCACAGATTCTCCTTACTGGTTTACTCTGGATTTCTCAAAGTCTTGACAATAATGGCAATGAGACCTCGGCCATGTGTCAGTTCCTTGGGCCGTGTCACTCTCAGGCCTCGACTCTCACCTTAGAGAGGTTTTCTTTCTCACAGGGGCCCAGCCCCCTCAACACTCTACCCTGGATAAAGTCTGGCTTCTAGCATTACCCCCAAGTCCCTCTCCTTTCTAGGCCTTTCCACCTTGCTTCCCAGGCCTCTGGAAACACAAGACCTGCCTTCTGCCCTGAGGCTCCTTACAGGGCAAACAGCAGCTGCTTTTCCTCCTGGGGGAAATCAGTACTTCAGAGGGAGTGGCTCAGAAGGGCATAATTGCTGATGAGGACATTTTGGGTAGCTCCCAGAGCTCTGTGGGGACAGACGGCCTTCACAGTAAGCTTCAAATACTCTCTCTACACCTATGCCATGATACTGTGCTTTCCCTTCCAGCTACTCAGTCAGCTTTATTGGCTTTCTCTGCCCCTGTCTCTGTCCTCCCTCTCTCTTCTCCAGGCATAGCACCCATCACACTGACTGAGTCATCCGGAAAATGTGAGAAATCACTTAATAAAGAGCTGCCCTGGGGAAATGGACAGGTAAATGGCTTTAAATAAAAGATTTTGTCTTACGCTTAATTTAATAAGAACTATGCCCCAGTACCTTCACTAGTAAGAAAGATAGACAGCAGATAAGTGGAAGAGATGAACAAGCTGTCAGCACCAGAGCATGTAATCTCTGTGAGCTGAAGTTTCCCTCTCCGGATACAAATGGGGCCATGCCAGGGAAAGCAGCTCTCTGCTTTGCCCTGTAGAGAGGAGCAGGGACTGGGAACCAGGCCAGCCTGATGTCGATTCCAGATCCAGCACTTACTAGCTGTGTGACTTTGGGGAAACTACTGAGTTTCTCTGAGTTACATCCAGGAAACAGGGGTGACAAGGCCTATTTAACATGTCCATTCTACAAATATATGGGAGGTGCCAGACACCATGTTAAATGCTGGGGACACACAAGAAGGACCAGCTGTCAGAAACGCCACAGGCAGAGGTGAAATGGCAAGAAGACTGGAGCAATAGGGACTGAGCCAGTTCACAGAGGGGCTGGACAAGCTACACCATCACAGGGGAAGAGGTGCAGCTGGCATTTGATGGCACGTGGTCAGGAATCCTGGAAAATCAGATTCCTGTCCTGCAGATTATTTCTTCTCCCTTCCTCTCAGCCCCACAAAGTTCCCATTGGAAGGAACAGGAGCCAAATAGGAATCGAAATTGCACTCAATTGCTGCACAAGTGCAGGTCTTCGGTTGGGTTGAAGCTTGAGGCTTAGACGCTAAGCTGAATAAGATATCCTGCTTCCCCCCAGGCCCAAATCCAGTTTGTGAGCTCACCAGCTTCTGGCTGGGATTGCATAGCAGAAATCAGAGGTAGAGGGGAATTAATACAGCCAGGTTTGTACAGTAAAATATGGACTCATTTACTAAGTCAACTTGCTCCTCAGCTGGATGCAGAAAGACACATGGACGCACATGATTCATTAACGCACGGCATGCCTGCCTACTTCTCTATGGCACCAAATCGGCAGTTCTCAATGCTGAGCTTCCCAGTTAATACTTCTTGAAAGAGAGTTGGGAAGAAGCAGCAGAGAGGACCTTAGTAGGAGTGGAGGTTATAATAAATTCTCCTTTCTCCTAAATGAATCAGATTAAGACTCTGAAAGCCTAGTGGGAAACACCAAAGGCTATTCAGCCAGGTAAGTGGCAAGATAAGATTTGCATCTTTAAGGAGTACATCTGCCGGTTTTCTTCCCTCACGATCAACCAGGAAGAAATGTGAGATAGAAAACTGTGAGGACACCCTAGCATGACAGAAACTGTTTTGATTTGTGGTGTGGGAAGTGACTGGCCTGGGGCTAGACGTGTTCTGGCTTCTAGCACTTCCTAGGAGGCTAAACTGAGCAGTGAACTGCTGGAGTTCTGCTCCTGCTTTTCTACCACCATTTCTCTGGTCAGACAGGTGCTGTCCTCATACCTCTGGTGCCTCAGAACTAAAATCAGACAGAGCAGGAGCCCTGCGCTCAAAAGGAAGTGACAAAAATATGTAGGGACCAACTGGCCTCCTTTCCTACTCCATCTCCTTCCAGTCCTAAGGGCTTGGAAATTACACCCTAGGGAGTGTCTCCTCCTAATGCACTTCTCAGTCTGGGGCATGGGAGGAGGAGGAGAAAAGACCAGAAGTGGCCTGGCAGTTCTTTTGTAGATTGAGCAGTGATTGACTGTGTTTTATGGGAGTGAGGACAGACCTGTGTTATGACTTTAGTGAGTTCTGTGTACCCTTCCCTCATAAAATATATTAAAAATCATATTTTATAGCTGCATTGATATAAAGATGAAAATAATCCAGGCTGGGCCGGGCGCGGTGGCTCACGCCTGTAATCCCAGCACTTTGGGAGGCCAAGGCGGGTGGATCACCTGAGATCGGGGGTTCAAGACCAGCCTGGCCAATATGGTGAAACCCATCTCTACTAAAAACACAAAAAATTAGCTGGGTGTGGTGGTGGGCACCTGTAATCCCAGCTACTTGGGATAATGAAATGGGAGAATTGCTTGAACCCAGGAGGCGGAGGTTGCAGCGAGCCGAGATTGTGCTACTGCACCGCAGCCTGGGCACAACAGAGCAAGACTCCATCTCAAAAAAAAAAAAAAGAAAAAATCCAGGCTGAATTCGTTCATTGTTCTATATTCATTACTATTATACTTATTTCTTTCTTCAGCTAGTGAAATAAACTAGAAATAAAACACTTCTGTGGGTGCTTAAAAATGT